>NC_000001.11:115614441-115917471 GCF_000001405.40 Homo sapiens
TGTGGGAAGCATTTTATGTTCATTATTTTATTTCACCCTCACAACAAATTTGTAAGATGAATATCACATTTTTCTGATGAGGAAGTGAATAATCAGAACGATTCAAAACTACAAATAAAAGGTTCACAGTGCTCATTGCTGATAACTGGTAGAGTCAGGATTTGAAATCAGTTCTGATTCAATTGTTTATCCATTTTTTAAAATAGAAGAAGGCATTGCAGGAATTATTCTATTATTTATTGTAATATAAAGCCAAACCAACGGAATAAAACACATTATTCTTCCTAAAAATATTTGCATTTTATTTATTTTTACTTTCTTTTCTTTTGTTACCCAGGCTGGAGTGCACTGGCCTGGTCACAGCTCACTGCAGCCTCAACCTTCTGGACTCAAGCCATCCTCCTGCCTCAGCCTCCCAAGTACCTAGGACTACATGCACGCACCACTACACCAGGTAATTTTTATTTTTGGTAGGGATGGGATCTCACTATGTTGCCTAGGCTGGTCTCAAACTCCTAGGCTCAAGTAATCTTCCTGCCTCGATCTCCCAAAGTGCTGGGATTACAGGTGTTAGCCACCATGCCCAGACAGTGTTTGCATTTTAAAAGATAGTATGGAGAATATGGTAGTGTTGAATCCTTGATGGTGGAATTTCATACATTCAGCAGTAGACCTTCCCCAAACCTTCAAGCCGTATCACATAGGTGCCTCCATCCTCTCTCTGCTCACTCCATCTGCAGCACAGGGTGCCTCACCATGCCCCTTTTCATACAGTCATACTGGAGGAGCATTCCTCTCCTGTACAACATCAGTGGTCACCTAGGTAATGAGTAGAACCCTGGATCTGTACTCAGAACACCTGGATTTGAGCTCCTCTCTACAGCATACTCACCGGGTGACTTGGACAAGACATGACACTCCTTTGAACCCAGCCTTGCTCTGTCGCTTTGTAGGGTGGTTATAGGCTCAAAAGAGGACACCTCAGCAAGTGCTTTCCAAACTGCTGTCACAACGTGTGCTGTCACAATGTGTGCTGTCACGATTACCCTCGATGCTAATTCTGTCTCACTTGGAGCTAGACATTTGCATTTTACCTGAAAACTTTAGTGCTGACAGAGACACATCTCTCCAAGCCTGTTCTAAATTGTAATAAGATCAGCAATTCCATTTTTTCTGCTTCTCCTCTCCTCTTGTGCCCTCTGAGCTGTCTCACACCTTTGCTGTCATTCATACCCACACCCTTTCTTTTATTTCACACACATGATGCACATACTTGCTCGCGCTCTTGGACACACCCAAGTGCACAGAGGTTTTCTTCCCCATCCTGAGTTTTGGACGTGCAGAACTGGCAAGAGAAGGTGGCCTTGTGGGAGAAGGGCAGAACAATTAAGGAAACACCTCAAAGAAGGTAATAACAGCAGGAAAGGGAGCCTGTGTTTGAGGAATGGCTAGCAGGCTGGGGCATCTTTACTGTGTATGGTGGGGGTGGATGGGTGGGAGAGTGCTGGGGAAAGCACAGCTGTGAAGGTAGAGCCTGGTGGTCCTTGATCCTGCATGCAGTGAACTGTGGCTGTATTCATCTGTTTTCATGCTGCTAATGAAGACATACCCAAGACTGAGTAATTTATAAAGAAAAAGACGTTTAATGGACTCACAGTTCCATGTGGCTGGGGAGGCCTCACAATCATGGCAGAAGGTGAAAGGCACATCTTACATGGCAGCAGACAAGAGAGAAAATGAGAGCCAAGTGAAAGGGGATTCCCCTTATAAAACCATCAGCTCTCATGAGACTTATTCACCACCACAAGAACAGTGTGGGGGAAACCGCCCCCATGATTCTATTATCTCCTACCAGGTCCCTCCCACAACACATGGGAATTCTGGGAGCTACAGCTCAAGAAAAGATTTGGGTGGGGACACAGCCAAACCATACTAGTGGCAGAAGGTCTCATCACAGTCATCTCACAGTCCTTCCTCACTCTGTGTCGGGGGCCACTCCTGATCAGGGGTATTTCAGAAATCCATTCAGTCAGGGTTTTTATTCTTGGTTGCTGGATGTATTCTTGCCTCTGATAGAGGTGTGTGTCTTGATGACCCTTGCGCTCTTGGTGGGGCGGGTCTCTATTTCCCATGCTTTCTCACCTCCCAGGAACCTCAGGCTTTCTCCATGGCTTCCTGCTCCCCCATCCTAATGAAGACCATCTTCATTATAGCTGAGGTGTCCCAGCCTCATCATCTGCCAGTCAAGGAACAAGACCTCTCTGAGAGCTTAGCTTCCTGTGTGTAAAATGAAAAACTCACCTCTACTGGTCATTGAGAACAAAGAGAGAATCCCATGATAAGAAAATGGGACTTCCTTTCAGGATGAAGAAAGTGGGAAAGAATGAGGTTCCCACTCTACAATAAGGAAAAGCTGGATAAGCTACAAAGTTACAGGTTTTATGGAGCCCATGAGAGAGGCACCAAGTAAACCAAATTCCAGAGAGGGACGAGACCCTTGAAAGCAAGATCGGACACATACAGTCCCTCCTTTGGCAGAGCATGGGAGAAAGACATGGCTGCCAAACAAGCGAGTAAGAAAAAGCAAATTCTTAGGGGCCCAGGATGGACCAGCATGTCAGCTTGGAATGGCTGGGGGCTTTGGACACAAGGAGAGCTTGTTCTCCCTGGCAAGCTCTTCTCCATGAGCCTCAAAGATTGGAGGCAGGCAGAGACTGGCGAGAGCCTCCTCATTTGCAGGGGAAGGGGGATGGTATAAGCAATGAATAGCTGGGGGACAGGCACACAGCCTGCTTACTTACTTCTCTGGACTCTTTTCTTCTATGAAACAAAAAAGCATGATGCCACTTGGGAACAGGTAGTGAGCCATTTAGAACCATGACTTTTTGGAAAATAATAAAGTAAAACCCATCTTTCTCTGGAGAAGGTAGGAAACCATTTCCCAGGACGTGGGCAAAGAGTCATTGTTGCTGGAAGAGTAGAAGCAAAAAGCCCTTTACTCCTAGGGAAGGCAGGAAACCTTTTGGGTCCAGAATCCTATGCTGACACCAAGAATAGTACTGCACAGCTGGGATGTGGCAGTCCATTTCCACCCAGGAGTAACAACAAATACAAAACAGAGTTTCCCTACCACAATGAGGAGTGCAGGAAGATCAATAAAGCCTCATCCCCAGTCCCAGGTGCTCAGGGTCTACCTAAGACTGAGGCCAGTCCAGGACAAGAGAATCTCCTGCCATACCATGAGCCTAGCACTGAGTAACAAGACCTCTACTGTTGAGGACAGGGGAGTAGCAGTAAGAGAGACTCCCTTCTGTGGTGTAAGCACTCAAGAACAGTGAAACGTTTAGGGGTAGCAGAAACACCAGGAGAAACTCACTAGCACCCCAGACCCACACTAAGCAGATGGTAATGGCATCCTACTGCTAGAAGAATTTGAAGCTCAAACCAGTTCAACTCCTGACTAGTCTAGCTCAACTCCCATCTCCCATTCCTACATACACACTAATGGCCTAAGAATAGAAGAGGCATTTCTATTTCCAGGTGTGCAGGACAGGTCCCCAAATGACCTTGGTTAACCCAGCTCTTCCTCCTCTTGCTTGCAATTTGGAACAATGTTCTGAGAAAGCAATATGCTGAGATAAGAAGTACCTGTCCAGAATAGCTTGGGCTTTGTCCTCATTTCTCCTAGAACAGGATGTCCTACAACACTTGTGCACAGTGATCCAGGTTTCCCCTGGGGAGTGAAACCCAGAATGCCATGATTTTGGAGTCCCTTAGCTTTGGTACAAAGTGGGACACATGCAGATAAGACTCCATCTGCTGTGGACAGCTTTCCTGAGCCTTGGAGGACTGGCTCACCATGGATCCTAGGCTTCTGTTGATTCTTGCTGCCTATTGGTGAGTAACAAGTTGCTTTCTCAGACTTGTGTGGGTTTTCTACCTTGCCAGACTCATACTCTGGTAGCTGGGTTTGTGCAAAACCTCCTGCCAGGTCTATGAATCTTAACAAGTTATAAATATTATTTACCTCAGTTTCTACTGTTCTTCTACACATGAGGTATAGCATTCAACAAAAAAATTGTAAGACAGACAAAATTGCAAGAGAAAACAACCTACCTTCAAGAGGTAAAGGAATCAACAAAACCAGAATCAGAGAAATCCAGACATTGGAACTATCAGACAGAAATTTTAACCTAACTAAACAATATGTTAAAGGCTCCATGGGAAAATATAAATCCATGAACTGGAAATTTCAGCAGAAAAATGGAAATGAGAGAAAATGTCTGCTAGAAATTAAAACCATGATATCAGGGATGAATTCCTCTCACAAGCCGATGAGTAAAGTAGACACAGCTGAGAAAAGAAACAGCAAACTTGAAAGCAGGTCAATAGAAACTATTAAAACTAAAACACAAAGAGATAAATGAATGAAAAAAAAGATCAAAGTATTCAAAGCTATAGGGCAATATCAAATGGCCTAACATATATGTAATTTGAATCCTAGAAGAAGAGAAAGAGGACAAAGTGGAAGAAATATTTAAAGACATAATAATTTTTTTTTAAAAAATGAAATACATGAAACAACAGATCTAAGAGATACAGAGAACCCCAAGCAGTAGATGCACTTTTAAAACACCTAAACACATCATTGCCAAACTGCTAAATACCAAAGACGAAGAGAACATCTTGAAGGAAGCCAGAGAAAATAAACACATATAGAGAAACAAAGATTAGAAATACAACAACCTTCTTGTACGAAGCTATACAAGCCAGAAAAAAAAATGAAGTGATATCTTTTAAAAATTGAGGAAAAAATCCCTTTCAGTCAAGAATTTTGTACCCAGAAAAAAATATCTCAAGAATGAAGGTAAGATAATGACTTTTTTAGACAAACAAAATCTAGGATAATTAATTTCAGGCAGACTTGGTTCTATAAGAAATGTTAAGTTATAAGTTCTTTATGTAAAAGGAATATGATAACCAAATTGAAACTTGAATATAATCAAGGAATGGAGGAGCACAAACAGGTAAACATTAAGATAAATATAAAAGACATTCTATTTGTTGATTGCATTATGAGATATTTGACTAACTAAAGATAAAAAGCATAACAATGCATTGTACAGTTTGTAAAATAAAGTAAACTATATGACAAAAACAGCACAAAATAATTGGAAGGAGAAATTGTAAATATATTGTTGTTTCTTATACTACATATGAACTGGTATAATACTATTGAAAGAAAGATAAGATAAAAAATGTATATTAGCTACCCAAGGCCAACCACTGAAAAAGTTAAAAAGGAGTATAACTAAATGAACTAATAATAGATATAAAATGAAATCAAAGAAATAACTAATACAACCAAAGGCAGGAAAAGAACAAATCAAACAAAGGAAAATAATAGCAATGTGGTAATGTAAAGCCAACCACATCTATAATTAATGTTAAATGATCTAGGACATCTGTTTTTAACCAAGACAGAATAATAGTGACCACATTTACACTCCTGCCAGAAACCAAGAAACTGGACAAAATATGCAAAATGATTATTTTCAGTACCCTGAACATTAGTCAACAAAAGACAGTGATTCCTGAGAGATAGAGAACAAACAAAGTGAGACCTATGATTGCCCAGGTATACTCCTTTGGGAGAGTTCCTGGCTCTGGTTCAGGGAAAGCAAACCCAGGAAAAGCCTAGAATACTATCTGATGAGGAGACAGAGCTGAGAGTCCAGGGAAACTAAGGTAGCTAGGGTTTTCGGTAGAGAGTACCAGAAAGTCAACAACTGCAGAGGGAGAAAACTGAGATCTGCAGAGGGTCTCTCTCAAGTATTCTACAGGATACTGATCAGTGCGTGGGTGAGGGGAAACAATCTGAGACTGAGGAAAGAACTACCCAAAAGGATTAGAGGAAACAGTACACGGCATTCACAGTGACTAGGAATAGTACCTAATCATACCAGCCAGGCTGGAAAACCTCACAATTCAGGGGGCATTGGGTAGAGTACTCCAAAAGATCTTCCTCAGTGTTTAGAAATAATGAGCCATAGTCTAAATATGACTCAGGTCCCACCTAACATATATTAAAAGCAATACCTGAAAGGATCTAACTGTTTCCAAGTAACTTAATTGCATCCCTGAACAAAGCTCAAGAACATTTATAGAAATACAAAAATATCCAGCACACAAGGTAAAATTAACAATGTCTAGCATCCAGTAAAAAATTACAAAACATGAAAAGCAGGAAAATATTAACTAAAATAAGGGGGTAAATAAATAATCTGAAAATGACACAGAATTAATAGTGATGTTAAATTTAGCAGTCAAAGGCATTAAAATAGTTATTCCAAAAAATTAAGTAAAAACATGGATGATATAAAAGAGACCAAAATAAAACTTACTTTAAGGATTAAAAATTACAATGTCTGAAATTTAAAAAAAAAACATTGAATGGGATTAACAACTGATTAGACATTGCAGAAGATGCATAAACTTGCTGGTGATTAATACATTCAGATTTTTTAAGTCTAAAAATTTATCTACTTTGCCTTCATTTTTGAAAGATATTTTCAGTGGATATAAAAGTATATTGTGTAGAATGCTAAACTGACATTTTTTTTTTCAGTACTTTAAAGAAGTTACTCCATTGTCTTCATGCTGGCATTGTTTCTGATGATGAATTTGCTGTTATTCTTCTCTTAGTTCTTCTGTATGTAATGTCTCCATTCCCTGTGCCCCTCATCCCCCCAAATGTTTTTCCCTTTGTTACTGGCTTTGAGCAATTTGATGTTGTTGAGCAATTTTCTTCAAGTTTCATTGAGTTTCTTGAATCTGAGAGTTTATCATTTTCATGATATTTGGAAAGTTGGGAGCCATTATTTCTTCATGTATTTTTTCTATCCCCCTCCTGGGAAACCCCTAGTACATGTATATTATACCCATGACTCACTTTTCAATTTTTTTCTATGTCTCTTTTTTTTTTTTTTTGAGACATAGTCTCACTCTGTTGCCCAGGCTGGAGGGCAGTGGCGCAATCTCGGCTCACTGCAACCTCTGCCTCCCATGTTCAAGCAATTCTCCTGCCTCAGCCTCCTGAGGAGCTGGGACTACAGGCACCTGCCACCACAGACAGCTAATTTTTGTATTTTTTAATGGGGTTTAACCATGTTGGCCAGGCTGGTGTCGAACTCCTGACCTCGTGATCTGCCCACCTCAGCCTCCCAAAGTGCGGGATTACAGGTGTGAACCATCGTGCCTGGCCTTCTCTGTGTTTCATTTTGGATAGTATCTATTGCTATGTCCTCAAGTTTATTAATTTTTTTTCTGCAATGTCTTACCTTTTGTTAATCCTATCTAGTGTAATTTTTATTTCAGAAATTATAATTTTCATCTCTAGAAGCTCAACTTGGATTTTTTTGCTTGTTTGACACTGTGCAACCCCCTTCGCTACACACAGCCCATGGGAAGGAGGCTGGGCAATGGTTCAAGGCTCAAGTTTACACTGGCATGGGTACGCTATGAGGCCCACAGAGAAGGGCCCCCAATGAACCCACTACCATGCTGTTGGGTTTGTTTTATGTCTTTCGTTTCTCTACTTATCATGTTTAATCTTTCACCTAAGTTTCTGAATATATGAGATACAACTTAAGATGACCATTTTGATTTTGTTTTTCTGCTTCTATCATCTATGTCAGTTTTGTGAGTTTCAGTTGATATATTGTCCTCCCTGTTATGGCTCACTTTCTCCTGTATACTTCTTTATATGTTTGGTAATTTTTATAGGATCTCAGTCATTGTAAATTTGCTTTATTGGGTGACAGATATTTGTGCATTTCATAAATATCCTTGAACTTTGTTCTGTAATACAGAGTTATTAGAAAGAGTTTGACACTTTCAGGTCTTGCTTCTAAGCTTTGTTTGGCACAACCTGAGCAATGTTTCAACTAGGGGGCTTTTTGTCCCACTACTGAGGGAATACCTTTCTGATTACACTACCCAGTGCTCCACAAACTGAGGTTTTTCAGCCTGGCTGGTCATAACAGGCACTATTTACATTCCTGTGTGAGTTCTAGGTACTGTTCCCTCTTATCCATTCAGAGGATTCTCTCCTCACACATCTGCACTCAACAGGACTCAGCTGAATGCTTGAGGGGATTTGCTGTGGATTTCCAGGGTTTTCTCTCTCTGCAGCCCTCTCATCTCTGTTACTCTGTCCTGCAAACTCTAGTCTCCTTGGCCTCCCTGAGATCCTAGGCCTCCCTCTTCAAGGCAAGGAGATCAATAGTCTCCACTTGGGTTTCCTCTCCCTGTACAACCTAAAAATTCCCTCTAGACAGCAAGCTGTGACAACTGTAGGGAATACCTAATTTGTTTTCAGTCTCTCAGGAATCGTGGTCTTCTGTTACCTGATGTCCAATTTCTGGAATCCTGTTGTTTCCTATATTTTGTCCTAATTCATAGTTATTTCAGGTGGGAGAATAAATCTGGCCCTGTTAGTCTATTGTGGCCCTCATGTTTTTTTAAAAAAACATTTAAAACAAAGTACATGTTTGAAGACTGTATTGTTAAACTTAAAAATATAAAAATATTAAGATCCAAACTTAAAAACATTTGTAATTAAAATTAAGAACTTTGTTTTATTCTGTAACTTACAATTTATTTGTCTTTCATATTTTCACCTGGGAGGGGAGGAAACAAACAAATAATGCTGCAGAGGAATTTTTTTTTTTTTAAGAAAAGGATAGGTAGAAAAGTGGTGGTGAGGATTGGACAGTGATCATTAATTAGGGAAAGAAAGAGGAATAAAGAAACAACAAAAAGAAATCTGCTGGGCAGGGTGGCTCACGCTTGTAATCCCAGCACTTTGGGAGGCCAAGGAGGGTGGATCACCTGAGGTCAGGAATTTGAGACCAGCCTGGCCAACACAGTAAAACCCCATCTCTACTAAAAATACAAAAAATTAACTGGATGTGTTGGTGGGCACCTGTAATCCCAGCTACTCAGGAGGCTGAGGCAAGAGAATCACTTGAACCTGGGATGTGGAGGTTGCAGTGAGCCAAGAACATGCCACTGCACTCCAGCCTTGGCAACAAGAGCAAAACTGCATCTCAAAAACCAACTAAAATAAAAAAAGAAAGAAAAGAAGAAAGAAATCTGATGGGCATGGTGGCACATACCTATAGTCATAGCTACTTGAGAGGCTGGCGGGGGGAAGTTTGAACCAACCTGAGCAACATAGCAAGACCCCATCTCTTTCAAACAAAAAAAGAAAGAAAGAAAAGAAAAAGAAAAGAGATTTGTCTTAGTTATCTACAAATAGTGTGGTAGGAAAGTCCTGAGCTGCGAACCAGAAGACCTGAGTTTAGCCTGTCTTGTGACATTGGTAAAGTTATTTAACCTACTTGATTTTGGAAATTACCATTAAATAAGTAATAGATAAAAATGACTATTACAATGCCTGACACATTGTAAAAACACAATAAATATTAATTGCTTCTGTCTGTTCATTTATATAGTTCACAAATCAGTGAAGATTGAATACAAACCCTTTTTTAAAATGTAGGTTTTATCGGGGGCATGGTGGCTCATGCCTGCAATCCTAACACTTAGGGAGGCCAAGGGGGGCGGATCACCTAAGGTCAAGAGTTCGAAACCAGCCTGGCCAACTTGGTGAAACCCCGTGTGTATTAAAAATACAAAAATTAGCTGGGTGTGGTGGTGCATCCCTGTAATCCCAGCTACTTGGGAGGCTGAGGGCAGGAGAATTGCTTGAACCTGAGACGCAGAGGTTGCAGTAAGCCGAGATCATGCCACTGCACTCCAGCCTGGGCAACACAGCGAGACTCATCTTAAAAAAAAAAAAAAAAGTAGGTTTTATTATACTGGGGTATGGTGAGGCCAACAGATCAGGAGACAATTGCCATTGAAAAGATAGTTGGTTCCTCATAGTTCCTAAGGGGAGAATGCATGCCATGCTGTGCAAGGCCACACAGGGACGCACCACAGTCGGCCAAGAGGCAGACAGAGCAGGCAGGAAACATGGGCAAGAGCTTTTATTGTGGTCCCTATGGGAAGAAACAGGCCAAGCAGGGTAAGCAGGCTTAGGATTGGCTAGTTTAAATAACATCAGCAGGCTCTGGGGTGTAAGGACTGTCTCTATTTTTCTGGTATATGACCCTGGAGTGATTTGGGCAGGGGGATAATGGCCCAGTATCTGACCCCTGCAAGAGCTCAGTAAAGGAGTTGGTTGGGGTACAGGGTCTGGATTGATTCGTTTGCACACGAAAAGGATGCTTATGGGTGAGCCTTTACTATCACTAGGAACTAACTAACCCTGGGAAGCAGGCCTCCAGATGTCAAAGCATCAGAAATCCAGAAAATAAATAGGCATGATTAATACAAAGTCTGACTGCTAAGGTGGGTTAACAGTGTTGTCCTACCATGCCCAGACCTAGCCCTCCTCTCTGCAGCTCCCATGGAGACCACTTGTAACTCAGAAGGGAGGGCAGGGTGGACTGCTTGCAGACCAGGAGCCAAGGCCTTCCTTGCATGCCTGCGTTTCCTCCACAGCCAGAAAGAGTCTCAGCCTGGGCCAGAAGCTCTGGAGGCTGGTTCACCCTGGGGAAATAATGCCACCTGGTGTCAGTCCAAATAATTAGTTCAACACTGTATGTGGTGTGTTATTCAAGTGTTTCTCATAAATAGTTTAATGAATTACTGATGATGATGCCACAGATGAAATAAACAACACTAGAGAAGAAACTTCTGGGTCTCCAGAAGGTGGTATTAGCCTGGTGCAGCTCTGCCCATGACTGGCCCTGAGTGTGATCCTTTGCACTGCCCCAGCAAGTGGAATCATCTGGGGAGCACCCAGCAGCCCTAAGGCCACATGCACTGACTGGTATCTTTATCAGACTCTCTCTCTGCTTGACTTGTATCCTTTTCAATGACAACAAGGCTGCCAAAGTGAGGGGTTGGCTGTAGTCTTGGCAGGATCCCACTTTTGCGACCTGAGATCTCTATCTGACATTGGGTCCCTCCCAATCCCCAAGGTAACACTAGCCACTGGGCCTGGGAGTGGGCCTGCCTGCCAGGGCCTGCAGAGAAGCCTGGCGGGACACCAGTGACTGGCGCGCCTGGGAGTCAGTACACTTGGTCCACAGACCATGACTGCTTGCTTAGGCTCCTGTGGGCCAGTGGCTTTCCACAGAACAAGCTTGTTTCCTGTTTGTATACTACACTCTCAAACCCAGGCAAGGCTATTTACTAGAAAATCCCACCATTCAACTGCTTTTTTTTTTATTATACTTTAAGTTTTAGGGTACATGTGCACATTGTGCAGGTTAGTTACATATGTATACATGTGCCATGCTGGTGCGCTGCACCCACTAACTCGTCATCTAGCATTAGGTATATCTCCCAGTGCTATCCCTCCCCCCTCCCCCAACCCCACCACAGTCCCCAGAGTGTGATATTCCCCTTCCTGTGTCCATGTGTTCTCATAGTTCAATTCCCACCTATGAGTGAGAATATGTGGTGTTTGGTTTTTTGTTCTTGCGATAGTTTACTGAGAATGATGATTTCCAATTTCATCCATGTCCCTACAAAGGACATGAACTCATCATTTTTTATGGCTGCATAGTATTCCATGGTGTATATGTGCCACATTTTCTTAATCCAGTCTATCATTGTTGGACATTTGGGTTGGTTCCAAGTCTTTGCTATTGTGAATAATGCCGCAATAAACATACGTGTGCATGTGTCTTTATAGTAGCATGATTTATAGTCATTTGGGTATATACCCAGTAATGGGATGGCTGGGTCAAATGGCATTTCTAGTTCTAGATCCCTGAGGAATCGCCACACTGACTTCCAAAATGGTTGAACTAGTTTACAGTCCCACCAACAGTGTAAAAGTGTTCCTATTTCTCCACATCCTCTCCAGCACCTGTTGTTTCCTGACTTTTTAATGATTGCCATTCTAACTGGTATGAGATGGTATCTCATTGTGGTTTTGATTTGCATTTCTCTGATGGCCAGTGATGATGAGCATTTTTTCATGTGTATTTTGGCTGCATAAATGTCTTCTTTTGAGAAGTGTCTGTTCATGTCCTTTGCCCACTTTTTGATGGGGTTGTTTGTTCTCTTGTAAATTTGTTTGAGTTCATTGTAGATTCTGGATATTAGCCCTTTGTCAGATGAGTAGGTTGCGAAAATTTTCTCCCATTTTGTAGGTTGCCTGTTCACTCTGATGGTAGTTTCTTTTGCTGTGCAGAAGCTCTTTAGTTTAATTAGATCCCATTTGTCAATTTTGTCTTTTGTTGCCATTGCTTGTGGTGTTTTGGACATGAAGTCCTTGCCCATGCCTATGTCCTGAATGGTAATGCCTAGGTTTTCTTCTAGGGTTTTTATGGTTTTAGGTCTAACGTTTAAATCTTTAATCCATCTTGAATTGATTTTTGTATAAGGTGTAAGGAAGGGATCCAGTTTCAGCTTCCTACATATGGCTAGCCAGTTTTCCCAGCACCATTTATTAAATAGGGAATCCTTTCCCCATTGCTTGTTTTTCTCAGGTTTGTCAAAGATCAGATAGTTGTAGATAAGCGGCGTTATTTCTGAGGGCTCTGAAGTTCTGGCCAGGGCAATTAGGCAGGAGAAGGAAATAAAGGGTATTCAATTAGGAAAAGAGGAAGTCAAATTGTCCCTGTTTGCAGACGACATGATTGTATATCTAGAAAACCCCATTGTCTCAGCCCAAAATCTCCTTAAGCTGATAAGCAACTTCAGCAAAGTCTCAGGATACAAAATCAATGTACAAAAATCACAAGCATTCTTATACACCAACAACAGACAAACAGAGAGCCAAATCATGAGTGAACTCCCATTCACAATTGCTTCAAAGAGAATAAAATACCTAGGAATCCAACTTACAAGGGATGTGAAGGACCTCTTCAAGGAGAACTACAAACCACTGCTCAAGGAAATAAAAGAGGATACAAACAAATGGAAGAACATTCCATGCTCATGGGTAGGAAGAATCAATATCGTGAAAATGGCCATACTGCCCAAGGTAATTTACAGATTCAATGTCTTCCCCATCAAGCTACCAATGACTTTCTTCACAGAATTGGAAAAAACTACTTTAAAGTTCATATGGAACCAAAAAAGAGCCCGCATTGCCAAGTCAATCCTAAGCCAAAAGAACAAAGCTGGAGGAATCACACTACCTGACTTCAAACTATACTACAAGGCTACAGTAACCAAAACAGCATGGTACTGGTACCAAAACAGAGATATAGATCAATGGAACAGAACAGAGCCCTCAACTGCTTTTTTAAGTTTGCTCTTGGACATCCTACCCTTGCCTGAAACTCAATCCATCAAAGATAAAAATTCTTAGACACAGAAGAGCCATTAGAGACTGCTATGTCTAGGGCCCCTGAAAGGAACCAATTAGGTCCCTTGGCAATTTTCTCAATTCGAAGGGCCCATTCAAACTCTTTGCAAAAATTTGGGAAATGTGCGGTTTTTCAGTAGTTTCCATCCCATTGGCAATCAAATTCTCAAAGGGCCCTGAGAAGCCATCAGATACATGTCTTCTCCCAGCTGGCTCTATTTCTTGGCTGACTGTATCTCCTGGCCCCCCTGATTCTGGCAGAGCTTTTTGCCTCCTACCTCATGGCAAATACTGAGGCACCTTTGACCTCCTGCACTCACCGGTGGTCTCACCTCTGTCTGCACCTGTACAAGGCTAGTCTTTCCACCTGTGCTCTCCATCACACATCTTCTTTGTCCCACAAGTTACCCCTTCTTAAATTTTGAACTCGTCTGGTTGCTTCTCCCTGGTCTATACAAAGGTTTCAGGGTTTCTCATGTCAAAACAAAACAACAGCCCCTGCCACACTCCCTATCTAATCTCTGCTTCACACGGTCTGTATTCCTCTACCCACTTCTTGTTCTTTTCTCTACTGCATTGCCAGCTATATGTAATCTCTGAAACCTTTAGTCACTATCACTAGCCTATCTTCTCCTGAGTTCTAAATCTATACTGTTAGAAAGCAGTATTGCTTATGGATCAAAAATGAGGAATCTATGTTCAGCCAGTCTGGGTTCAAAGCCTGGCCCCACCAGTTAGCAGCTGTTGATCTCAAGCAAGTTAACCTTTCTGTGCTTGAGTTTTTCTCTTTGTAAAATCCACCTACATCATCAGTTGTAGTGAGGAATAAATAAGACATGAAATGCTTAGCACAGTGCCTGACACATAACGAATGATCAGTAATGTGAACTATTATTCTTTGCACCTGCACATCCTACAGGTCCCTTACATTCAACATGCCTAGAATTAAACTAACCTTTTCTCCTTGAGCTTCTTCCTCTGCCTGGTTCCCCATTTGTGATTGAGCTTTGCCTGTGAAGGCTGCATTAACTAAGGGCTATTGGCCTCTCTGGGCTTCCTATGGTCTCACCAGCCTCCCATTTGGTCTCCCTGCCTTTACTTTTCCCACCCACCAAACCACTCTCCACACTGCAGTCAAGATTGGCTCATCTTATTCCTCTCCGTAAAAACCCAGTGGCTCCCCATTGTCCATCAGATACAATCTGAACCTTTTTTTTTTTTTTTTTGGAGACAGTGTTTTACTCTGTTGCCCAGGCTCTGGAGTGCAGTGGCACAATCATAGCTCACTCTCACTGTAACCCCAAACTGTTGGGCTCAAGCAATCCTGCCACCTCAGCCTCCCATGTAGCTGGGACTATAGGCATGAGCCACAACACCCAGATAATTTTTTTTTTAATTTCTGTAGAAACAGAGCCTATGTTGCTCAGACTGGTCTCAAACTCCTGGGTTCAAGTGATCCTCCTGCCTTAGCCCCCCAAAGTGCTGGGATTATCGATGTGAGCCACTGCGACTGGCCAAAATCTAAACTTCTAAGCCTGCCATGCAGGGCCCTCTGAGCTTTGGCGCTGCTCCTGTTCCAGGCCCATCCCCACTCTCTCCCCCGTATCCCAGCCTGCTTCCTCTCTTATGCTCCCATGATGCCAAACTGCCAACAGGCGCCCCACAGAGCTGTCCTGCTTCAACACTCTGTACCTGCCTCTCCTTCCCCTGAAACACCCCCACATTCAGCACCTTGTTTCTTCAGACCTGTGAAGTCCATTAGCGTGGAAGTCACAAATGTGCCTTCCTGGATCTACTCTGTCACACTTCTGTGCCTTGGCCCAAAATGCTCTCTCCCCCTTGATCTGCCAAATACACCCTTTTCCTTCTGGTTCCAGAGTTACAACCAGGTGAAGCCATGCCACTTTTGCAGATTTAGCTAGTCCTTCTCTCTGTGCTCCCACGGTGCTCCCATCCTGCCTCTGGTCTCTGTCAGGGCACTGGCACTATCAGCACTATGGTATTTGATGGGAAGACTTTGTTTATGTAGCAGTCTTGCCCTGGAGCGCCTGAGCTCCTCCAGGAGAGTGCCGTATG
Source organism: Homo sapiens (assembly GCF_000001405.40). Lineage (NCBI taxonomy): Eukaryota > Metazoa > Chordata > Mammalia > Primates > Hominidae > Homo > Homo sapiens. Next base: position 115,629,917 of record NC_000001.11, read on the forward strand.
CACCCTCACCCCACTTCTCCATGTCCTTTCCTGCTTTATTTTCTCCTTAGCACTCATTACCATTGGACATACTACACATGATGCTCATTTGTCCATCTCTCCCCACTAAAATATGAACTCTCTGAGTACAGAAGCTTTAGTCTGTTTTAATATATCCCCAGAGACTAGAATAGTAACTGGTACACAGTGAGTGTTCAATAAATGTTTGTTGAATTAATTGTTGAATCACTGATCAATGTTACATTACCTAATTTTATATCTCTAGTAGCTAACATATTGCCTAGCACATAGTAGATACCAGAAGAAGATATCATAGAAGTCAGGCACTGTGGCATGCACTTATAGTCCCAGAGGCTAAGGTGGGAAGATTGCTTGAGATCAGGAATTTGAGTCCAGCCTGGGCAATATAGTAAGACTGTTTCTAAAAAATAAACTTAAATAAAAATGAAATTTTAAAACACTTGGAAAGAACATTTCAGGTTTATCTGTGGTGCCTGAGCACGTACTCTTAAGGAAAAAAAAAAATCCAAACATTAGTGTTGGATTCCAGGTTCTCTACCTTCTAATCCTGGCCACTCAATTTTGAATCCTCTTTGTCTCAGCATAAGCCTTTATCTTGACCCTGACTGCCCTGCTTCCTGCCCTTGAGTAAATACCAGGCATTGCTCTTCCTCTCTCTGGCCCACACTCCAAACAGAAACACTGTTGAACCATTCTTCAACATGTACATACTGAGCACCTGGGATCCAGCCACTGTCCTCCACCTATGCCTATTCCATTTCTCTTTCCTCAAGGCGAGGACAAATTGACCCTCCCTTGGGAAGCTTTCCCTAACTATCCAGGCCTGTGTGACTCTCTCACTGGGCACTAATGACCCATACTGTAGCACCTCATCACTGGCATTATTAACCAGCAGACATAAAATAAACGTATGTAGATTTTACAGAAAATGGCCCTTTAAAGAATTGGCACTTTTTAACATTTCAAACATTTTGGATGGAAATTTTTCTGATATTTATTTTACATCTTCTCTGTCTTCTCAAATAGAGTACTATATACAGAAGGGCCATCTCACCTTTTACAACGAAGGCACTGTGCATCCCTAGCCATTATTCTGTGATGTGTAGTGTGTCAGGAGCAAAAGAGAAGGGCATGAGCTCTGGAATTAAACAATCCTCATAGTGATCCTCTTTGCAGTCCCTGGGGTCTTCCTGAGGTCACTGCCTGACTCTTTTTGATGTGTTGCTAATCTATAGTGAATCAGATAGTAAAGTTTATTAGAATTGTTAGTAAACCAAGTGTAAACAGTATCTAAGTGGGGTATGAGGGAGTCACTTGTTTATCAACCCTCTCTACTTTAAGGCATAGACTTTGCACAGTCTATTTTGTGGATCAGAGGCCTTTCTCACTTAACTCCTGTTATTTGGGGTTTACTCATAATTCTTGAGGTTGGTTAAGTAACTTCTTAAAAAAGTGTGATTTAATGCATTTAGCATTTTATGTATTATCTTCTGTTAACAACCTTTATATGCATATATAAAAACTCTGTAATTAGATTGTTCTCTGGTTAAATTATTAGCTTCCCAGGGCAAAAAGTATTTTATAGTCATTTACTCATGTGCTAAGTATTTTAGAAAGCAACTACTATGTGAAAAGATCTGTGACAGAAAAAAGATAAATAAGACATGGTATTTACACATTATTGAGGAGATAAGACACAAATAACAATACAAAGCAATAAGGTAAATGTAAAAAATTCAGAGTGCTATGGCAATTCAAATAGAAGAAACTTCTGGTTGGGAGACCTGTGAAAGGCTTCATGAAACAGGTGGCATTTGAGTTGGGTCTTCGTGAACAGGAAAAATTTCAGTGGGTAGCTGAGAAGGAAAAACAAACTCAGTTCTTCCTATGTACTCTCACAACATGGAATGCTTCTCTGACCACAAGTGTAAGGGATTTTCCCACAGACCAAGCAAGCAAGCAATTTTGCAGGAGATACCACCTGGGTATCCTCTAATTCAAATCGATTCTGACACTATGGACTTGAAGAGTGTCAAGACCCACAGGCTGAGGGCTCAGCCTCCAAGAATGCCCTCACTTCGGCCAGTTGCAAGTCCAGGACTCTGGAACTTATGGCCAACTGGCTATAAATCAGGGTTCCCACAACCCCCTCATCAGATTCGATTAATTTGTTACAGTGGATCATAGAACTCAGGGAAACACTTATGTTGATGATAAAGGATATCTGAAATAATACAAATCAACAGTCAGATGAAGAGACACACAGCAGGAGGTCTGGAAGGGTGGCACCCAGGAGCTTCCATCTTGGTGGAATTGGGCTCCGCCACCCTCTAGACACATGGATATGTTCTTCTTCACTGTCCTAGAAGCCTCCATGTGTTTGCCTATCTAGTAGTTACCCAAACCCAGTCCTTTGGGGTTTTTACGGAAGCTTCATCACAGAGGCATGATTGATTAAATCATTGGCCACTGTGATCAGCTTAACCTTCACCCCCCTCTCCTCTCAGCTGGTATCTGCTGCAGAATTGATTGCTAGCTTGGTGTGTGGGGAAATATTCCTACAGCGGGGTCTGAAAAGCATTCTGTATTGTGAGAGTACAATAGGAAGAAACTAAGTTTATTTTTTCTTCTCAGCTACCCACTAAAATTTTTCCTATCCACCAAGCCCCAGTTGAAAAGCCACCAGTTGCACGAAGACTTCTGCAGGTCTCCCAAACAGAAAACAGTTTCTCCTATTTGAATTCCCACAGCACTCAATCTGAATGCTCACCTTGTTGCTTCCTATTGGTTATTTGCATCCTATCTCCTCAATAATGTATAAATACCACAGGCAGAACCCTTCAACCCTGTGACTACAGAATTGGTTTCCCTGACAACCAGTATCTCTCCCCCAATGCTACAAAGTGTTAACTAGGGACTTCCCAAAAATTGCCTCATTAACATAAGCTCAGGTGTGGGTGAAAAGCATTTGTTATAAATAACAAAAGACTGTCTTTCACCTTTATCACTCTGAAACTGTTTCCAGAGCTGCTTCAGGAATCAAGGACAAAAAGTCAAATACTTGAACAAAAGATATCCTTACTGCTCTAGTCACTTAGGAAATAAGAATCTCACAGGAGATGTGAGCCAGGAACCACCATGGATGAAAACCAAAACATATACATCATCATATCACTGCAGCATACCAAGATTTGGGAAAGCTGTGAGAATGAGAAGGGAGAAATATTTGTATGCATTTGTGGAACACAGAGTCTTGAGATCATCCAGTGCATAGTACCCCACTTCCCACATTGAATTTGCAACAAATATATTAGTGAAACAAAGAAATGGCATGTGGCACCCACAATATTACTTTTATTACTAATTAAGGATAAGCTGGAGCACTCAACTTTGGGCAAAAGCCAAATGAGGCTGAACCACTTGGTAACAGTAACCTTGAGCTAGAGCAGGCCTCCATCATTCAGTTCTTGAGAAGTTTTCCAATGCTTACCTTTTCAGCTTGAACACTTAAGATCACTGGAGAAAAATGGACAGTAAATGGCATTTTTTAAAAATTATGCTTCAAGTTCTGGGATACATGTGCAGAACGTGCAGGTTTGTTACATAGGTATACATGTGCCATACTGGTTTTCTGCACCCATCAACCCGTCATCTACATTAGGTATTTCTCCTAATGCTATGCCACCCCTAGTCCTCCAACCCACCGACAGGCCCTGGTGTGTGATGTTCCCCTCCCTGTGTCCATGTGTTCTCATTGTTCAACTCCCACTTATGAGTGAGAACATGCAGTGTTTGGTTTTCCATTCCTGTGTTAGTTTGACAAGAATGATGGTTTCCAGCTTCATCCATGACCCTGCAAAAGACATAACTCTTCCTTTTTTATGGCTGCATAGTATTCCATGGTGTATATGTGCCACATTTTCTTTATCCAGTCTATCATTGATGGACATTTGGGTTGGTTCCAAGTCTTTGCTCTTGTGAACAGTGCTGCAATAAACACACATGTGCATATGTCTTTATAGTAGCATGATTTATAATCCTTCAGGTATATACCCAGTAATGGGATGGCTGGGTCAAATGGTATTTCTGGTTCTAGATCCTTGAGGAATCGCCACACTGTCTTCCACATGGTTGAACTAATTTACACTCAGACCAACAGTGCAAAAGCATTCCTATTTCTCCACATCCTATCCAGCATCTCTTGTTTCCTGACTTTTTAATGATCGCCATTCTAACTGGCATGAGATGGTATCTCATTGTGGTTTTGATTTGCATTTCTCTAATGACCAGTGATGATGAGCTTTTTTTTATATGTTTGTTGGCTGCATAAATGTCATCTTTTGAGAAGTGTCTGTTCATATCCTTTACCCACTTTTTGATGGGATTGTTTTTTTCTTGTAAATTTGTTTAAGTTCCTTGTAAATTCGGGATATTAGCCCTTTGTCAGATGGATAGATTGCAAAAATTTTCTCCCATTCTGTAGGTTGCCTTTTCACTCTGATGGTAGTTTCTTTCGCTGTGCAGAAGCTCTTTAGTTTAATCAGATCCCATTTGTGAATTTTGGCTTTTGTTGCCATTGCTGTTGGTATTTTAGTCATGAAGTCTTTCCCATGCCTATGTCCTGAATGGTATTGCCTAGGTTTTCTTCTATGATTTTTATGGGTTTAGGTCTTACGTTTAAATCTTTAATCCACCTTGAGTTAATTTTTGTATAAGGTGTAAGGAAGGGGTCCAGTTTCAGTTTTCTGCATATGGCTAGCCAGTTTTCCCAACATCATTTATTAAATAGTGAATCCTTTCCCCATTGCTTGTTTTTGTCAGGTTTGTCAAAGATCAGAGGGTTGTACATGTGTGGTGTTATTTCTGAGGCCTCTGTTCTGTTCCATTGGTCTATATATCTGTTTTGGTACTAGTACCATGCTGTTTTGGTTACTGTAGGTAGCCTTGTAGTATAGTTTGAAGTCAGGTAGCATGATGCCTCCAGCTTTTTGCTTAGGATTGTCTTGGCTATATGGGCTCTTTTTTGGTTCCATGTGAAATTTAAAGTAGTTCTTTCTAATTCTGTGAAGAAAGTCAATGGTAGCTTGATGGGGATAGCATTAAATCTACAAATTACTTTGGGCAGTATGGCCATTTTCACAATATTGATTCTTCTTATCCATGAGCATGAATGTTTTTACATTTGTTTGTGTTCTCTCTTATTTCCTTGAGCAGTGGTTTATACTTCTCCTTGAAAAGGTTCTTCACATCCCTTGTAAGTTGTATTCTTAGGTATTTATTCTCTTTGTAGCAACTGTGAATGGGAGTTCACTCATGGTTTGGCTCTCGGTTTTTCTGTTTTTGGCGTATAGGAATGCTTGTGATTTTTGCACATTGATTTTGTATCCTGAGACTTTGCTGAAGTTGCTTATCAGTTTAAGGAGATTTTGGGCTGAGATGATGGGGTTTTCTAAATATACAATCATGTCATCTGCAAACAGAGACAATTTGACTTCCTCTCTTCCTATTTGAATACCCTTTATTTCTTTCTCTTGCCTAATTGTCCTGGCCAGAACTTCCAATACTATGTTGAATAGGAGTAGTGAGAGAGAACATCCTTGTCTTGTGCCAGTTTTCAAAGGGAATGCTTCCAGCTTTTGCCCATTCAGTATGATATTGGCTGTGGGTTTGTCATAAATAGCTCTTATTATTTTGAGATATGTTCCATCAATACCTAGTTTATTGAGAGTTTTTAGCATAAAGGGGTGTTGAATTTTATCAAAGGCCTTTTCTGCATCTATTGAGATAATCATGTGGTTTTTGTCATTGGTTCTGTTTATGTGATGGATTATGTTTATTGATTTGCATATGTTGAACCAGCCTTGCATTCCAGGGATAAAGCCAACTGGATCATGGTGGATAAGCTTTTCCATGTGCTGCTGGATTTGGTTTGCCAGTAATTTATTGAAGATTTTCGCATTGCTGTTCATCAGGGATATTGGCCTGAAATTTTCTTTTTTTATTGTGTTTCTGCCACGTTTTGGTATCAGGATGATGCCAGCCTCATAAAATGAGTTAGGGAGGAGTCCCTCTTTTTCTATTGTTTGGAATAGTTTCAGAAGGAATGGTACCAGCTCCTCTTTGTACCTCTGGTAGAATTTGGCTGTGAATACGTCCAGTCCCAGGCTTTTTTTAGGTGGTAGGCTATTAATTACTGCCTTAATTTCAGAACTTGTTATTGATCTATTCAGGGATTCAAATTCTTCCTGGTTTAGTCTTGGGAGCATGTATGTGTCAAGGAATTTGCCCATTTCTTCTAGATTTTCTAGTTTATTTGTGTAGAGGTGTTTACAGTATTCTCTGATGGTAGTTTGTATTTCTGTGGGATGAGTGATGATATCCCCTTTATCATTTATTATTGTGTCTAGTTGATTCTTCTCTATTTTCTTCCTTATTAGTCTGGCTAGCAGTCTATCTATTTTGTTAATCTTTTCAAAAAAAAAACAGCTCTTGGTTTAATTGATTTTTGAAGGGTTTTTCATGTCTCTATCTCCTTCAGTTCTGCTCTGATCTTAGTTATTTCTTGCCTTCTGCTAGCTTTTGAATTTGTTTGCTTGCTTCTTTAGTTCCTTTAACTGTGATGTTAGGGTATCAATTTTAGATCTTTCCTGCTTTCTCCTTTGGGCATTTAGTGCTAAAAATTTTCCTCTAAACACTGCTTTAGCTGTGTCCCAGAGATTCTGGTACCTTTTGTCTTTGTTCTCATTGGTTTCAAATAACTTATTTATTTCTGCCTTAATTTCATTATTTACCCAGTAGTCATTCAGGAGCAGGTTGTTCAGTTTCCATGTAGTTGTGCAGTTTTGAGTGAGTTTCTTAATCCTGAGTTCTAATTTGATTGTACTGTGGTCTGAGAAACTGTTATGATTTCCATTCTTTTGCATTTGCTGAGGAGTGTTTTACTTCCAATTATGTGGTCAATTTTAGAATAAGTGTGATGTGGTGCTGAGAAGAATGTATATTCTGTTGATTTGGGGTGGAAAGTTCTATAGATGTCTATTAGGTCTGCTTGGTCCAAAGCTGAGTTCAAGTCCTGAATATCCTTGTTAATTTTCTGTCTCATTGATTTATCTAATATTGACAGTGGGGTGTTAAAGTCTCCCACTATTTTTGTGTGGGAGTCTAACTCTCTTTGTAGGTCTCTAAGAACTTGCTTTATGAATCTGGGTGCCCCTGTATTGGGTGCATATATATTTAAGATCGTTAGCCCTTCTTGTTGCATTGATCCCTTTATCATCATGTAATACCCTTCTTTGTCTTTTTTGATCTTTGTTGGTTTAAAGTCTGTTTTATCAGAGACTAGGATTGCAATTCTGCTTTTTTTTGTTTTCCATTTGCTTGGTAAATATTCCTCCATCCCTTTATTTTGAGCCTATGTGTGTCTTTGCACATGAGATTGGTCTCCTGAATACAGCACACCGATGGGTCTTGACTCTTTATCCAATTTGCCAGTCTGTGTCTTTTAATTGGGGCATTTAGCCCATTTACATTTAAGGTTAATATTGTTCTGTGTGAATTTGATCATGTTATTATGATGCTAGCTGGCTATTTTGCCCATTAGTTGATGCAGTTTCTTCATAGTGTCAATGGTCTTTACAATTTGGTATGTTTTTGCAGTGGCTGGGTACTGGTTTTTCCTTTCCATATTTAGTGGTTCCTTCAGGAGCTCTTGTAAGGTAGGCCTGTTGGTGACAAAATAGCTCAGCATTTGCTTGTCTGTAAAGGATTTTATTTCTCCTTAGCTTACGAAGCTTAGTTTGGCTGGATATGAAATTCTGGTTTGAAAATTCTTTTCTTTAAGTGTGTTGAATATTGGCATCCACTCTCTTCTGGCTTGTAGCAGTTCTGCAGAGAGATCCACTGTCAGTCTGATGGGCTTTCCTTTGTGGGTAACCCAACCTTTCTCTCTGGCTGCCCTTAACATTTTTTTCCTTCATTCCAACCTTGGTGAATCTGATGATTATGTGTCTTGGGGTTGCTCTTCTTGAGGAGTATCTTTGTGGTGTTCCCTGCATTTCCTGAATTTGAATGTTGGCCTGTCTTGCTAAGTTGGGGAAGTTCTCCTGGATAATATCCTGAAAAGTGTTTTCCAACTTGGTTCCATTCTCCCCGTCACTTTCAGGTACAACAATCAAACGTAGGTTTGGTCTTTTCACATAGTCCCATATTTCTTGGAGGCTTTGTTCATTCCCTTTCATTCTTTTTCTCTAATCTTGTTTTCACACTTTATTTCATTAAGTTGATCTTCAATCTCTGATATCCTTTCTTCCGCTTGATTGATTCAGCTATTGATACTTGTGTATGCTTCACGAATTTCTCATGCTGTGTTTTTCAGCTCCATCAGGTCATTTATGTTCTTCTCTAAACTGGTTATTCTAGTTAGCAATTCCTATAACCTTTTTTCAAGGTTCTTAACTTCCTCTTATTGGGTTAGAACATGCTCCTTTAGCTTGGAGGAGTTTGTTATTACCCACCTTCTGAAGCCTACTTCTGTCAGTTTGTCAGACTCATTCTCCATTCCAGTTTTGTTCCCTTGATGGTGAGGAATTGTGATCCTTTGAAGGAGAAGAGGTGCTCTGGTTTTTGGAATTTTCAGCCTTTTTGTGCTGGTTTTTCCTCATCTTTGTGGATTTATCTACCTTTGGTCTTTGATGTTGGTGACCTTGGGATAAGGTTTTTGTGTGGACGTCTTTTTTGTTGATATTGATGCTATTCGTTTCTGTTCGTTAGTTTTCCTTTTAATAGTCAGGCCCCTCTGCTTCAGGTCTTTTGGACTTTGCTGGCGGTCCACTCCAAACCGTGTTTGCTCGCGTATCACCAGCAGAGGCTGCAGAACAGCAAAGAACAGCCTGTTCCTTCCTCTGGAAGCTTTGTCCCAGAGGGGCACCTGCCGGATGCCAGTCAGAGCTCTCCTGTATGAAGTGTCTGTCGACCACTGCTGGGAGGTGTCTCCCAGTCAGGAGGCACAGGGGTCAGGGACCCACTTGAGGAACCATTCTGTCCCTTAGCAGAGCTCGAATGCTGTGCTGGGAGATCTGCTGTTCTCTTCGGAGCTGGCAGGCAAGAACATTTAAGTCTGCTGAAGCTGCACCCACAGCTGCCCCTTTCCCCAGGTGCTCTATCCCAGGGAGATGGGAGTTTTATCTACAAGCCCCTGACTGGATCTGCTGCCTTTCTCTGAGATATGCCCTGCCCAGAGTGGAGGAATCTAGAGAGAAAGTCTGGCTACAGTGGCTTTGTGGAGCTGCAGTGGGCTCTGCTCGGTTCAAACTTCCCAGTGGCTTTCTTTACACTGTCAGGGGAAAATCATCTACTCAAGCCTCAGTAATGGCGGATGCCCCTCCCCTCAACAAGCTCCAGCATCCCAGGTCGACTTCAGACTGCTGTGCTGGCAGCAAGAATTTCAAGCCAGTGGATCTTAGCTTGTTGGGCTCCATGGGGGTGGAATCCCCTGAGCTAGACCACTTGGCTTCCTGGCTTCAGCCCCCATTCCAGGGGAGTGAGCAGTTACGTCTCACTGGCATTCCAGGAGCCACTGAGGTATGAAAGAAACCTTCTGCAGGTATCTCAGTGTCTGCCCAAATGGCCGCCCAGTTTTGTGCTTGAAACCCAGGGCTCTGGTGGCATAGGCACCCAAGGGACTTTCCTGGTCTGTTGTTTGTGAAGACCATGGGAAAAGCATAGTATCTGGGCTGGAATGTACTGTTCCTCACAGCACAGTCCCTCATGGTTTCCCTTGGCTAGGGGAGGGAGTTCCCCAATCCCTTGCGCTCCCTGGGTGAGGTGACGCCCCACCCTGCTTCAGCTCGCCCTCTGTAGGCTGCACCCACTGTCTAACCAGTCCCAATGAGATAAGCTGGGTACCTCAGTCGGAAATGCAGAAATCACCTGCCTTCTGCATTGATCTTGCTGGGAGCTGCATACTGGAGCTGTTCCTATTCAGCCATCTTGCCCAGGTCCCCCGGCATGTTTTTTTTTTTTTTTTTTTAATTGAGATGGAGTCTCGTTTTGCCCAGGCTGGAGTGCAGTGGCATGATATCAGCTCACTGCAACATCTGCCTCCTAGGTTCAAGCAATTCTCCTGCCTCAGCCTCCTGAGTAGCTGGGATTACAGGTGCCTGCCACCACGCCTGGCTAATTTTTTTATTTTTAGTAGAGATGGGGTTTCGCCATGTTGGCCAGGCTGGTCTTGAACGCATGACCCCAAGTGATCTGCCCATCTCAGCCTCCCAAAGTGTTGGGATTACAAGCTTCAGCCACCAAGCCCGGCCTCTACATGGCATTTAAAGGTGAATTTATTATTTTAAAATAGGTTATTTGCAACTACCCCTCTTTCCCACAAAACATCATCTGGTAAGGTGGCTAGACATAAGAACCTAAGTGAATTAGAATTACTTTCTGAAAACTCATTGAAGATCTCTGTGTTAATTGGAGCTATTCAGGTACATGACTAGAATTGGAAATCCCTGGCCTGTTTGAACTTTGAAAGTTCTACATTTTAGAGATGAGAGAGACATGTTTTTATAATGTTCTACATTTCTGACCCTGAGTGCTGATTTGGGTGAATAGACCATTGGCTTTACCCATAGGAACCTGGCTGCCTGAGTCAGCAACATCTGCTCTCTGGAGCCTACTGGGAGGCTGGGGGTGGGGGAGGAAGATGGTCTAGGCCACTGAGTGGGGCAGCAGAGCCTGGGGACTAGGAGTGGTGAAAATCAGCCACATTGAACATATGGGTGTCTTCTCAAGGAAATGTGACATATGCGAGAGAAAATGGAGTCTAGAAGGGATGAGGAAGAGGTGATCAAGGGAGTGAGGGGTTCTTGGAGCCAAGGTTCCCTGATTAAGGCTAGTCAGGGTGGGCCTGCATTTCCCCACCCCAAATGCCCGCAATACTCCTGTAGACAACTCTTAGGAAATTCAGCACTTCATTATACACTGCTTCCACTGGAAAATCCTGCCACGTAAGCAGCTTTGGGTCCCAGCTAGATTGGAGATGATCAGTAAGGAACCCTAATGCTACCAACACAAGACAACTAAGAAAAGTGCAAATATTCATGAAAATCGTTGCCAACTGTTTTGTAATCCTCACCACAATCCTGCAAGGTGGACAGCAGCATCCTCACCACTTTTCAGACAGGTAAACAAAGGCTCAGAAAGGAAACAGTACCTGGTTGGAATCAGCACTGAAGCTTCAGCTACCTGCCTGCAGAGATGTGCTCATCTAGCAGTTTCTAGGAGACTAGGCTGGCGGCAGTGCCTGCTCTGATAAGGGAGGAGGAGGGGAGAGGCTTGCTGTGGTGGCTTGTAGGGGGTGTGTGTGTGTGTGTGTGTGTGTGTGTGTGTGTGTCTATTTGTGGGGTCATTTCCAGGGCTACATGTGAGTTTAAGTGTGTGTATATGGGTTGAGATATGGTGTATATGGATATTTGTCGGTCAGTTCTTGGAAAGTGTGTATATGAGTGTGTGTTGAGTGGGGTTGGGGGGTTAGTCCCTGAGCCGTGTGAATATGTGGATGGGGGCACTCGTGAGGGCAAATGGGCTCGGATTTTGTGCATGATTGTGTGTGTGTGTGTGTGTGTGTGAGCTTGAGATTCCAAGTATGTGGGGGAGGGAGGGGGCGGTGTCGGAGATCAATCCCTGGGCCATGTGTTTATAGTGTGTGTGTCTGCCCAGAAGAGAGTGGGTTACTGGGCTGTGCACGTCTGTGTAGGGTGAGTGTGTGTATGAGGGTGAATGAGTGTGGGAGGTGTCATTCCCTGGTCCGTGTGTAAGAGTGTGACCGCGCACGCCTTCGTGTGTGTCCCGGGTGTGTGGGGTCGGGGCGGTGACGAGGTGAGGGGGACGCCGGCCGAGCCCCGCCCTCCGCTGCAGGTGGGCCGGCCCCGCGGCGGGGCCGGCAGCGCTAGCTGTTCTTGGCTCGCGGCCGCGCCGGGCTCGCAGGGCTGGGCTCGGGCTGCGGGGCGGCGCCGGGACAGGAAGCGGAAAGCAGCAGTGCAGCGGCGGCGGCGGCGGGGCTCTGCCTCTCCAGGAGCCCAGCGCAGGCCGCAGAGCCGGGGCCGCTGTGAGCCGAGACCGCGGGCCGCGGAGCTCGGGCGGCCGGCGCGGAGGTGAGTCCCGCGAGAGGCCGAGCGCTGCGCGGCGGCGGTCCCCGGGGCAGACCGTTGGCTGGGAGACGCCCCCACCTCGGACCCCGCGTGCCCCTGCGCCCTCCTCCCGCATTCGCCCCGCCGGACTTCGACCCCGGGTGGCCGGCTCCCGCCTCGGGCCGGGGGCTCCCTCCCCTCCTCCGGAGCGCTCCGGGTAGTGCTTCCTCTGACTCCACTCTTCTCCCCATGCGTTGCGCCCCTCCTGGCCCTGCCGTGCGATCTCCGCCGCACCCCACTCCTTGGGGTCCCGGGGTTCCCTGCTCACACCTCGGACGTCCCTTTCTCCCCGGGCTGGCCTTTGGAGTGCGCCCCTTCGGTGCGCGTGCCGGGGCGGCGGGCAGGCCGGCAGGGAGTGGCCGAGCGTTGGAGGCACCGGGCGGCTGCAGCAGCCGTGCAGGGCGGGAGCCGGGCGCGCACCGGGGTTCCCACCCCTGGCGGGGCTCGACCCGGGCGCCGCCTGGCCCTTCGCCAGGAACCGGGACAGAGCTGGTCTGTGTGCACACCTCGCTCACAAAAAATTGAGCCGGCCCTGGAGGCCTGGGGGGCGAGTCCGGTTGCGCCTCGGAGAGCGCAACAGGCAGGTAGGAGTTTACTTTCAAAAACGCCGGGGTGGAGCAGAGGCGCCTGGCGGGTCTCTGCCCAAGGTGTCCCTGCTGGAGGAAATCTCACCGCGCCGGGGCAGCCTTCGCCACCGGCAGGACCTCATTTCCTTCTGCAGTCTTTGAACTGCCCCAAGCATCGCGCCTAGAGAAGTGTGAAGCTTTATAAAAATTTAAACGCGTCCGTGGTGGCGGCAGCAGTGGGGCGGAGCCGCGGCCTGGCTGCTGTGTGATGAGCAGATGAGACTTGGAGCTGAGGAATCTGTTGCTCAGTTTTCACTTCTCCAAACCAGGTCTAATGCCCACGCTGCGAAGGTGTTGTGAGCTCTCTTAGATTCTCCTTAGGAAGTGTTAGAGCGCCTTATGATGATGATTGTGTAGATGGCCCATGCATTTTGTTAAAACTCTTGACCTGGCTTTGGTTAGAAATGAATGTATTCTTAGACACTTAGTCCAAAAGCTAACAAACTGTAAAAGAATCTGGCATTTTCACTGACATGTTTATAAATTTTACGGGGCTGCTGAAAAATATTATAACTTGTATCACCAGTCAACAATGCTAATTAGCATTCTCCCGTCAGTGGGTGGGTTGAGTACACAGCTCCCAGGCTCTGCAAGTGAGATGGCAGAAATTGTCTGAATACAGGGAGAGGTAATTAGCCATTTTCTGTAACCACTAATTATAGAGTTTTTAGGGTTGAATTAAATCAATGTGATATAGTTGGGGCTTTGATTTGTGGGAGGAAACTGTTTCTTTTTCCAGTTCAAAGAAATAACACGCTTCACCTATCCATGAGCATTAAACATTCCCAAACGTTGATGTCTCTCAGTATAATTAGTGAAAACACTCAGTGTGGAATTTCACTATTAACAATGTTGGCAGTGAGGCTTGCTTGCAACTTAATTTGTAAGTAAAATGGGAGAAGAATTTTGAGAGTGATATATTTGTAAGGACTGCTTGCCAAGCAGTACATTTTTATTGTCTTATGTATTAAGCAACAGGACAAAACCATAAAGGAAATTTAAAGTTTCTTTACCAAGCAACAATTCCATGTCACCCTTTGTTTGAAGGATAAATGTGTTGAATGAAGAAGGCATCCTCCCCTTCATCATCCCCTTAACACACTTATATACACACACTGTGCTTGCTACCCTAGGCCTTATCAGCTATTTTGGTGGGATGGGCCCTTGTCACATTGTGTTTTAATTGGAGGTCTCCACATTGGGGCTGTGAGCTCATTGGGAGTTAGAACTATTTTAGATCCATTTCTTTTCTCCTGAGTGCCCCACGATGCTTGGAACACTGAACCTGTGAGTAGAAGTTGAAATTGCAAAATTCTTAGTGGGGTTATATGTGGTTTGGGACAATTTGTGATTGTTGCTTATACTCCTCTATATAAACAAACAATTCTAGTAATTGCTACAGTGCTGTCAATTTTCTGTAGCTAAGAACACAGGTTCTGGAGTTAGACTCTCAACGTTTAAGCCCTGGCTCCTGTGGCAGTCTGGTTTCCCTAACTAACATGATATTAATGTCTTATTTTTCTTAAACACTTGTTATGCGGATTAAGTGAGATATTACATGTAAGTGACTTAAAACAGCATCTAACACATAGTAAACACTTGACAACTAGAAACTGTTAGACTATTACCATCATCTCTGTAAAATCAGCTAGCTGGTTAGGGTCTCGCTGTATAGGGCATGTGATTTGGGCATCATGCTATTCTATTTTCCTTAAGATGGAAAAGATTAGGTGGGCTTGTGATTGGACCATGTTTCTGTTAGCAATATTGGTTTGGTGTTAGCAGTATTGGTTTGATGTTAGCAGTATTGAAGTTTGATGCAAGGATACATGTGTGTGCTGTTGTCTCTAGCAGTGTCCTTCTGAATCCCAGTTACAGGACAACAGTGATCAGACTCTGTACCATCAGATTTACAGAGGAGATAGTACTCATGAGATCTATTTTTCTGAAGTTTAAATATCTGGCAGGGAACAAGGGAGTCACTTGCAAGCAAATATACATCACATAACTCCAGACATGTTAACGATTCACACCTCTTCAGAAATCTGTACCCAGCTGCTGGAGGTGTTTCAGGGGTAATTAATGACTGGAGCCAAGAGAAGTTATTCTGGCAAGGTGAGTTGAAATCATTGGCGAAACAAGTAAAACAAAGTTGACATTTTCTTTCCTTGTAAATAATGACCCAGAATCATTCATTTATAAGCTGTTGTAATAAAAGAATCATTGGGTTTGTCACAAATGCCATAAGCCCAGCAGATCCTCACATCAGTGACCTGCATGATGTTTGGTGGTTTATAGGCCACAAGTTCAAAATGTTTTATAGATTTGCCCTGCATCTCTGCCCGCTCCTTTCCAGCCCATGCCCCTCCAAATAAACCCACTAAAACACACACGGTTTCCTCTGGTCTCTCTGACATTTGCTTCCAACCTGGGGATGGTAAATAGAGGCCTGTAAGAAACAGAATAGAAATCACTTGTTACTCAGCTATAGCTAATAGTAGCAGTTAAAGGTGGTAGCAGAGACCAGAAAAATGTGTATAAGTTCAGTGAAAATGATACAGAAGTTATATGCCATACAACCCCTTCAGTTCTTCCTAACTGAAGGAATTTTACTCTAGTGAATACTAGTAGTAGTTGACAGCTGTGAGTGCCTACCACGTGCTAGGCACTGTTCTAATAATTTTTATGAATTATCTCATTTAATACCTACCACAGATCTATAATATAAGTAAAATAAAATCTGTTGTTACAGTTAGGGAAACTGAGGCAGAGAGCAGTTAAGTAACTTGTTCTGAGGTCACACAGCTAAGTACTAGAGCCAGGATTTGAATGCTCTTCACCCACAATTTGGGCTCATTGCTACTCTCTAGAAGAATAGTTGACTCTAAACAAAATTATTTCAATTGTCACTTTCCCCTTGAGTGCCATTTAATTAAGAATGGGTACCCCTAAGAAGAATGTTAGCTTCAAGACATAATATAAATAATAATTAATAGCATAATCTCTGCAGAATTCTATGTAAAAATCAAATATTCAGAATAATATACACAGCATATATAAGCATGGTTGTACCAGACACCACTTTTCCTTGGAAATAGATCTACTTACTGCATAGGAAGCAAAATCTCTCTTTAAATTCAGTGCGTGTCTCTGTAACCCTTACAAAGTAACTTTCCAAACCAGAGCTCCCTTAATTACTTAATAGCTCTAGGCAGAGCTGTTGATGTTTTTATAATTTCCTTTTTGCGAAGGTTAGCTTATGTTTACCACTGTCATTATCATAACATATTATTTCCTTCATACGATTTGCTAAACACTGTGTTTTCATATTAAGTAGTAGGATTTTTATATGAGTGAACATGACTTTAGGAGAGAATTCTGTTTGAGGCTGATTATCTTCATTTTGCTTTTGATAAAGGGTGGTGAAGGAGGTTCTTTCTGACATTTTTGCCTAGGAAGTCCAGAATTTAGGACACTGCCACTTAGAAGCACTCTGTGCACCTATCTCCCATTGTTGACCTTGCCTGCATGCAATGTGGTTCAATGAGCCTGGCCGTGTCCTAATATTTGCCTCCAGCCCCTACCCAAGCAGTGCCAAGCAATACACTCTTAAGGGGTGGGTGACCGGTGAGGCAAGATGCTCTTGGGCAGTGGCTGAAAGAGGCTGCTGCTGATTTTTACTCAGTGTGTCTGGCATACGAACTCTGCCCCTGAGTGGGACTGCCATGCGAGCCAGTAGTATAGCTTTTTTTTTTTTTTTTTTGATAGTTCTGGTATCACGCCTCTATCTAATATCTGCATCTTTTTTTTTGCCACCTCTAAAACTAAGGATTTAAAATAGATAATTTCTAAAGTTTCTTCCACAATGAATCTATGGCCTCATGTCCTAAGATCTGCCACAAAACCCTTCATTCAGCAGACATTTATAGGGTACCCATAATGTCCTAGGAGCTGGAAAGACAGGCAGTCATGAAAGTGCCTCTGCCCTCATGGAGCTTACAGCCTGTGAAGAAACTAGACAATAAGTGATCACACAAACAAATGTATCACTGGAAGTTGGATAGAAAGGAAGAGTACAGGGTACTAGAGAAGAGCCTGACTGAGATTGAAGGATCAGGAAAGGCCTCTTGAAAGGAGCAGTATTTAAATTAAGGAGTGATGAGTAGGAATTTGGCAAAACAGGGCATGTAAAGGGTGAGTACCAACAGATATACTGGGCTCTGCCAAAGCCCTAAGACTCTACCTTAAAGGAGCTGGGGCTAGAGAAGGAGGAGGGAGCTAGAGCGTCGGGCAGGACATTGCATACCAAATGAAAGATTTTTGTATTTTATTTAAAGTGCAGTGGGACACCACGGAAAGGTTTTAAACAGGGAAGTGACGTCTGCATTGTAATTTAAAAGGTCACTCTGGCTGCTGCCCAGCCTGGGCCAAACACAATATGAGTCATGTCAGGGGTCAGTATGATAGACAGTTCCAGGTTCTAGGAGCCATATTCCCACCTTTATATGACTGTCCTATTCATGCTGCTGTGACAGCCTATCAGTGTATTACCCTGGGAACCTGATTCCTTTTCATTGCTTTATTGTCTTTTCTGATAAGGGATTCCTTCTGACCTTATCATGAGTTTGGTTAATTTCTTGTGTATGCAAGGGAACTATCTCATAGATATATCATTGCAGTGGTAAGCTTCAGGATATCCTTTTCCATTAAGTCTGTTGAAGTTCTTACCTTGGCTCAGACTCTTTTAAAATAAGTTCACTTCGGATTTTATTAGTTTGCCTCTTATTGCATCCTCTTAGTCCTCACTCAGATCTTGGATAGGATAAGAGTTGGTAACTATTAGAAACGGTATGACTTAGAAGGGGCCTGAGCTGTGTATAGGCTGGTGAGGACACCTGGAGGCTTTGTAGTGGTCTAGCCCTGTGTAGGTGGAGCCTGGAGGAAGTGGGTGGCTGTGAATCAGTAGAGTGAAGGGAGGATCAGAGAGGGTGTTGAAGGTGGCACAGGGTTAGATCCTTAGGATGAGGGTATTGCTTTAGCTGAGGAATTGGGAAGAACAGGACAGGATACTGGAGAGCACCTATGAGAGGGATGATGGTATTCCCAAGGGGAGCAAGAGGAATCTCAGTAGGAAATGTGCACTTGGGATTTAGTCTTTCAGTAAGTATTTGTTGGGTACCTGCTATGTTCAAAATATCCTGGGTGGAGGTAAGACGTAGTTGCTGTGTTCAAGGAGCTTCTGCCATAGGAAATCTGTGGATGGAGAAGACTGAGAAGAGTTTTGAATGTCAAGGGATAACGTGATGAGGGGAGAGGAGAGGGAGTGTTAGAGGAGAAGTAGTAACATAAGCGGCATCAAATTGGAGGCTAGCCAGCTGCAGAGAAACTCTGCTAGGGCAGGCAGCATGCCTTTGTCATTGCTGTGCCCTAGCATTGCCTAGCATGGTCTTGTAGGTGCCACTTAATATGGAGGTGGATGGACTAATAAATGAAATAAAAAGCACTGGGGGAGGAGGACAAGGATGTTACTTGGCTCATAGCAATCCTTGGCCAACTTTGAGTTGTTTCAGTGGAGTGTTGTGGATGGAGATTTGGACTGAAAGTGGAGAAGGAGGGAGTGACAGCATGTATAGACCACTCCTTTGGTAAGTACAGGAAGGAACCATGGGAGGGAAACCAGACTAGGGTGGTTGGTAGAGTTAGATAAAGCCTTTCCCTGGAGGGCAGTTGGGACCCATGGTTTCCTTTGAGGGACAAGCCTGGAGTTGTCTTAATGAATGGCCACAAGTTTTCAATGAGGACAAGGAATGAAGTCCTCTGGCAGAGGGGGAAGGGAATAAAACTTGGGTTACCATGTGCCAGAGACTTTACCTTTGCAGTTTCATTTAATCCTCACAAGAACCCTGGGAAGAGAGAGTATTAAATGACCTCATTTTTATGGGGCAGGGTTGGATAAGCTCAGAGAGGCAAACATTTGCCCCCTGATGTCACAGCTAGGAAGCACCAAGCTGGATCTGCCCACATCTGCGGGGCCTGGGCCACCTGCCTCTGAGACACTCCAGCAGCATTTAGCAAAAAGTAGCTGGAAGTTGGGATGGAATGGGGAATCCAGAGTTATGGGTTGCAAGGCAGAGTGTAGGAGTTGTGAAGGGTTAATTATGAATCTAGAAGAGAGTGGGAAATCGGTGTTCTGGGCCAGGGAACTGGACATTTGAATCTGCAGATCAGCAGAGGCTGGGTGAGGGGCTTTCAGGGAGGATCTCAGTTCACTCAGGGCTGGAGATCTTCGAAGCACATCCTAATGTTGACGTCTGCCTGTTATGAAGCAGGTGAGAAAACAGCAAAGCCCAGGGCAGAAAGGAAGTGAGACTGAGGTGTTGAAAGCTGATTGAAATTGCTAGTGAAAATGGTGGAGACAGTAGGCAGAAAAAAAGATGACTCAGCCCTTGAAGTCTTCTAGGAAAGTAGGGTAAGTCCAGGAGCAAAACTTAGCATTTAAAAAAGGCCTGCTGTGTTTTCACATTTAATCTTTACAGCTACCTCCCCCCACAAACCCCCACCATAATAGGCTGCCTTGCTTCCTTTTTATGGATTGGGAAGTCTCTGAGGCTCCAAGGAGAAACTGCTTTGCCCAGGTGTACAGCTAGTTAGTAGGCAGCGGACTGAGATGTGTGCTCCGTTCTGTCTGACTGCAGGTGAGCCTTGTGGCAGGAAGGCCGGCACAGAGACTCTGCTCTGCTTCTTTCCAAGCATTTCTCTCATTAAAAAGACAGAGGAACAAGCATTTCGGAACCCGCAAAGAGAGTGCTGATAGACAGTGACTTTCGTTTACCTAGCACATCTGGAGCTCGCGCTGGGTGCCTTCATAGTTGTTAGCTCATTTGGTCTTCACGGCAACCCTGATATTTGCATTTTACAGTTACATGTTCAAAGAGGTTTACTAATTTTGACTGGGGCCTGATAGCTAATAAGTGAGTAAAACCCGAGATTGGAACCCACCTTTGGAAACTGTGTCTGCTTATATTTTCAGATCTACCTGTGAGGTCGGTGGCTGGTTGGTTTACCCTGTTTAACAGATGAGGAAACTGAGGCATAAGAAAGCAAGTGGCTTATCCCAGGTTGTACTAAACAGTGGCTGGGCTCAGACTAGAACTCAGGTTTCCCCAGGGCTAGCCTTGGGCTCCTGATGGCAGAGGAGAAGTGAAATGGTAAGTCAGGGCATCAGGGACAAAGGAGGCTGGCCCTGGGTGGCAGACCTTGGAAGTGATCGTACCTGACTCCCAGGAAGAATGAATGGTAAGGGTAAATACACCCTAACTGGGATTAGAGGCTGTGGGGGCTGTATTGGTGGTGTATGGCAATTTGTGCTGACCTGATTCCCTCCAGACTTATGTGTTGTTGCTGGGGTCAGGGAAACTTGGCCTCCTCCCAGGAGGGTTAGGGTATGGCATTTACAGCTCCTTTGTTTTTTCTTCACACTTATCTCACTGGCTGTGTTTGCAGTTTCAGCTTCCAGCGGCTGGAAGAAGGAACCCTGTTGAGCTGAGACTAGCTCTGGGGTGAGGGGTGCAGAAAGAGACAGAACTTGTGGATCTCGGTTTTCTAGAAGTAAAAATTTTAGCATGTGGGAGCTCAGGAATGTACTTGGAAATGTTTCCAATTTATTTTTATTGCAAAGCAATATCTAATGAAAATGTGGGAGAAGACCCAGGAGCCTGCAAATAATAAATTGCCTGCTTTCATTTTCTGTGTCTCCTTTTAAAAATCTTTGTCCTTACATAAGCAATTTTATACAATTGTAACTGTAATGTTGGTTCACTGTGTATCAACAATACTGTATCCTGCTTTTAAAATTCATCATTATAAGAGTTTCTATTCTTTATAATGATCATTTTAAACATATGTGATACTTTTCTGGTGGATGAACCATGTTTTCCTTACCTATTCCTGTATTCTGGGGGCATTCAGATTGTTTCTAGCATTTTATTATTTATAGACAATGAGACCACAATAATTTTTCTTTAAAAAAGAAATCAGTTCCCTCAGATAAATTCCCAGAAATTCGGATCCTAGATCAAAAAGATTGAAGATCTTTTTTTTTTTTAATTGACTTTTGGAAATTATGACCAAATCCCTTAAAAGCAACTTCGCTGGGTATTGTTTTTTTAACCAGCAAACTGGCAGTGGGGGGCTGGGCATTGTGTGGAGGGTCGCAGATGTGGAAAGCCACCTCCTAAAGCCAGTGAGCAGGGGTCAGGTCATCCTGAGGACGTGGACAAGTGCCTCCCATTTTCCTGCTGCTGTGGTAGGGGTTCAGCTTGCTCAGCGCCTATCCTGTCTCCCTCCCAGACACCTGGGAAAACTGGTTGCTGCATGGGTGGAGCATTTACAGTTCAGTTGCTTCACCCTCACTCGCTTGTTCCATGATAGAGACCCCAGAGAGGAGGTGTGGCTTTGTCATTTATCTTTCAGCCCCATTAAGGTTGGCTCTGAAGATTAATGTCTTTTTTTTTCCCCCTCTTTCCCAGAATTTGTTCCTGTTGAAGAGTGGCTCCTCTTCTAATTTCCAGACTCCTTGAGGTTTTAGGAGTCTGGTAGGTGAAATTTTCTACCTCTAAGGAGAAACAGTACCTGCTCCTTCCTCAAGCGCAAGCCCTCCATTGCTATGGATACCGAATCCACTTATTCTGGATATTCTTACTATTCAAGTCATTCGAAAAAATCTCACAGACAAGGGTATGTAAGTTGTTCATTATTACACTTTTCCTTTTGGGGAAACCTACAGGTTGGTGGGGTTCTCTACACTCACTTTTCAGTGACTCAGCGCTGGACATTTGGTCGGTTGGTGCATGAGAAGCTGAGCTTTAAGAGCATTTAACATTCTTGGGAGTAACTACGTCACCAGTTTACATTTTATAGCCACCATTAGAGTTGATGACTTTAGTTTCTCACAATTGGTTTTAAATTAAAGTTTCTTCCTGCAGTGGAAATGTTTTTCATTTCTAGGTATTTCTTTTTTTTTTTTTGAGACGGAGTCTCGTTCTGTCACCCAGGCTGGAATGCAGTGGTGCCATCTCGGCTCACTGCAAGCTCCGCCTTGTGGGTTCACGCCACTCTCCTGCCTCAGCCTCCCGAGTAGCTGAGACTACAGGCGCCCACCACCACGCCTGGCTAATTTTTGTATTTTTAGTAGAGACGGGGTTTCACCTTGTTGGCCAGGATGGTCTCGATCTGACCTTGTGATCCGCCCGCCTCGGTTTCTAGGTATTTCTTATAGGTATCGGCTCTCCTGAAAGCTTTATGAAGAATGTAAATGGAAGATTTAAAAAGTGTTCATTGCTTGTTGCTTTTCACCTGAAGTTGTTGACTCATTGTCCATTATGCCTTTGTCATGAGGCTTATTTAGTGAACTGGTAGGATTGTCCTGGCACCTTATTCTTTTTGACTAATCTTCAGGTGAACAAGTTTGGGTTTTGAAAACACTGTCCTGAGTGATATTGGTCAAACTTCCCCTTCTCTGCAAAATTAGCAGGTGTGCACTGGTATTCTTAGGGCCTGCTGTGTTACTGACCTGTAGAATGTTTGTTAAGTAGAAGAGCAAATGAATGAATAAAGAAATCAGTGAACAGATAGGTGGCACTGTACCAGTTAGAATTGTACTTGGTGAAATTGCAGTGCTGCTGTTTACTTAGCCTTGTCATCTGTAAAATGGGTACAGCAGTCCTCTCCTACAGGGCTGTTGAGAGGATTAAATGAGATTATGCATGTGAAGCATGTAACACAGTACAGGCTGGAGGTCAGTCAACAGTGGCTAAAGTAATGCTGTAATGGCCTTGGCATTTCAGCACTATGTTCCAAGGTATCAACTGGCCCCAGCCCAAATGCCCAGCTCTGCACTGGCTTGGGAATAGTGATTGTAGTGGTTTTTCCCTGACTGCGCTCTTCCCCATACAAGCAGCCGAATGCAGAGTGAGATTTTGTTCTGTAAAACAGCAGTGAGCTACATATATCTAATTATTTACAAGCCCATCTGGATTACTAACGTAGAAAGAGGTTTGGGAGGGTGACCTCCCAAGCTGCCAGGAGTGGTCATCCATAGGGGGAGGCTCGGCAGAAGCTGGAGAATGATGGAAATTTTCATTTATCTTTTTGTACTTGTTCAATTTTTTTTACAAGTGTATATTTTGTAATTTTTAGAAATGAATGGAATATAGTATAAGGATAGGTTCTCAAAGATGTTTGATGACTTGAGGAAACGTTCATGAGACCATGTTAAAAGAAACAGGATTCAAAATGTTGTATGCTGTGATAGTTACATAGACATATGATGAGTATTCACATAGTGACTATGCCTGTCTCTGAGTGTAGGATTATGGTCGTATTTTCTTTTTAACTTTAATTGTTTTCTAAATTTTTATGTATTGCTCTTATCAAAATTTGGGGAAAACATGTCAGCGAGCTTGTGCTGGAGTCCAGGTAAGGCTTTCAAATAAGGATGAGAAACAGAAGGAGCTCGGGGCAGGTGCTGCTGGACGGGGCCTGTGGTGACATGGCAGAGCCCAGCTCCTGAGACAGTCACAAACCCTCTGGCCATAAGAATTGAATCACACATTTCAGCTGGTGGGTAAACTTACCAGATTTAGTTATGAAATACCAGAAACAGCTGTTTTAAAATACCAATTTTGTTTAGCACTACCAATTCCCTTGTCAATACCAGGCTTCCCTCATCCACACCACAATGACAGAAGTAGGAATTTGGGATTCCCTGGGTGCTTGGGGATGAACAAAGCAGGTTGGCTTTGCAGTATCCTTTGTGGGAACCATCTCTGGGCTCTTTTGTCTACACTCGAGTTCTGACTTTCACGCTTCGGGGCCCATTGCTACGCTCTGCTATTTCCTTAGGCCTCTTGGGGCCTCCAGAAATTGATATTCCAATGCCCTTGTAGTAACTTTAAGAGACTGTAACTTCCAATTAAAACAACACGCAGAATTTTTAATGCATTCTTGGACCCATATAGAAAGTACTTGGCAAATGTTAATACAAGCTGAGTCTTTTAATCAATTATTCAAAAAATGTTCCTGGATATCTACTCTGAGAAAAGCTCTGAGAGAGGAGATGAACCTTAGAGATTTGTAGGTGCACTCCATGGGTTCTTTAAAAAACACCACTACCACCTACGGGTGGTGGATTCTCCAACTGACTGCAGCATAGGGCACAGCAACTGTGGGGTGAGAGGCACCATCCCTAGAGAGCACGGGCTGTGGTGTACTTTGCTGGGGCCTAAAGGATGTTAAGCAGTAGGGTTGCCCCCCACAGGCATGAGAGCAGGCCCCAGGCCCAGCTAAGGGTATTTTGTCCAAGGAGTGTTCCTGTGAAGGCTGCCCTGCTCAGAGGTTTGTTGGGAACTTGAATGGAAGGGTAGGAGGCGGGTTGGGGTTGGAGGGGGACCATGCTCTTTGGTAATTTTAGTCAGAGTCCAACTCAGGGAGGAATAATGAAATGCACCAAACTTGATATGCCTGATGACACCATGATCATCTTAGAAGACTGGCCAGGTTCCAAGCAGATGACAAGTGACTGTTTTCTAACAAAGAGGTCAGTGGCCTGGTTTTGCGATGCCTGCAGTCTCCAGAGGGTGTCCAGTTAACTTGCTGGGAGAATGGTGTGGACTCCTGCTGACCCCGCCTAACTTTTGTCATTGTGGTGTGGATGAGGGAAGCCTGGTATTGACAAGGGAATTGGTAGGGCTAAAAAAAAAAAAAAAAAAAAAAAATTGGTATTTTAAAACAGCTGTTTCTGGTATTTCATAACTAAATCTGATCAGTTTACCCACCAGCTGAAATGTGTGATTCAATTCTTATGGCCAGAGGGTTTGTGACTGTCTCAGGAGCTGGGCTCTGCCATGTCACCACAGGCCCCGTCCAGCAGCACCTGCCCCGAGCTCCTTCTGTTTCTCATCCTTATTTGAAGTTGGGTTTGGAGCACAAGTTCCCTAATTTAAACAGAGCAGCTGCCAGTTATGTTAACTGCTTTGGGGGTGTCTGCTAGGCCCCTCCCTCATAGCCATTGTCTCCTATTCTCACAGCAGTCCTAGAATGGCGGGAGGTCATAGCCCCATTTTACGGGTGATGAAATCGAGGCACAGAGGGCAGTGTTATTTGCCTAAAATTACAAAGTTAGTAGGTGCCCTCAGCAGATTTTGGGCCAACCTTGTTTCTTTAGAAGAGAAATGCTACTTTAGGAAAGGGAAACGAAGGGTGACTCATGTGATTGATGTGCTAAAATGCACAAAAAGAGGGCCGCCGGGGCAGTGAGGAATTGGTGCTTTTGTTTCAAGGCTGCTTCAGAGTCTGTGTGTCCTGCGCCCAGCGCTCCTACCCCAGCCATAGCCAAGAGGAAGCAGCCAGCCGGGCCCCAGCAGCCAGCAGAGAGAAAGGACGGGTCGTGGGTTGTGGGAGAGAAGGAAAGGGAGGAGTAACCGGTGGGGCCAGCTTTCCCCAAATAGAAATAGGCAAACAACAGAAACAGGACTAAATAATCTTCCCAGGAAATGCTGACTGTAAGTGAGAACAGTGAGAATTACAGGGGTTCTAGCTGGAACGAGGAGGGTGACAGCAACCCCCAAGGGCTTAGCTCTAGAACCACCTAAACAGATGCATTTGCTCACACACGTGTGGTGCAGACACATGCCCGGGCTGCCTGCATGCCACCACTTGCTCTTCCTGCCCCTCACACAACACGCACAGATATACTTATCTTTACTCATACAGGCAGATGTTGCGTGGAGACAAATTCAGAGATAAAGATACGAAGAAAAACTCTCGTAGCTGACACAGCCACCCAGCAAAGGCACAGAGGTGATCCAGACCACTGAGGCAGAGTTGGAAAAACACACATGTATACATGTGTTTGTAACACCTCTCCCTGTGGCTTGGCAGTCTGTTTACTCTCCTGGTCTCCCATTTCCATACTCTTAGATGCCGTGAACAGATTGTCTTCATCATTGGGGAACCCTCTCCCAGACAGCACTTGGCAGCCATAGGTTTTCCCTGGAGTTGTGGCATCTGGAACTACAGGGATGAGCATTTGAGTACATATTACAGTGAGGTGGCCACACTGTGACCCGCAGTTCTGCAGACTGGAAGGCACTGAATGCCAGGATTTTTGCAGAGTGTCACTATGAAGTCCTGACTTGGCTCAGAGACCTTCTTAGAGCAGTAATTCGGGACCAGTGGATTTCTGATAAAGTTATTCTAATTTTCTAATAATTGTTTTCTAATAAAAGCCATATGGCAGGTCCTGCTCCCTTGGTAGCATGACCAGTACCTGGCGCAGTGCTAGTGCTGAGCTGACAGGAAGTGCCTCACCTTCATCTCTCACTTGACAGTGGGTGGAAGGTTCTTGGCTCGGTATCCCTCAGTCATGACTGCACACTGTCCTGAGCTTTTCTCCCAACTTCATCCACTTCATACTATTTTAATAAAGCGGTGCTGTGTATTATAACATTGTGCAGCTGAGCATTACACTCATGGCTCCCATTATCAAGCCCCTGCTATATACAGGGCATTTCACAAAGAAGCAAACTTCCAAGCAGTCACTCAGCAACCTCCTCCTAGGAGCATTTGGGGAAGAGAATCTTGGGGCAAGTTTCCTTTACCACCTGCAGTCACCTGGGATGCTGGGAAAAATTTTGATTTCTGTTGTCTCCCTTCCAGAAAATTATTTGAGAGTGGGGCCAACAAATCTGCACTTGAGTCCATACCTAGGATAGTTTTTCTGTGCAGTTTTTTAAGTTTAAGAGGTTTTTAAAGTTTAAGACACACTGGTTAGGGTTTTGGGCTCTGGAGGATGAGAAACCTTGCTTGGGTTATCAGATAACAGATTCTTCTCTGGTTTCCCTCCGATGTTATCAGGGGAATTGTTGGTTGTTTCACATTTGGGTGCTCCTGGGCCTTTTAAGAGCCAGGCTGGGAGGGCTGGTGATGGCAACCCTGGCTGGCAACAGAGGCTGTTTCCACCCCTGGGTGGCTCCCCACCTGCTTTCTGCCCTGGTAGGGTTCAGGCTCCGGGAATTGGCACTCAGTGAAAGAATTTTGATTTCCAGTGGAATTTGTGCTGTCACAAGATTTGACCCATGGGACTAGTGAATAGATAGATGGGTTAGGTGAGCATGTGACTTGGCTGGTGGCCGAGAGAGTGATAAATGTGAGAGTAGCTGGGGAAAATGGAAACGGATTAAGATAGAAGAGGGGCATTGTCCATCTGGCCGATGGCAGGGCTGGTGGAGCAGCAGTTCTAGACTATTCTGAGGTTAGTTCAGAAACTGACCTAACAACGTGGGAAGTCTCTCCCAAATTGTTTATAGTTTCTCACAGTGGGTGCCTTTTGAAGTGATTGTATTTGACAGCCCAGAGTGTTGGGCACACAGCTTTGTGCTATCTAAGGTCACGGTCCAATTGTGATTCCTAGCAATAGCTTCAAGGCATATTTCATAGCTCTAATAGTTTTCAAGTATAAGGGTGTGAGAATGAGCTTTAAGAATATTTATGCCATGAAATCTTCCAATTGCTCTTCAACACGGTGCACCATAGTAGGTGTGAATAGAAGTGGTGGCAACAGACCTGAATTCAGGTCTGCCACTGACTATAATACTAGCTTGAGAAGTAACTTGAACTCTGTGAGCCTCAGTTTCCTTGTCTGTAGAATGAAGACAATGATACTGCCTTCATAGGATTATTATTAGGATTAAATGAAATATTATAGTGAGGCATTCAGCAAAGTGTTCTATAAATTGGGGTAGGATGTGAGGTAATTGGCATTGTTAGATGCGTCTCTGGGTAAACAACCAAATTTTCTGCTTATTTGGCTGTTTCCCTAGCTGCCTTGTTAAAACAAAACACCTGAGTTGACCAGAACACCTCTGTTTTTAGAATCTAACTTTGCAGTTGTATTAGTCTCTTCTTGCATTGCCATAAAGAAATACCTGACACCTTCATAAAGAAATGAGGTTTAACTGGCTCACGGTCCTGCAGGCTTTACAGGAAGCATGGTACTGACATCTACTTGGCTTCTAGAGAGGCCTCAGGAAGCTTACAGTCATGGCAGAAAGTGAAGCAGTAGCAGGCACATCACATGGTGAAAGCGGGAGCAAGAGAGACAGTTGGGAGAGGAGGCGCCACACACTTTTAAACAACCAGATCTCCCAAGAACTCACTCACTATCGTGAAGATAGCACCAAGCCATGAGGGGTCTGTCCCCATGATCCAGACACCTCTCACCAGGCCCCACCTCCAGCACTGGGGATTACAATTGAGCATGAGATTTGGGTAGGGACAACTATCTGAACTGTATCAGCAATAGAGTGTGATTATAAGTTATGCTGTAGGAATAGAATTGTTGTCACTGAAAGATTCCCTTGGCCATGGGAGCCTCCTGGCTCTATGAAGGAATCAGCCAATGCTTATCCCAGGGAGGTAATGATAAGGTCGAAGTTTGACAAGAAATCTACGTTTTCTTAAGCTAAGTAGTAGGTTAACAGAAGATATGTTGTGTGTTAATAGTTCTATTTACATCTCTTTCTCCAAGGTTATACACACTCTGCATCACTAAGTCAAGACACCATTCTTTGACACTGGCTAATAGTAATAGCAATCATAGCCACTGTGCATTAGCACTTACTCCACATCCTTGTACTGAGCACTACTTACATTATGTGGTGTTGTCATTGTCACCATTTCATACATAAAGAAACCAAGGTTTTCAGAGATTGAATAACTTGTGCAAGATCACACATCTGGTAGGGCAGATCCAAGATCTGTTTGTCTCCAAAATCTGCTTCTGTCCTGCCTGGGAGACCTTGGGAATGACGGCAAGTGGTTGTAGGAAGGAGGGCTGATGTCAAGGTGGCTGTGGGGGCAGGAGGCTGAGGGAACTCACTGACCCTTGAGGGACTCCTTAGGTGGGGGATTCTGGGTTTCCTGTTGGCAGCTGGAGGGGGAGTGCCAGTTCCCATAAGTGGTTATTGCCCAGGTTGTGACCTTGGCTTGGCCAGTGATTGGTTCATTTTGGAATTTCATGAGTGACCCCCAGGCAGGGTTCTTACAATCA
Source organism: Homo sapiens (assembly GCF_000001405.40). Lineage (NCBI taxonomy): Eukaryota > Metazoa > Chordata > Mammalia > Primates > Hominidae > Homo > Homo sapiens. The sequence continues at coordinate 115,658,857 of NC_000001.11, forward strand.
CGCTGGAAGACCACCCAGGAAGTTCCTGTGGGGTAAAATGATGCAGCAGCCTGCTTTCCTCAGGAGGTCTGAAACCCTCCCCATGTACACACACACACACACACAAACACACACACATCCACCCACACACCCTCCACCCCTCTTGGTGTCTTTGGCCTTTTTTCCTAGCTTGTTTGTTTCTATGGGTGTCTTCAAGTTCAACTAGAACCTATGGGAATGACTTAGTTTTGAACCTGTAAGAATGAGAAGTAAACAATTCTTTGTACTGACTTTGAATTTCCTTTCTTCTGTTGTCCAAAGGTGAAGGGTGACAATGTGTCCCAGATTTTTTTGGATATTCTACAAAAAAATAGATATTTTTTTGTAGAAAAAAGCTTATTCTACAGTGTTGTCCCAATTTTAAAAGCCCTAGAAAACTGGTTAAGGCAAATTATAACCAAATCAAATCACTAATTATTACAATAAAGTGTAACTAGCTACAAAAATCCTAAAATTACAATTTTAGGCTTTGAGAAAATATCACTGATGATAGAGGAAGAGTGACAGTCTTTGTTTTGGGTCTTGGGATGGCAGAAAGAAAATATTTAGTAGGGAGTAAAGATCAGTGTACCCCTTGAAGTGTGGTGAAGATGGGTGGGTTTTGATGCTCTGTGTGTGTGTGTGTGTGTGTGTGTGTGTGTGTGTATGTAGAATTTCCCTAAATTCAAAATGATACTTACATTTTGATAAACCCAGAGAGTTAATTAACATGGCATAAATGTGCTAGCTCATTGTTGTTTTTCAGGGAAAGAACTAGAGAGAGACACAAGTCACCCCGGAATAAAGACGGCAGAGGGTCAGAAAAGTCTGTCACCATTCAACCTCCCACTGGAGAGCCCCTGTTGGGAAATGATTCTACTCGGACAGAGGAAGTTCAGGTAAGGATCAAAGGTGGTCTGTAAGCACACTGCCACTTGGCCAAGACTCCTGTCTGTAAATGTTTTCCTTAGGTTCTCTTGGATTTTTGTCTTTATTTTTCTAGCATGCTAATTAGTTTATCTATGTCCCATGGTCTCTTGTTGGTCTAAGGACAGCCTGTCCTGCCCTTTGGTAGCGTGGGGATTCTTCTGAAGTATGATTGGTTGGCCTGCTTTACATGGTGTGGAAAAGTAGCCAGCAAGGTTGACGACAGGGTTGGGAAGGGAAAAGCTGAAGTCTCCCACGACTCATTTCAAAATGGAACAGTATAAGGGGGAGAAGGAAACTCAGAAAACCTAAGAAGTTTAAAAAACATGGGGCAGCCCAGACTGACCATTACTACTAGAGCTATGCAGGAATTGAGAGGCCGCACGCTCAGATGCCTGGTAGAGAAACGTAAGTTAATTAAGGAGGCCCTGGGTCGAAAAGAGGGGGCAAAAATATATTAACCTAGCTTTGGGTTAACAGCAATCTGTGCAGTGCCTCAGTGTCAGTGCTGTAGTGTGGTGTGAAGGAGCCTATGGCTAACTGGAGAATGCATTTCCTCTGTAAAGGAAACAGCAGCTCCGCAGCTCCAGACACCTACTGTTGCTCAGGAATGCAGGGATTCATTGTTTGAGAAAAGCTGCAAATCAGGATTTTATGTGGAATCCTAACTTTACAGTATTTTTGAAATACTGATACTTTATTAATTTTTTTGAACCATTGAGTGGGTTCTTCTCCAGGTTCCAACTGTCTGGCAGCCCACCTGATTTAAATAAACATCTGAGCTATACACAGAAACATGTCTGCATACCCTCTGCACATCCTGAAGTATATATACACATGTCCAGCCTTGCCCCTCATAAACAAAGTGGTGTATGATACACAGCTGTAAAGATAGATATAGGACTATAGATAAGCATACATCTGTACATACCTGTGCATACACACAGGTAAGCATTTATAATCAAATAGGTGGACTGAAACTGGAATTCCTCAGAGTACACAAGGTGTTCTTGGGACACAAAACTACAATTGTGGGTTGAACGTGGGATTCATTGAGCAATGAGCAAATGCCTTTAGTGCTGCCTGCCTTGGCTCTGGGATGGCTGATGGTCGGATGGGGCCAGTCTTAGGATTGGATCACCCTGGAGTACTTGAAGGGGTCAGTTTCCTCCTGGATGTGGGTTCAGAGGTGCCAGTGGCCTACAGCAAAGGCTCTTCTTTCTCTGCATCTCCTCTGCACCTCGTAGCTGAGAACACTTTGAGAAGCTCTTGGTGTTGCCCCAGGATGATCTGGTGTGAAAAGCATTGAGATGGGTGTTTGGAGGCTGTATTTTTTAGTAGCTCTGTTACCTTGAGCAGTCACAGCCTTTGTAGGCCTCAATTTCTTTATTGAAAATCTAGGGGTTTTGATGAAAGCATCTTAGGTGCTTTTTCTTCTAAGAACCTGAAGCTTAACAGGATCCTTTGTGTATCTACATGTTTTAGGCATACATGTGCACCCCAGGAAATTCTCTCATGCCCTTTCTAGTCAATCTCTGCCCCACCCTCACCTCTCCAAGGCAACCACTGTGTTGATTTCTATCACTGTAGATCAATTTTGCCTGTTTTTGAATTTAGTATAATTAGAATCATATGGTCCATCTCCTGCCCCCACCCACCCGCCCTGCTTAGCATAATGATTTTGAGATTTATCCATGTTTTGGTATGTTTCAACAGCTTATTCTTTTTATTTTTGCTGAGTAGTATTCCATTGTATCAGTCTACCACAATTTGTTATCCATTCTCCTAGTGGATGGACATTTGGGTTTTTTTTGTTGTTGTTTGTTTGTTTTTTGAGGCAGAGTCTTGTTCTGTCGCCCAGGCTGGAGTGCAGCGGCATGATATCACCTCACTGCAGCCTCTACCTCCCGGGTTCAAGCGATTCTCCTGCCTCAGCCTCCCGAATAGCCGGGATTACAGGCACGCACCACCACGCCCAGCTAATTTTTGTATTTTCAGTAGAGATGGGCTTTCACCATGTTGGCCAGGCTGGTCTCGAACTCCTGACCTCAGGTGATTTGCCTGCCTTGGCCTCCCAAAGTGCTAGGATTACAGGCGTGAGCCACCGTGCCTGGCTGGATGTATATTTTTATTAATTTTTGGATAAAACCTGAGAGTGGAATTGCTGGGCCATATAGCTAAGTGTATATTTAGATTTATATGAAACCGCCAGAGTGGTTTTCCAGAGGCACTGTACCACGGTCCACTTCCACCAGCAGTGTTGGAGAGTCCTGGCTGCTTCTGGCCATCGTCTGAAATAGGAATTTCTCTCACTGTAGGTGATACTTCTGACTTTGCAAGTTGAAGGATTATTAGTTTATGGGATTGAGACCTTCACCACCACCGCTTCTTACCATAGCCCATACATTTCATAAATCATGGTTTTTTTGGTCATTACTAGATTCGGAGTTATTTGATGATGAGCGATGTCTGTCTTGCTGATTTAGCTACTAACTGAAACTAGCTTTTTCTAAGTTGGTGTCCTAATTTCACCCCCTTTGCCACTGCATCTGACTGTTTTCTTTCCGAGTGAAAGGATACATACAAATTTCAGAGGCAGAAACCTCTTTGGCCTCCTGTGTCTTTTCAGCGCCTTGCTCTTATTGCTTCATTATTGTTGCCAGTTGTTTTTAAACAACAAAATCCTTTAAAATTCTATCAACTGGGTTTTGCTAAGTGAATAGACTAATTGCTTTAACTAGCAACGGCCTAGAAGTTTAAAAAGAGAGGAAGCTAGAAAGTAAAAGATAACATTTTAATAATCCTGGTTGTTTCTATGCCCTTGATGTTTAGTTCCTCGTGAAAACATGTTTTAGAAAGAATTTTTAAGCCAATCTGGCCATACACGGATTCCTGGATTTGCTTAGCTTGGTCCATGAGAAATATTGTTAAAGAGTGCTTGACACTGATGCTTGTTAAGTGGATCTTGTGAACATCATAAGGAGATTTTTTTTTTTTTTTTTTGAGACGGAGTCTCACTCTGTAGCCCAGGCTGGAGTACAGTGGCACGATCTCAGCTCACTGCAACCTCCGACTCCCGGGTTCAAGCGATTCTCCTGCCTCAGCCTCCTGAGTAGCTGGGATTACAGGCATGTGCCACCACGCCTTGCTAATTTTTGTATTTTTAGTAGAGACGGGGTTTCACCATGTTGGCCAGGATGTTCTTGATCTCCTGACCTCCTGATCCGTCCGCCTCGGCCTTCCAAAGTACGGGGATTACAGGTGTGAGCCACCGCGCCCCAGTCCATAAAGAGATTTTAAAATGTGGGTCCTAGCTACAGGTAAGCTTGGGTTTGTGTAGTGGTGTAAGTTCCCTTGCTACGCCCTTTGCTCTTCTGGGCTGCTAGAGGGTGTAGTAATACTCCCACCTCCAAAAGTTGGACTTCGTAAGCCTTTATAACCCAGCGTGAATTGGAAAGAAGATGCAGGAGGTTTATCTCTATAGATGAGCTCTCACAAGATTAGTCTAATACCTGGGTTGCGCATTGCAGGGCAAACAGCTCCAGGCCCTCAGAGCTGCTCAAGGCTTTTCAACCCAGGGGATGATAATCAATGTTATGTCAATGAATCAGCCAAACAGACAGAAAGATCACATTATGTTTTCTCTGTTTGAAAAGGTAAATACCTCATACATTTTGAAAATTTCAATGAAAATCGTTTGAGTTAAGAAGTTCTAATATTTAAAGAGTTAAGCTTTCATTTTCTGGAAGCCTTTGTGAATAGGGCTGGGTAGATGCAGCGGGCCCTGCATGTTCACTGCCCTTTGTAGCTTTTACAAATGACCTGTGTCATGTCATCCTCACTGTCTTCTCCCCACCAGGATGACAACTGGGGAGAGACCACCACGGCCATCACAGGCACCTCGGAGCACAGCATATCCCAAGAGGACATTGCCAGGATCAGCAAGGACATGGAGGACAGCGTGGGGCTGGATTGCAAACGCTACCTGGGCCTCACCGTCGCCTCTTTTCTTGGACTTCTAGTTTTCCTCACCCCTATTGCCTTCATCCTTTTACCTCCGATCCTGTGGAGGGATGAGCTGGAGCCTTGTGGCACAATTTGTGAGGGGCTCTTTATCTCCATGGCATTCAAACTCCTCATTCTGCTCATAGGGACCTGGGCACTTTTTTTCCGCAAGCGGAGAGCTGACATGCCACGGGTGTTTGTGTTTCGTGCCCTTTTGTTGGTCCTCATCTTTCTCTTTGTGGTTTCCTATTGGCTTTTTTACGGGGTCCGCATTTTGGACTCTCGGGACCGGAATTACCAGGGCATTGTGCAATATGCAGTCTCCCTTGTGGATGCCCTCCTCTTCATCCATTACCTGGCCATCGTCCTGCTGGAGCTCAGGCAGCTGCAGCCCATGTTCACGCTGCAGGTGGTCCGCTCCACCGATGGCGAGTCCCGCTTCTACAGCCTGGGACACCTGAGGTAAGAGGCAACATCCAGGAGGCAGAAAGGATGGCTGATGTCTTGCTGGGAGACAGCTGCTCTGTAGCACGTGAGGGGTGGTGACAGATGCCAAGAGCTAGGACCAGAGTCTGACTCTTTTCTGGTTTGGGGAGGAGATGCGAGGGTGGGGAGGGTGTCCATGTTCATTGAGTTTCTGGACTTCTAGATGGTGCGGGGCAGTTGCTGGCTCTCACCCAGGTTGAGATTTTGCTGGGCTTGTTCTCAAAGTTATTGGCAGCTCCCAAAAATGATGGAGAAAGGAGATGCATAGTGATGGCTGCCTTCTTTGACTCTGAAATTGGCCAATGGACAACAGATAAAGTGACCAGCAGCTCCATTTTGTCCCAAATGTGACATCTGGTTTACCATGTTGTCCCAGTGGAATAATGAATTGTTCCTTTTTTCCCACTCTCAGAGGCCTGGTTTGGGCAGTAAATTATATGGTCATCCGAGGGACCCTCCAATAAAGAATCAAGTGCAGGTTAGAGACTCCAAATGTGTAATCCTTGAGTGTTGTGAAAATGTATGCGTGAGAAAAAGTTAGAAGTCAGTTGGGTTGTCATACTTACATCTCTGCATAAAATCTCATTATTTTGTGGTTAAATAAGAGTGATTACCATCATTTTATTTGCTTCAAGGTAAGCACTTTATATATAGATTGTGTATTTAGTCTTCATAGAACCCCGTGACCTAGGTATTATTAATCCCTGTGTCACAGATGAAGAAACTAGGGCTTAGGGGATTTAAGTAATTTGCACAAAAACATATGGCTAGCCTCATTTAGGATTCACTCAGATGTCATGAGGCCAGGGCTGAGTGAATGCCCCCATAATGGCATCTCTCACTTTGTGGTTAGTGGCCTATTTTTCCATCTGTTTTCTTCCACAGACTATGAACTCCCTGAGGCCAGGGGCCACCCTTATACCTCATTACATCCTCAGTGCCTGGCATGGAGCATGGCTTGCACTGAGATGTTCTCTGGGTGAATGCAGAGCCTGGGACATTTGACTTCAAAGCCTTTACCCTCTCCCAGGCTCTCTGCCTCCTTAGGCAGTATATGCTGATGTGTGTAGCCTGCTTGGGGCAGGGTAGGCACTTAGTTCATTGCAGCTATTACTGCTGTGATCATGTAGCTGGCAGAGCAGCCAGAATCAGCAAGGGCACACCTTAGTGGGTATCAGAACAATCGGCTTTGTCATAGATTTGGCTGGGCTCCAGGAAGGTGGCTCAGCCTGTATTTGGAGTCAGGCCATGCTGCCAAACCATCTTCATGTTGGTGTGTACCCTCCTCCATTCCTCTGGCTTGGCTTGTGCTACGAGAACGGGATGATCTAGCGTTCAAGGTTGCTGCCACCCTAACTGATCCTTGGTGGAAACTGGTGTCCAAGTCACATGTCTGTGCACCAAAAATCTGGGGTTTAGAGTCCTTCACAGATGCCTGTAGGGCTCTGAAGACAAGTAGGTCACCGCTTTGCTGCATATTCATCTCAGAAGGCTTTCTTTTCCCATGTTTTGCATCAGGGAATGACCAGCAGTTTTGTGTTAAACATCTGCTGTGTGCAGAGCCCTGGACACACCAGGCTGGCTGCCTTCAGAGCTCTATCTCAGCACCTGTGGCACTCACAGTCACTTGGAAAGAGACCAGTGCACCGCTGTCTGGTGGACAGGTGCAGAAACAGGCCTGGGGGTATAGGTGATAGGAACACAGGAGGACAGAGAATTTCAGATTGTGGCAGCAATAAAGCCGAGCAGGAGACAGTCTGTCTCAGAACAGGTTTTGCTGCAGTTAAAGTGGTAGAGAAAAATCCGGCTGTGGTCTCAGTGGAGATGAGTGATATTTGGAACTCTGTATATGTAAGTAGCCAAGACACTGGCCAGGAGTGAGGTCTATGGTGGTTTTGTTTTTTGGCCCTTAGCCCTAGTTGGTGTGAATTCCACCTGTGTAGGTGGGAAAGGGCAGGGCATCTTCTCACCATAGGTCATGCAGGGTGGTGGGACCGACTTACCCCCATGGGCTCCCACATCGCTCCTCCCTGTACGACTGGTTGAGCTGCACACTGCATCTGAGTGGGAGTGGAGAGGGGACAAACCAAACAGCCCGAGGAAAGTATGCCTGTGGCGTGTTCAGAAAGCATGATTAGCAGCAGCCCTCGCCTCCCACCACACAGCTCTGCTGGTCAGGGCAGAGCTGGATGGGAGAAGCCAGACTGATTGTGCTGCATGGCTCCCAGGCTTGCTGCAAACCTTTCAGTCTGCTCTTACCATGACCAACAACTGTCCAGGCTTTAAAAAACTCAAGTCAGTCACCCCAGCTCCCCAGGGAGAACTGAAAGGTGGCAAGTGCCCATCTGCCCTGGGGAGAGCGTTTTGAGGTGGTCCCCAGCCTCATCCTTTCGGCTTCTTTTTAGGACCATTGGTGTTCCTCCTCTCCCTGCCTTTAATAAGGCCCCCTTTGTCCCTCTCGTGGAGAGCCTGAGTTAGGAGGTGGAAAGAATGGCTGGGGAAAGAGGGACATCTTTACTGACAAATGGAGCCCTCAGGGAGAGCCAGATGCCCAAGTGTCAGCCAGTCTGCCAGAGCTGGAGCAGGCTTGGCACCTTTCCTCCTGGCATTGTGTGGGCCTGGTCACCTGCCGATCCTTGGGCTAAATCTGGTCTGAACCCAGCAGTGGCTGGAAGAGTTACTAGGCCAGAAATACAACTTCTAAGGCCTTTTGTAAAGTGTAGAAACAGACAGGAGGGAAGAGGGAGCGGGAATAGACAAAGCAAGCCTCGGAAATCAGAATAGCAGGTCTCCATTAGACCCAGCAGAATCACAGGCTGTTGGCTCTCCCTTTATGTAAAGCCTTCACCGTGGCAGCACCCTATTGGGCTTAGGTGCCAAGCGATGGTGAGTTCTTTTTTATGTTTTCAAAGATGATTTTATCGAATTGACTGAGCTATTTTTGAGAGTTGTCTAAAGAATGTCTACTCTTTAGTTTCTTAAAGAAAATAGGCTTCTCATTAGTTCATAAAAGGTGCTTGCTGTGGCCCTGCTTGTTGGCAGGAATGAAGTTTTGGGCTTATTTGAAAACTTTCAAAAATGTAAAAAGTTGTTGCAGAAAGTAAGATACCATAAATAGATTGAGATACTTCCTAACCTCTGCCCAGTGCCCTAGGAGTTATGAAAAGCTTTTCATAGGTTTGGACTCATTTACCCCTCCTTGCTGCCCTGTCAGAGGTCAGAGCAGGTGGGGTAGAGGTGTCCCCTCTTACAGTTGAGGTCCCCAACCCCCAGGGTAAGGGACCTGCTCAAGGTCACAGGGAATCAGCACCTTCCTGTGCATCACACCGCTTACCCCACCGCACTTTCTACAGCGTCCTGGTGTCTCACACAGTCGCTTTGTCATTTTCCATACACACCTTGCTCGTCACTTTTCTTGGCCCCGTTCTCACAATAAGTTGCTAACTTTTCCAGGATGTTACCAGAGACTAATGACTGTTGATATGACTTTATTTGAGGAGAAACCCAGAAGAATAGAAGAGCCTAAAAATTGGCATTCAATTATCTTAATCATTTTTCAGTTTTGAAACCTCTAAAGGGAAATAAGTGTGAATACTGGTGCACAGGCACTAGTGTAATTGACTGGTTGAATGTGAAATGGTAGAACAACAGAGACAGATAAAGAAAACCTTAACAATAAACAATTACATAGTCTTACTGGGAGCCAGGTACCTTCTGATCTTTTAATGTGCAACTCAGTTTTCACAACAATCATGTGAGGTAGGTTCTGGTAGCCTCCTTTTCAGATGAGCAAACCGAGGCGTGGGAGAGTTAGGTAAGTCTAAGGCCCCACACTTTGTAATTGTGGGAACCAGGATTTGAGCCCAGGCTCTCTGGTTCCAGAATGATCTTACCCATTTCACCATACTACCTCTGAATAGATAGTTGCATGTTCACGTCACTGCTTTAGGAACACATGAACAAACCCAGAAGCATTTTTTGAGTGTTTCCCATGTGCCAGCCTCGGTGCCAGATATTTTTGTATACATTATCCTGTTTCACTTAACACAGAGCTTAGGGCTGGAACAGAGAGAATGTGCAGGATTGTCAAGATGGCTTGCACTCTGAGGTCCATTCCTTAGCTCCACTGGTTATTTTATTCACTCAGTTGACAAAGCCTGGTCCTTAAAGTCATAGCAGTAGGTTTGAGCCTTTGGTCAGACCTTTTTAACTTCCTATACTTCACATGTCTCAAAGAAAATATATTTTATCTATTGTTGTGTAACAACTACCTCACCACTTAGTAGTTTAAAACAACCAATTCAGTATTTCTCACAATTCTGCAGCATGGATTGGGCTCAGCCAGGAGGTTCTTTAGCTGATCCTGCCCATGGTCCTGTGTGATTATACTCACATGGTGAGTCAGCTGAGGCTGACTTTTTTTTCCTGTGTATTCTCTCCTCCTTCTTTTCCTGTATATTCTCTCCTTCTCATGGCCTCTCCTTGTTGTTTCCTCATTAGGGTTGCTAGACTTCTTAAATGGCAGCTCAGGGCTCCCAGGAGCACAAAAGCAGAAGCTCCCAGGCCTTTTAAGGTCTGGGCCTGGAACTGTCCCAGTAGTATTTCCACTGCATTCTCTTGGTGAAAGCAAGCCACAGCCCTATCCCACATTTAAGGAGAGAGGACGACACAAGACAGAGGCTACTAGGATGTTAAGTTCAATGTCACAGACCCCCACAACCACCTCGGGCTGTCTTTCTCAGAGTCTGTTTATTCTCATTTTGCATATAGTTCTAACAAATTTAATTATTGATTTCTACATCTTAAAAAGCCCAGAAGTAATATATTTTGAGGGGAAAAAGTGCTGCTTTAAGGAGGTATATGAACATCAATGAAAAATGATAGCTGATAGTCATCAACAAGGAGGGAGACAGAGAAACCACAAAAGCAGGTATGACTCAGCACTCTGGGAAGCTTTCCACAGTGACCCATTCTATAGGATATTTATATTGCTGAAGCTCCCTTGTACCTAATTCAGCCAGCAGGTTTTAACTGTTTGGGTTTTTAAGCTTCAGGGTCAAAGTTTTGGGGTAAAAAATGCTTCATTCATTGAGACTGAGAGAGAGTAGCTTATAAATTGACACTGACCATAGACCTTGATTTTGTGTCCCCACCCAAATCTCATCTTGAATTATAGCTCCCATAATTCCCACATGTTGTGGGAGGGACCCAGTGGGAGTTCATTGAATCACGGGGGCGATTTCCCCCATACTGTTCCTGTGGTAGTGAGTAAGTCTCACAAGATCTGATCGTTTTATAAGAGGAAACCTTATAAAAGGTGGCTCTCATTTTCTTCGTTGTCTGTAAGATGTGCCATGTAAGATGTGCCTTTTGCCTTCTGCCATGATTGTGAGGCCTCCCCAGCCACATGGAACTGTGAGTCCATTAAACCTCTTTTTCTATATAAATTACCCAGTCTTGGGTATGTCTTTATCAGCAGCATAAAAATGGACTAATACAGATCTTTTAATCAAAGATGTGGTAACGAATCACAGAACCACCTGTGCTTTAGAAGAAATGATCCTTGGATTGCTTTTCAAGCAATGGAAGTTTATGATTGTCACATTGTCAATTGTGATTATATTCAAGGAAGTGTTATGGACTGAATGTTTGTGGTCCCCCCAAATTCATATGTGGAAGCCCTAACCTCCAGTGTGGCATATTTGGAGATGGAGCCCCTAAGGAAGTAATTGAGGTTAAATGTAGTCATAGTGTGGGGCCCTGATCCCATAGGACTGGCATCCTTACAAGAACAGATACCAGAGAGCTTGCTCTGTCTCTGCACACACCCTTAGAAAAGGCTGTGTGAGGCCCCAGAAAGAAGGTGGCCATCTGTAAGCCCAGAAGAGAGCCCTCAATAGGAACCAGGTTGGCTAGAACGTTGATCTTGGACCCCCAACCTCCAGAACTGTAAGAAAATAAATTTCTGTTGTTTAAGCTACCTAGGCTGTAGCATTTTGATACAGCAGCCTGAGCTGAGACAGGAATATTACATACACTGGAGACTTGTGACCCCAAAGACTTTTGACCTGTTGAATAGAGCTCATCTTGTCCTCTCTCCAGCTCATGCATGCATCCTCCCAGCTTGCAAGGGGGCCTTGCTTCTCTGGATTGCACTTTGATTTTCTAGTTTTAAGTGACAAAGGGAGAGTCTTCTAGGGATGTTAAAGTTACTCCAGTAATTCCAGGATATTTCCAGCTCCTTTTGAAATCTTATGTTTGTAATTCTGGGTCAAGTAATGTCCAAGCCAGTGATTACATTACTGGTAGGCATGTCTCTCATGCTGGGCCACGCCCTCCATCCCATGTTCACGATGAGCACCAACGGTCTCTGAGAGCCCAGAGCCAGTGGCTGCAACGTTGGGAAAATTCTTAAATGACCATCAGTGGTTTTGGCTCATGTTCCTACGATTGTGGGTTCATATACCATCTCATTTTTAGAAATGTGTGTTTTTGTACTCCTGTAATTACTTTTTAATAAAGATATTTTGCCAGTCCTTAGCTCCACTCCATAGCAAAGCAAAGGACAAGAACAAGTAAGGGCTGAAACATAGAGCGTGGAGGGTTTTGCTCAGGCCATGCTTTGCTGTGGGAGAATTTTGAAGGCGGGAGTGGAGCTGCCGTTTGTGGTTTGGTGCTGTGGTGCCTGTTAAAAGTGGCTTTAATGAGAGTGTAAGGTGCTGCACACTGAAGCCCTGTGTTTATTCAGCTGCCTCCTGCCAGCGGCTACAGCTGGGATGGCTTCCCTCGCACGGCGTCTGCCCACAGCCTTGCGCCCGGAGCCCAGAGGACTCACAGGAAAAGGAGCTGGCAAAGGTGAAGCTGGTTTTCATGGTCTCCTGAGGGCCCCTGGCCCCTGGGAGATGGGTCACACTCCCTGAATGCTGTGCTGTTGGTTTCCCTGGAGGATTCTTGCTGCAGGCCAGGTCCCGTATTCTCCACACTCACCACAAGTGGCTGGGTGTGACTTGACACGGTGTGAAAGTGGAGGGGCGCGAGCACTCAGGTGGGTGAACAGCCTGCGGCCTCCTTTCCCTGGCTGCAAAGCCGCCACTCAACTCTGCTCCAGCCCAGGTTTCGGGGAGCCGGGATCCACTTGGGCAGGCCGGGAGCCTCAGACTCCAGACTTTTCATGGTGCGCTCCTTCCTGCTTACTCAGGAGGAAGGCGAGGCAGTCCAGCATCCTGGGTGGAGTGGAGGTGTTTCGAGTCCATATCTAAATCTTTTTCTTAGAGCACCCTAAGCAGGCTGCTGTCTTTGATCCCCATGCCTCTGCTGTTTATCTTGGTGTGATTCATCACTGTAATTTAAGACGTGGAGAGAGCAAAGTTCCCATCCCAGGCAGGGGAGGCGCAGTGCAGGTTGGACTGTGTAAGGAAATGGCAGCATGGCGAGGTTTGTGCCGCGGCCTACAAGCAGGGCTGCATGCTCCCCAGGCAGACTGTGGCAGAGCCAAGCCCCTCACTTGTAGGGAAGCGTGTCTCCTAGGTGCCCCAGTAGGGGAGGTCTGCCAGCATCGCTGTGCTGTGGGGAAGGCAGCCAGAGGGCTTCATCCATAACTGGCTCAGCTCCTCAGGAGGAGACCAGCAGTGTGTCTCTGCACTCAGAACTGCCACTGGGTCGTGGTGTTAAGCCCAGGAGGGGTGCATATGTTGACAACCTTGTATTGCTTAGTTGCTGAGACCAGAAGATCCAGGTAATTGCATGAGCTATTAGCTACTTCTGGTTCTCACAAACTCCTCCCAGTGTTGATAGAGAATGGTGTCCTCCGGGCATGCTCTGGGTATAGTTTTATTTGTATTATTAGGGACTCATGGAGAAGTGCTCTGGGTGTCCTGCACACTGCACTTTGGAGATCATTCTGTGATTCCCAAGTCCTGCTGATTCCACTTCCTTGGCGCTCTGGGATTAGATATCCTAGGCTGCCAATCTGCATGTTCATCTTTCAGTGGGGATACCCTGCAGGGCTTGTCCACAGCTTGAATTTCAAACCAAAAGCCAGGTACGCTTTCCAGCCTTCCGATATTGGTTCAAAGAATTTGGCTGCCGAAGCTTTTGTGTAGCTGAGGCACCAGCAGGCCCGAGGCACGAGTGAATCCAGGTGGCCCGAGGAAGAGCCTTCCCATGGGCCTCAGCAGCCACACAGAGCCTCTGATCTGTTTCCCTTTGCGGGATGGTCAGTCTCCTGTGTCTCAAGACCTCAAGCAGAAACCTGTGGATCTCCCCCTCTATCTTGAAAGTCCAACCAAGTCCAGGCCTTTGTTGTGCAGTTTAAACCAGACCTGTCAGTAAACATGAGCTAATTCCAGTTTTTGTCCCTCTTTGTCCTTCTCAAGTTCCAAGGTGATCATTGCCTGTTATCTATGGGACTTGTGTAAGCTAACTTCCCAAATGCAGCTGTGAGACAAACATTTTAATTAAAAGGCAGAAGGGCCAGGAGATATAAACACTCATGTGCCTGGTTGTCAGTGAAGGCGGTGGCGTTCAGCGTCCAGGGGCTAATTATATTCTCTTCTCTGGGACTCACACAAATATTGCCACAAATGTACCTGACTGTCAGACTGAAGTCATTTATCTCCAAGTGTGGGGAGCAGTGAAGCCCACACGTCCAGGTAGATTTAGCTCTTACGGACTCTTCTGGGAAGCAGCAGGTGGGTAAAACTGAAAGCATCAGCTATTGCACCCTAGCTGCAGGTTTTCACAGAAAGCTGAATCAACTTGTATTGGGGATTCTGCATTTTAGAGTTCTCTCAAAGACCTAGGTTTGGGCCCTAAAATGCAGCCACCAGAGCAGGCACACCTTAAAAAGTAGGTAATGAGTGGCCTTAGTGCCTGGGCAGCCGTCAGTACTGGCCTCCTTTGGTTGTCCCTGTCCACTGACCCTCCTTCCTCCCGTTCTCTCACGTTTGCATTCATCTGCAGCCTCCATTACCATTGACCAGCTTTGCCGCTTACCTGCCTCCACCCTTCCTTCCCTAAGTTCGAGTAGTTTCCTAAGTAGCTTCCCCTTAGTTTCCTAAGGCTGAAGTAATAGAGTATAGCACAAACTGGATGGCTTAAAAGTTCTCCTTCTCAGAAAGTACAAAATCTAGGTGTTGGCACAGCTGTGCTCCCCGCAAAGCCTCTAGGGAAGAATCCTTCCTTGCCTCTTCCTAGTTTCTGGTGGCTGCTGGCAACCCTTCGTGTTCCTTTATGGCTGTGTCACTCCAGTTTCTGCCCCCATCATTACATGACCTCCTCTCTGTGGGTCTCTGTATGTCCTCTTTTTTTTTTTTTTTTTTTTTTTGAGACAGAGTCTTACTCTTTCGCCCAGGCTGGAGTGCCTTAGTGCGATCTCAGCTCTCTGCAACCTCTGTCTCCCAGGTTCAAGCAATTCTCCTGCCTCAGCCTCCCTAGTAGCTGGGATTACAGATGCATGCCACCACACCCAGCTGCTTTTTGTATTTTTAGTAGAGATGGGGTTTCACTTTGTTGGTCAGGCTGGTCTTGAACTCCTGACCTCAAATGATCTGCCTGTGTCGGCCTCCCAAAGTGCTGGGATTACAGGCATGAGCCAAAGAGGCCTGGCCACCTCTTTTCTTATACGGATACCAGAATGACTCTACCTTAACTAAACATAACATCTGCAAAGACCCTGTGTCCAAATAAGGTCACATTCTGAAGTTCTGGGTAGATGCAAATTTTGGGAGACACTATTTGCCACTACGGGTTTCTCCAAGTTGTGCTGTCCTGTGACTGAACACTGACCCTGTTGCTCTATTGTGGATGTTTGGGAGGATTAACACCAGCCTGTTTCTGCTCACACTGCTTTCTCTGCCTGGAATTTGCTTTACAGCCTGTTGTCCCTGGTGTGACCATCATTCATCTTGTAAGACTTAACAGCCCAGCTTTGCCCCCACTGTGGATTCCTGGCGGAAACACCGTCCCTCTTCTCCTGGTGTACATGTTCTGTCACGGTCTCTGGATCACTTGACTGTACTTATTGTTTGAGTGGTACTCACCACTAATTGGAGCATAAGCCCCTTGAAGGTTTCATTTACATCCGGGTCTCAGTACTAGGGACTTAGCAGGTGCTCATAATTCGTAACTGCTTTTGATGGAGTTGGAGAGGCTAGTTATTAAGATTTTTCTGAATGTAGCATCCTTAGCTGGCTTTCAGGATAGTGACTGCATGCTCTAAAAGGAGATCTTTGCAGATTTTACTCTATGATGAGAAAACTTTTTAGTACTTTTTCTGTCAGCATGTACCTAGGTAATAAGAAGAATGACGTGACATGTATTTGGGGAATTAGCATACAAGAAGTACTTTGACATTTTCCACGTGTGAAGAAAGCTGTTTTTATTGACCTAGCTGAAGGGATCAAATTCATATTTGAAAAGATGTGGCTAAAACTTGAAAAGGACTTGTCCATGGGGGATGTCTTCATCCCTTCTCCCTGCTCAGGGAGAAGTTGCAGGCCATAAAGTGTGAGGGCATCAGCCTGGATGAGCTCTAAAGCTCAATGTTAATTTCGGATTTTAATAACATGTAAGAATACAAGTTTGATTGCAGAAGCCACAATCAAGTTCAAGGGAGGGTGAATGAATGGGAAGTAGAAGGGACCATGTGTACGTCTGTGTGTGTGTGTGCATGTATGCACACATTTTTTTAGGCTTTGGTTCCTTTAGCTATAAAATAAGGGAGTTAAAATGGGGGTGGTTTATGGTCACGATTGTTTCCTTCAAGTATCTAAAAGGCTTTCACCAGCAAGGGGGACTTGGGTTCAGAACAAGGCATTGGGTGAACCAGTGGTAGAACTGAAAGGTCGTTTCAGTGTGAAAGTGAACTTTCTTTTCAAGCAAAGGCTGGATGTCATTTGGGAGCTTGTAAAAAGAATTGTTATATGGCTGCCAGGCGCAATGGCTCACACCTGTAATCCTAGCACTTTGGTAGGCTGAAATGGATGGATCCCTTAAGGCCAGAAGTTTGAGCCAGCCTGAGCAACATGGTGAAACCCCGTCTCTACTAAAATACAAAAAATGAGCCAGGCGTGGTGGCATGTGCCTGTAGTCCCAGCTACTCCGGTAGGCCGAGGCACGAGAATTGCTTGAACCTGGGAAGCAGAGGTTGCAGTTAGCTGAGATTGCACCGCTGCACTCCATCCTGGACGACAAAGGAGACTGTCTCAAAAATAAAAATAAAAATTGGCCAGGTTTGGTGACTCACACCTGTAATCCCAGCACTTTGGGAGGCCAAGGCAGGTGGATCATCTGAGGTCAGGAGTGCAAGACCAGCCTGGCCAACATGGCGAAACCCCATCTCCACTAAAAATCAGCCAGGCATGGTGGCGTGCGCCTGTAATCCCAGCTACTTGGGATTTGAGGCAGGAGAATTGCTCGGACCTGGGAGACAGAGGTTGCAGTGAGCTGAGATACGCCACTGCACTCCAGCTTGGGCGACAGAGCGAGACTCCATCCCTAAATAAATAAAATAATTAAAAAAAACAATTGGTATATGGATTGGGAGATTGGACTGATGGACTCTTGATTTCTCTGATTCTTGAATCTCTGCTTGGGTGAACACTAAGATTCCTTCCATTTCTAAAATTTTGAGGTTCAGTATAAATAGAAATGGGGTCATGCTTTTGTGGCTAGGAGCTGTGTGTATATTCTAGCCACCAACCAACCCCATCACCGCTGCAAAATGTTCATGCTTATTATTAGTAATGCGATAATTTTTTGTGTTTGTACAATGCATTATAGTTTATAAATGCCTTCACTGTCATTATTTCATTTGCTCTTCTCAACAACCACATGCAGTGGTTGGTGTTATCTCTTTATCAAAAGCCAAGAAAAAGGCCAAGAAGGGGGAAATGACTTATACAGGATTACAGGGTAGGTAGCAGGAATCTAGACCTTCTGGAATCTAGTACTCCTACAATGGATGCCTCCCTATAGGTAGGTTTGATTTTCAGGAGGCTGAGAGTTGGCAGGAAGTACTGCATAAAAACAAAGAGTAGCATAACTTTGTGGCCCCAGTCCCTAAGGAAAACTGTGCAGAGTGGACCCATCTTGGCTCATTTCCCATGGCAGTACCCTCATGGTGGGCCTCTGGAGGAGGTTGGTACAGGCGCACCTGGGATCAAGTTGGCCGCTTCAACATATATGGCCATATAAGCTCGTGGTGGCTATCGTTTATGAATTATTTACTTTGAATAACCACTTTAAAATGTGTTATTTCATCTTCAGCACAGACCTAAACCAGGCAGGCTACTCCTCTTTAGGAAGCAGGAAAGTGGTGGGTGAACTCCCAAGTCTCCAGTATTTTTCCTGGTATAAATGCCAACTAGCTTTGAAGTCTCATAATGTCATAGAACTTGGAATCATCCCAATGGATATTTAAGCTCATGAGACTTAACCTGCCTTAGGGCGATGCCGACCTCAGCCAGCACCTGGTATACTTGGATCTCGCAGGCTGCTGCTGGAGGTTCCGAGTAGCTGCCTGTACCAGGCCTGCCCCAGTCAATTCATTAGCCTTTCAGTAAGACGTTTTATGCCACTGAGTATTTTGGAGCCCACTTATCATGGTAATCAGGGTTTTCTGTGCTGCTCTTCCCATCCTGCAGATGAAGAGTATGAGGTTTGGAGAAGTGACTAATTTGTTCAAGGTGAATGAATGAGTGAGAGAGCCTGGAGTCATGTTGTCTGGGGCCAGAGTCTGCACCAGTTGCACTGTGCGTGCCTCCTCCCACAGCCTCTGTGCAGACTCAGACATGCACAGAGCATGGGGAGGCAGTGGATGGTCTAGATATGCAGGGCATTAATTTGGTTTGTATTTTTTTCTTCAGAATTTATCTTTAAAAAATATGTCTTTCAGATTTTTGTGCATTAACATTTGAACTACGTTTTGAGGTGCTTCTTTCCAGGTCTGTTTAAGAAATGTAGCCCAAGGGCAAGCCCCTCTTCTCTGTTGCCATGGCAGTCATGTAACAGTTGTCAACAACACTGGAAGTGCTTTCGTGGTTGATTAGACACAAAAGACCACAGCATTTCTCATTCCACCCTCTTTGTCCTGCAAAGAAAATAGGCCAGTAGGCAATGTGGTCAGCAGTGGGTTTTAAATTAAAATGTAGCCATCAGATTCCCTTAGACCTTTGTGTAGACCCATTGCTGGCCCGTCCTTCCCAGGAGTTCAAGTTTGGACCAGCCTAGACTGAAGCCTATTGAGGAGGTTTTTATGCATAGGTCTCAAGCGAATTTCTGTCACAACTAGGCGTACCTTCATGTGCTGTTTTCCACAAATCTATGTGGTCTGGGAGAGAGTATTTCTTTCCCTGGGTTGTGACTAGGCAGGTATGTTGGCATGTGGCACCAGTTGAGCACAGAGTCCTCTATCTTGGGAAAATGCTCCTTGTCATAGGTTTCTGAGGGGGCTGAGTCCACAGTCTATACTTCAGGCTCCCCCTGATGGTAATACAGGGGTCCTGTTCAGTCAGGCTACTGCCTTTTCTCTCTGAATTTAATGGTGATAACAGAGGGGGCAAGTTTCTAACCAACTTGATTTTTCTTGCCTCCCACATTTCCCCAAGATTGTCTGGTCTAGAGATTGGGGTTTGTAGAAGGATTTGCTTTTGTTCATCTCTGGGGCCCTTTTTGCCTCTGAAATTCCATGATTTTATGAAATACATATTCAAGACTGATCTTAGGCCTGTGGGAATTCTAAGATTGCATGAACAGAGAAGTTAAGCCTGCAAGTATTATATACCCATGGAGGAACCAAAGGACGTGTCCCCTGTGTGTCAGGGATTTGCATGGGCAAGCTTGTTGAAGGGGCAAGACCAGCTTCCTTGACTCCCTCGAAGATATCACAAGTCATGTGTCATCACTGTTGATGCTGCAAGTTTAGGGACAGATCAGTGGGGACTGGAGGATTCGAAAAGCCTTCCTGAAAGAAGCCAGTCCTGTGTTGGCTTTGTGGTTCCTTCCATATTTGGAGGGTGGAGAGGAATCAAGGCAAGAGGAATGCTGGGCACGGACAGTGGCGGAGGGAATGGCTGCTCCCTGCATCCTGGCCTCCCGGGGCTATGACTGAGGCCATGGCATAGTAATTAGGAATGACTGATAGCAGTAGTGAGGGAGAATGTGGAAAAAATGTAAACAAAACAGCCTCACCTATTCACACTTGCTGCAGCTTGGGACAGAGTGGGGATAGATGGCCTCCACCTCCTGATGGAACCCAGTGTCTTCACTGCCTTATGTACGTGGCACAGCTCACTGTTAAGATGCGTAATCATCATCTGGAGTAATCAAGAAGACTTAAATCATATATCACATAGCTTACTCTCTTCAAAACGATGAAGAAAGGCCAGGCACAGTGGCTCACACCTGTAGTTCCAGAACTTTGGGAGGCCAAGGTAGGCGGATCACTTGAGCTCAGGAGTTCAAGACCAGCCTGGGCAACATGGTGAGACCCCGTCCTTACTAAAAATACAAAATTTAGCTGGGCGTGGTGGCACGTGCTGTAGTCCCAGCTATTTGGGAGCCTGAGGCAGGAGAATCCCTTGAACCTGGAGGTGGAGGTTGCAGTGAGCCGAGATTGCGCCACTGCACTCCAGCCTGGGTGACAGCGGGAGACTGTCTCAAAAAAAAAAAAAAAGAAGAAAGGCATATTGGATTTTATCCCAAAATGTCACAACCATTTTATTTAAGTTGTGCACTTGAGTTTTGTGTTTATTTAGTTACTTGGAAATTCTCATTCCCTAATACTGCCAGGTATGCTGGGCATCAAACAGACCATCCTCTGTAGGTGAGAGCATGCACACTCTTGGAGGCGTTTATCAACTTCACCCTGAGATCTCTTCAGCTCCAGCATTGGCTTCTCAGCCTGTGGGGCTGGCCAAGCCCACGGCAGGCTCTGAGTCATCCTGTTGCTTCTCTGAGAGGGCAGAGCCAGAGGGAGTGCAGGACGCCTGCACTTTCCCCTTGTTTGGTATTTTTGAGCAAAGACTCTCACTCTTTGGGAGGACTGTGAGAGCCATGCCTGTGACACCCAGGGCTGGCATCCCACAGTACCCGCCCCCACCCTGGGCACTTCCTGGGACGCCAGGACTTTGCTCTGAGGGGCTGTCAGGTGGGCTGTGGACTTGGCTTATTTGGAGAGCTGGCCCATTTGGAGAGCATCTGCTGAGGCCCCGTGCTGGAAGGCGGTGGGCCGGGAGCCCTGCTGGAGACAGAAGCCACTGCTCTGGGCAGTGCATCACACTCACAGGGTGGAGGGTGAGAGACACAGCCAGGAGGCTCCGACCCACCCATCCCCTCACAGGCCCCAGCTGAATTAATGGGATTCCCTTGACCCCTCCTTGCAGCCTCGCTGAACAGAAAAGCAAAACCCAGCAACCACAAGATAGTTTTGAGTTGAAAATGGTTCTGAGAACTTCTGATGATTGCTTTTTAATTTTTAAATTTAGATCAGGGTAATGCTTTTCTGTTGGAATCCAGGGGCCTAGAGATGTTTCTTTATCAGTGGAGGAGGGGGGATGAAGTGAGTTTGAACCCCAGTGGGTCTGTGTGTATAAACTGAGTCTTACAGCCATGTGGAGGGAGCCTCAGAAAGCCCAGGCACTCCAGAAAAGGCATGCACAGGGGTGGGAGCTGAGCTAGGCACACACCAGGGAGTGTGTGTGTGTGTGTGTGTGTGTGTGTGTGTGTGTGTATGTGAGAGAGAGAGAGAGAGAGATCAGGGAGAGGGTTGCAATGAATCTCTGGATGGGGTAGGAATAAAGAAACACTTGCCCCTCTCTGGAGAATGCCATGGACAGGGGGCAAGGACGGAGTTGGAGCCACATTGACTTGGAGATTGCCAGGTGAGACCTTCAGGGCAAGCAGACTAGACTTCTGCAGGAAGAGCTCTCGTGACACACAAACCTCCACGGAAGTCCGCCTCCTCAGGAAGGCTGCACCCTGTCCCAGGCAGCCAGAAGCTCTTCTCCGTGGTTACTCAGCCCCACGTGTTCCAGCATGAGAACATACTCACTGTCATGGGGTTCATGCTCCAGGTACCAGCTAAGGTCTATCTTCATATTCCCAGGGCTTAGCAGACACAGGCACTCAAATATGGAATGACGAGTGAACAACTGAGTAACTGAATGGTCAGAATTTTCAAAATGCAGATTTGCTGTTAGGAGTCTTAGGTTTACTTCCATTATGCAAAGTTGGTCTCACCGGATTTCCCCTGATAGTGTTCCCCAGCCTCACATGACTGTACATTATCTAGGACGATATTAAGTACCAACTGAATGCGGGCACTGTTGGGGATATAACTCAGAAAGTTTTACCATGATTCTGCTCTTAAGCAGGTTAGCTGACTGACTTCCATATTCAATTCTGTTCAAGTCTTGAAGCAGAGCTCCAAGGGGAGCCAAATGGGTGGGTAGACAGAATTTCCAGTGGATAGTTTAGGAGCTCCCTTGTCTTGGTGTGAAGTGAGGATCCCTGAGCCACCTGGAGAGTGTTGGAACACAGTGTGGTCATCCAGGAATCAAAGGGAGCCCCATCCTGGTGCTCTGGCTACTGCAAATAATCCTTGTAAGCCGATCTGCTTAGCAGAGTACTAGAAAGGAAAATCCAAAGGGCAAGATAAAAATATATCTGTGGTATTTAACATGGTGGTGGTTGGAGATGTCAGCACGTACGCTGTTACACAGAGTCCGCATGTTACCGGGAAGCCCAACTTGGAGGTTTGTAAATCATATCAGAGTTCCAGCTCTCCTGTTTATTAAATGCATACTGTTGTGCAGGTCATAGATTTTTGAGCCTCAGTTTTCTTACCTCGAATGATTGTGAGGGTTAAATGAGAATCAGGTATGTGCAAACCCTTGCTGTATCATTGCAAGGTGTTCTTCAAAGTGGCAAGTGTTCTGCACCATAGACCAAGGGCATATTCTTTTGCTGTCTATACTCATTTCCAATTATAAGTACCCTCCCACATCCTCTCTCCCACTTGTTGATGGTACCTGTTCTTTGTTCCCCTGCTGCTCTCTGAGGACCAAGCAGGGGATAGTTGGAGACCTAGAATATCGGAACATAGATAGTCACCTTCATACCCCTCTGCCAAAGGCCAGAGATAGCACTCCAAGGGGCAGGGGGACCCAGAAAGATCAAGTGGTCTCAGCGGAGGCTCTCTTTTTTTTGTTGTTTTTTTTGTTTTTTTTTTTGAGACTGAATTTCACTCTTGTTGCCCAGGCTGGAGTGCAGTGGTGCAGTCTCGGCTCACTGCAACCTCCGCCTCCTGGGTTCAAGTGATTCTCCCGTTTCAGCCTCCCGAGTAGCTGGGATTACAGGTGCATGCCACTACACCCCGGTAATTTTTGTATTTTTAGTAGAGACGGGGTTTCATCATATTGGTTAGGCTGGTCTCAAACTCCTGACCTCAGGTGATCTGCCCACCTCAGCCTCCCAAAGTGCTGGGATTACAGGCGTGAGCCACCGCGCGTGGCCAAGGCCCTCTTAAGTACGCTCTGCCCTGGATGGCTGCAGTTGTTCTGGTCTGTATAAAACCTAAGTTCCAGGATTCCTTATACCCAGGGATACCAAGGCCTAGGGGACAAAACCCTGAATGAGGACCTGAGAAACCTGAATCTATACTTTGTTCTTTCACTCATTAGCTCTGCAACCATTAGTAAGTCTCTTGCCCTTTTGGGGGCATCCTCAGTTTCTTCTTTTGTAAACCGAGGAAAAATAGAAAAAGTTCTTGTGTGCCTAAAGCTAAATGTAAGTTATGAGTTACAACTTCTTCCTCTTTCAACAAAGGGCTAGATGGGATGTGGCTAATCACAGGTCCAGGAGAGGGCACAGAAGTCACCTGGCCATGGGGCTTAGTTTCAGCTTTAAGTTCTCATCCTGGAGACCAGAAGTGTGGTGGAACCCAGTGGACTTCTGTATGAGATTATCTTTGATGTTGTGTTCCTTTACCTGACTCCAAAAGAGGATTTTTCGTTTAGGACCTGCTTCTTCAGTGAAAAAGCTTTGCATTAATTTTGTTCTTTTTTTCTCAGTATCCAGCGAGCAGCATTGGTGGTCCTAGAAAATTACTACAAAGATTTCACCATCTATAACCCAAACCTCCTAACAGCCTCCAAATTCCGAGCAGCCAAGCATATGGCCGGGCTGAAAGTCTACAATGTAGATGGTATGTGCCTTGAAAGGGTGTCCGTGGTGCTCACAGGGGCACAGTTGGGTGACTATTTAAGATTCATGGTACGTTTGGTTCGACTTCTTCTCTGGGCCTACCTTTATGGTACATTCTTGTTTCAGAACAATTTCTCTTTTTTATGTAGGCAGACACATGTTTAGAGGAATGTTGATTTACCATCTACCTGTGTTGGAAGCCTGTTCATTTTGGGATTTTATGATTGAAAACAGCAGCGGTGTGTGTTTCCTGCCTTCTGCCAGGATCATCTTATATTGGAAGCTGTTAGGAAAGGGTTGCTTTTCAAAATTGGTGCACATTACCCACAAACTCAGAAAGCTACCTAAATCATTAAGACTAGAAATCTCAGTAGTCCAGGCATCTGGTGAGATACCTGCGGGCACTTCTTACTCGTGGCTAGGAGCCGGAGTTGAGTGGGTGGCAGGAGGCTGGAGGCCAGGCTGGGTAAGTCCAAGCTATGTTTCAGGGTATCACATGGTTAAGTGCAAGAAACAGGATGCGGTGTCATTTCTTCCTGGGTATGTTGGGTGAGGGCAAGAACTTTGCAAACCCTAGGAGAGGATTATATTTTCAACAAGTCAAGTGATTTATATACAGTGTCAGTTTTTGTTGGCAATATCCTTTCAGTTATTTGTTTGTTCATTTTTTTTTGGCTATATGAGGTGTGAGCTCCCTCACGAAGCCTGAAGGATTGATAAATTTCACCTGTGATCTAAAAACTTAGGAAAGATTCCCACTAGTGAAACCAAGTCACCAGCCAAGTAGATCATCCGTAAGAAAGCCTGAAATCTGCCTATGTTTCTGAAAAGTTAAGGTGGTCAGTGGTCAGGGGACAGGACAGGACTTCTGAGTCTGTATTCATTAACGGGTCACGTTGCACACCCTCAAGCATTGGTATTTCCTAGAAAAGTTGTGGCTGCCATGACATTCTAGCATAGCTTGCTTTCCATTGTAGACTCAGTGTCTCATGTCCTTTGACTTTCTTTTTTGTCTGTCTGTCTGTCTGTCCTTGGTCTCCCCATCCCTCTCATTCTGTCTCATTGTCTTGCTGAAATTTGATGTCCCAGCCGCCCTTATGGCCAAACTGAAACTTTATGTAACAGATGGTAACATCTTCAGCACACTCTATGTGTTGTTTTTGGCCAACATTTTAATTGCCACCGTTCTTCATGCCCTTCTGAGTTCTTTTTCCATTTCCACTGACCAGATTGGGGTTTAGGGAGATTCCTCTGCTCCCTTGCTTTGGACATAGTGAATGTGGAGCCGGGGCACAGTTCACCCTCCTGGGAAGTGACCTTTAGGATTTGTGTGTGTGTGTTCCATAGGGGGTGGGTAGACAACACTGACAGATTGGGTACTAGTTTTCTGCTCTGTTTCCCACCCTCGTGGTATTAACACTATTCTTTCACTGTCCTTTCCCCAAAGGCCCCAGTAACAATGCCACTGGCCAGTCCCGGGCCATGATTGCTGCAGCTGCTCGGCGCAGGGACTCAAGCCACAACGAGTTGTATTATGAAGAGGCCGAACATGAACGGCGAGTAAAGAAGCGGAAAGCAAGGTATACTGCCCTCCTGATGCCAGTACCCTCTTACAGACTTTTAAATTTTTATTTTATTTATTTATTTATTTATTTATTTAGAGACAGAATCTCACTCTGTTGCCCAGGCTGGAGTGCAGTGGCAAGATCTTGGCTCACTGTCACCTCTGCCTCCCAGGTTCCAGTGATTCTCATGCCTCAGCCTCCCAAATAGCTGCGATCACAGGCGCCCACCACCACGCCCGGCTAATATTTGGTATTTTTAGTAGAGATGGGGTTTCGCTATGTTGGCCAGACTGGTCTCAAACTCCTGACCTCGAGTGATGTGCCTGTCTCAGCCTCCCAAAGTACTGTGATTACAGGCATGAGCCACCATGCCCGGCCTCTTGTAGACTTTCAATCTTTCCTTTCTTACCACTAGAATGAGGTTTCTGTTTAAAAACATGACCTGCTGGGACACCTTTGGAGTGCACCTTGCTCCAGTGTTTCTCAAACTGAAGCCTGTATGAATATCACTGGGAGGGCTGTTCAAATACAGGCAGCAGGTTCTGGGCCCTGCTTGCAGAGACCCTACCCAATAGGTGTGGAGTTGGGCCCAAGAAATGGCATTTCTAACAGATTCCTGCGTGATGCTGATGCTCCTGGCCCCCAGCCCATACTTGAGTGGGTCTGTTCTGCACCCCTGGACCCTTGCTGGTGTTCACCGTCAGGTCATATTCACTGAAGGGGACAGAGGTGCATTCCATCATGTGTGCTGTGCCTCTTCCTGTTTCCCAGGGGCTGCTGGTGTGGGTGGCTGGACCAGGGAGCACGCAGCTCTGCTTCTTTGTAGGGCTGCTTCTGCACCACCAGCCACCTCTCTCTGTACAGAGCCTTTTATAGCCAGTCGGAGGGGCCTCAGAACTCTTTTCATCTAACCATTGCAGAGATGAAAAAAGGACTAGTGCATTTCCCAAGCTCATTGGTGGCAGAATTCAGAACAGAGTTCATCTCCCAGTCCTGGGGCTCCTTTCCCCCAACCCCTGGGGCCCCTGTTCCACATGTTATTTTTGCTGTTGCCTTTCTTTCTCCCTTCCTCCCTCTCCACTCTCTGAGGGACAGCTAAGGATGCAAGCAGCGTGATTGGGCCTTGGGTATGTTGGCAGGTTGGGCCGCAGCAGGGTAGACAAGCGTCATTCTGTTCTCACACCCTGTGGCAGGCACCATCCTGATTACTTAGTGTTGCATCACCTTCTAGGCTGGTGGTTGCAGTGGAAGAGGCCTTCATCCACATTCAGCGTCTCCAGGCTGAGGAGCAGCAGAAAGCCCCAGGGGAGGTGATGGACCCTAGGGAGGCCGCCCAGGCCATTTTCCCCTCCATGGCCAGGGCTCTCCAGAAGTACCTGCGCATCACCCGGCAGCAGAACTACCACAGCATGGAGAGCATCCTGCAGCACCTGGCCTTCTGCATCACCAACGGCATGACCCCCAAGGTGCGCTGCTCCGGGCGGGCTCTGCCACCGTCATCCTGGCTTGTCACTGAGCTTGGCCAGTTGAATTATAGCGTGTTACTAGAAGTGATAAAATCGAAAGGCATCTCTAAAACTCAAGTAATAAGAATTAGTGATTCTCACTTATTTTATGTTATGTTAGTACAATTGTTTTTTTAAATGTGCCTTTCGAAGGCCTCTGGATTCTAACAGAGGAGAGAATTTCGCTTGGAGGACAGTATGGAATAGTGATTGGAGACAGTATGGAATAGTGATTAGGGGTGCATTGTGGACTCTGGAGCTGAACTGATTCATTCTAACCTGGCTCCTCCACCAACTAGATGCATAACCTTGGGCAGATGGCAATAGCTCTGTGCCTCAGTTTCCTAACCTGTTAATTGGTTAGGATAATACTAATAACTATCTCATTTGTATGTTTTGGGAACTGAAAGAGCAGGATACACATATAGTGCAACATATAAACAGAGGTCCTTATAAAAAACAGCTACCAAATGTTACACGTGTACCACATGCCAAGCTCATCTACTCTCTACCATGCGATTTACATGCCTTGTTGCCATATTCAATGTAATTCTTACACAACAACCCTGTCAGAGAGATATTATTATTATCCTCATTGATACAACAGCAAACAAGTGTAGAGGAACTGAAACAGTTAATTCATGTGAAGTGCTTGAAACAGTACCTGTCATATGATGAGGATGGACTAAATAGCTCTATTTATTGGTAAAAAATAGAATGGCGTGAACCCAGGAGGCAGAGCTTGCAGTGAGCCAAGATCGCACCACTGCACTCCAGCCTGGGCGACAGAGCGAGACTCCGTCCAAAAAAAAAAAAAAAAAAAATGCCATCAGGCATTTTGGGTGTTACAGAATTAGTTTTACTGAGTGGTCTTTTAGATTATGATATTTAGGACACTTTAAGAAGTGTTACAAGAAACAGCCATGTATCTAATAGAGAGTTGTGGCCAAGGAGGCAAACTAGAGTAAAGATACAGCAAATGACTTCTCTACAGAGAAGTGGGTTCAAATCCTGGCTCCACCACTTAATTGTTTTGTGACTGTGCACAAATTACTCTACCCTCTATTAGATATATGGCTGTTTCTTGTAATATCCCTAAAAGTGTGCTAAATACTGTAATCTAAAAGACCGTTTGGTAAAACTGACTCTGTAACACCCAAAATGCCTGACAAAGCCATAGCATTATTTTTACCAATAATAATAATAGCAATTTAGTCTGGCCTCTTCATATGACAGGTACTGTTTTAAGCACATCACGTGAATTAACTCTTTCAGTTCCTCTACACTTGTTTACTGTTGTATCAATGAGGATAATAATAATATCTCTCTGACAGGGTTGTTGTGTAAGAATTACATTGAATATGGCAACAAGGCATGTAAATCGCATGGTAGAGAGTAGATGAGCTTGGCATGTGGTACATGTGTAACATTTGGTAGCTGTTTTTTTATAAGGACTTCTGTTTATATGTTGCACTATATGTGTATCCTGCTGGTTACATTGTCAACCAATAACTACCCTTAGGAAAGCAATGTAGAAATAGTAAGAAACCAAAAAGTTTTCTGTATTGATTCACTAATCTCTCTCCTAGGAAAACTATTTCCTACAATCATATATACACATGAATATACACAAAGGTGGTGTTTTGCAAAACAATCTGTAATCCTCCACAATGGAAATAATTTAAAACATAACAGTGGCTTATAAATTATGGTGTATCACCTGTTGAATCATGAAAGAATCTGTTAGAATAGTAAGTTACAAGAAATAGAATGCAGAAACATGTGAATACTGTGGTTGCAAATGAGGAAAATATGTCTGCAGGTATAAAATGATGGCTTGTACCATGTAGAACCAAAACAGTTGTTTTTCTTTTTACAAGATTTTAGAAAGTTTCCTGGTTGCTTTTTGTTTCATTTAAAAATTTTATACTTTTCTGAATTAAAAATAATAGCTGTTTTTGGTATAGAAATCCAAACATTAAAGAAAAGTATCATGCGGAAAATGAAGTTTTCAGCCCCTGCCCCAAAACAGTTTTTACCGATAAGGAGTTGGTATATATTCTTTCAAATATATGTAGATGTTTTTTAAGCTGAAATGGGAAAACAAAACAGAAATTGGGTCATTGCTCTCTCTTTCTCTGTGTGTGTGTGTGTGTGTGTGTGTGTGTGTGTGTGTGTGTGTGTAAACCACAGGCACACGCCACCATGCCTGGCAATTTTTGTATTTTTGTATTTTTTTGGTAGAGACAGGGTTTCGCCATGTTGGCCAGGCTGGTCTAGAACTCCTCAGCTCAAGTAATCTACCTGCCTCAGCCTTGCAAAGTGCTAGTATTACAGGCCACCACCCCGGCCTATATATATCATTCATTAGGTAGATAGATAGATAGATAGATAGATAGATAGATAGATAGATAGATAGATAGACACATAGATAGATACATAGATAGATACATAGATATATACATAGATAGATAGATAGCCTATATATTATCATTCATAGATAGAGATTTACATACTACATCTCTCTATACAATGTATATTATCTTTCTCTATATATATGTAGAGAGATATAGATATATAAAACTTTGCTTTTTTTTCTTAAAGTCATCCGTTGGCTGTCTTTCCAAGTCAATACATACAGATCTTACTCATACAGATATAACTACAGATATAACTCATTTCTGGTAATAGCTACGTCTTATTCTACCAAATACCATGATTTATTCAACTGATTGTCTGTTGATGCACATTTGGATTAAGAGTTTTCATTAGTGAAAGCCAGGGGCTTGTTGTATTTGTTAATCAGATTTTATTGGCACAGAGCCATGCCCTGTTATTTATGTATCACCTATGGCTGCTTTCACTTTGCACCAACAGAGCTGAGTAGTTGTGACAGAATATGGCTTGAAACGCTGAAAATATTTACATCTATGGAAAAGTTTGCCAACCCCTGGTTTAAACAGCATTGTGGTGAATACTTTTTTACATATGTATTTGTACAAGTATTTCTGAAGCCTAAGTTTCAAGTAGAGGAAAAGCCAGGTCAGAGTTGTAGATCCTACCAAATTGCCCTCCTAGGGGGTGTACTTTTGCATGCTTTGCCTCTAACATCTGAGATTTTTTATTTCCCACATACTCGGGAGCATTGGATGTTATTTTTTAAAATCATTGCCTATCTAATAGGAGGAAGTTAGTTTTTAATTCTTCTAATTTATATTTCTTCTTTTTTTTTTTTTTCTTTGAGACGGAGTCTCACTCTGTCACCCAGGATGGAGTGCAGTGGCACGATCTCGGCTCACTGCAAACTCCACCTCCCGGGTTCACACCATTCTCCTGCCTCAGCCTCCCGAGTAACTGGGACTACAGGCGCCCACCACCACGCCCAGCTAATTTTTTTTGTATTTTTAGTAGAGACGGGGTTTCACCGTGTTAGCCAGGATGGTCTCAATCTCCTGACCTCGTGATCTGCCTGCTTCAACCTCCCAAAGTTCTGGGATTACAGGCATGAGCCACTGCGCCCAGCCTATATTTCTTTAGTTAATAATGTGATAGAAAAATTTTTATATGTTAATTTTCCAATAATGTTTATTCTATAAAATTATTGTTTTAGTTTCATTTCTCTAATTGTTATTTTCTTTTTCTTATGATTCATAGGAGCTGTATTTATATTAGAAGTGTGGGAGTATGCAAGGCCTTACTTTTCTGCCTTACAATAGATGCTCCACAGATGAAAAAAATATATACCTGGCAGTAGCAGCAGGGTGTGAATAAAAGAGGATACCGGGCCGGGCGCGGTGGCTCACACCTGTAATCCCAGCACTTTGAGAGGCTGAGGCAGGTCAATCACCTGAGGTCAGGAGTTCGAGACCAGCTTGGCCCACATGGTGAAACTCCGTCTCTACTAAAAATACAAAAAAAAAATTAGCCAGGCGTGGTGGCGCATGCCTGTAATCCCAGCTACTCAGGAGACTGAGGCAGGAGAATTGCTTGAAACGGGAGGCGGAGGTTGCAGTGAGCTGAGATCGTGCCATTGCACTCCAGCCTGGGTAACAAGAGTGAAACTCTGCCTCAAAAAAAAAAAAGAGGATACTAGTTAAAAACTGTTCTTCGCCAGGTGCAGTGGCTCACGCCTGTAATCTCAACACTTTGGGAGGCCAGGCAGGCAGATCACTAATGGCCAGGAGTTCAAGACCAGCCTGGCCAACATGGTGAAACCCCATCTCTACTAAAAACACAAAAATTAGCCAGGTGTGGTGACACATGCCTCTAATCCCAGCTACTTAGGAGGCTGAGGCAAGAGAATCACTTGAACCCGGGAGGCGGAGCTTGCAGTGAGCCGAGATTCTGCCACGGCACTCCAGCCTGGGCAACAGAGTGAGACTCTATCTCAACAAAACAAAATCTGTTCTTGACTCTGTCTGGGACCTGATTGATATATCCCAGTATGTTTCTATCTGTATTACTGGCTCATTTCATTCTTCCTTCCCCTCATGGCTAAATCAGTGTATTTATTTGATTTAATTCGCATGCTGTCAAACTCCTAGTATGTGCTAGGCACGTTGGAAATTCAAATTAAAGAAACAAAACATACTTCCTGCCCTTCAAGAGAGTGAAGTGTAGTGTGGGGAGCAGACATGCAAGTCAGCAATCACTTTGAAAGTAAAGGGTCACACGAGAGTCAGTGATTACAGGAGCCTGAAGGAGGACATGTTAATCTGCCTGAGAGGTTCAAGAGAAGAGCCTTAAGAAGATTTGAAGGGCAGGGAAGAATGAGCTGAATGACAGTGTTTAGCTGGAGGAACAGCACATGTATCAGAACTCCATCGAGCCAGGTGCCACTGGAGCAGAGAACTCAGGAGAGGGAAGGGGGCATCAGGCCTGGGCATCCCCTGGACTGGCCATGTGCACACTTAGCCCAACATGGAATAACCATTGCTTGCTTACCATGTCGGGCATTGCTGTGAGTGCTTTTTGAGAGCTAACACTTTCATCCTTACGGCAGCCCTGTGACTTAGGTAGTGTCATTGCGTCCACTAATAGAGAGTGTAAATGACTTGTGCAGAATCACTGCCAGTAAATGGTAGCGCATGCGTTCTTATTCATGCAAGTATATGCAGCTTGTATTTCCTGACTGCTCCTTTGGGCCCGACACAGCCCTGGCCCTGAGAAACTTTTGGTTCAGGAGGAGGAAGACATGGAGAAACACATCAAGTAGGACCATACCCTAAGAATGGAGTGATGCAGCCATGACGGCTTCCAGCCAGACACTGACACCAGCCACCCCATTTTCCCTCCCCTCTGTGGGTACCACTATTCTTGCGCTTGGTGGATAGTAGGTAAAGGGGAGTGAGGAAGTCCAAGAAGTCTTCCCTCCCCAGTAATGACTCAGTTGTGAGGGTCTGATGGGAATTGAGTGTGATGAGCTGGGCTCTGGTCTAAGCTGGTTTATTTGGAAAAAGTTCTTTATAGATGTGAGAGTGGATAGCCGCCTGGCAGTACTGCCCTTAAAACAGGCTGTTTCTTCCCTAATGGCCTTTCTCCTCTGCTTCCAGGCCTTCCTAGAACGGTACCTCAGTGCGGGCCCCACCCTGCAATATGACAAGGACCGCTGGCTCTCTACACAGTGGAGGCTTGTCAGTGATGAGGCTGTGACTAATGGATTACGGGATGGAATTGTGTTCGTCCTTAAGTGCTTGGACTTCAGCCTCGTAGTCAATGTGAAGAAAATTCCATTCATCATACTCTCTGAAGAGTTCATAGACCCCAAATCTCACAAATTTGTCCTTCGCTTACAGTCTGAGACATCCGTTTAAAAGTTCTATATTTGTGGCTTTATTAAAAAAAAAAGAAAAATATATAGAGAGATATATATCTATGCCAGAGGGGTGTCTTTTTTAAAAATTCTTCTTCATTGCTGACTGAAACTGGCAGATGATTGACCAGTATCCTTTGACCATCTGCACTTTATTTGGAAGGAAGCAGGGGCTGTCCACCCTGAAAAAGAGTGACTGATGACATCTGACTTTTGTCGATGGGACTTCTCAAGAAGCCATTCCTTGGAGCTTCTGTTACAGCTGTAAACCAAAGTGGAGCTGGTGCTTCTTGGGAGCCTCGCCTTACAACTAATTCCTGCCTTTCGTCCAGTACCAAGTCCCCCGTTGCTTCTGGTCAGCCCACTTGTAGACTTCCAGGGGACACATCTTTATTCTGTTTCAGGAAACCAGTCACGACACGTCCACATATGTATTTGTGTATGTTAATGTCCAGTATCACATCACCCATGAAAGTCGTGGGCAGTTCAGGAGATACCTGCCTTCATCTTTGTTCTTTGTTGCCTTAGGTTCTTCAGAGAAAGATCACAACAAAAAATGTACACTGTCGTTTACAGCTATTAAGTGATTTGATTTTGTTTTTTTCCCAAAGAGAAAACCTACCTGCCCTGTTTCTGATCCCACCCCTCTGCTGGCTTGAAGCAGGTAACCCTTTCCCAGCCCTGCAGCTGCCCACCTGGCCTCCATGCCATCCTGCCCCCACCTGGCTGGCAGCCCTGGCTCTCCATGTGTGCCCTCCGGCTCTGTGTGAAGCCTCAAGTCAGTCCCAGCATTGTTTCCATAGGGAAGTGTGGGGTGCCCAGCAGGTAAAGCACAGGGAGAGAGGGCAGTGGGAATGCCACCTTTAGGCTGCAGCAGGAGCCCCACACTGCCCAGTTTTCCTCCCCACTGTTCTACACCAACCAGGGGAGACTAACACTGTGACTCTGGGATTGGCAGGTGCAACTTGGAGCCACTTAATTTCCTGGGGACGTAAGTTCTTCCCAAGCTTAGAGCAAGCTGCCCTGCCAAAGGAGACCAAACCATGCCAACCACGCTGGCAACTGCTGCTGTCCAGTCCCTGTGTTTTCTGACCACCGTCACTGTGCAACTCATCGCCTCTGCCACTTAGGACCAGGAAAGAGGCTGGTTTTGCTCCCACTCTTAGTTGCTGATAAAGTGGGGAGAAGGAAAATGGACACTCTACAGAGTTTGGGGAAGGGAGAGTAGGGAGCCCATCTTGTCCAGAAAGATTCATCTGTGGTCTGTCTGTTAAACACAGCTGATTTCAGTGGGCTTTCCCCTGGCCCTGGGGGAGCAGACACTGACTGGGTTGTGGGCAGAGGAGCCATCCTGGCGGAGCCCTGCTGCAGGGGAGCTCCTTCAGGAGCCCCATCCGGACCTCTTGCACTGGGCTGCCTTTGCCTCCATTTGCCTTCCTGTATCTGCAACAAACCTTTTAAAAGTGTTCACTCTTGCTTTTTCCAGTATTTCGGTAATCAGCCATCTTGCTGTAGTACAGGATGACATTGTCGAATGCTCTTTGTATGTGTGCACACCCCCTTACTCCCTTACTGCTTCATACACTCCACAAGTGGTACAGTATTTTGTGTCATTGTAAAAATCAAAATTGGCTTTGGATCTTTGTAATACACCTGTACCTGAAAAAGTAAACAACATTCTTCAATTACTAGCCTTCAGCTTGAAAAGACATGCTGGAGAAGAAGGAAGGGGGAACCCATAGGTGTGGCGTGGAGCCAAGATGTACTATTCAACTATGTGTTTCTGTTTATAAAAAACACATACCATGGAACCATGGTGCTTTTGTTCTTAGTTTTTGCCGTTAGATCCCTTCAAACTGGAAGTTCCTTACAATATCTTTCTCAGGAAATATTTTGGGAAATGGGGTAAGAGATGGCAAGTGTGAGACGGGCTGTGTCAGAGGTTGCTACGTCATGGATACAGTGCAGTTCCAAGTGCCATAAGTGTATGTACATATAGTTAATAATGACACTGTTCATCACCATTCTAAAATACTGTTCTTCCAACCCTATCTTCAATGACCAGTCCAGAAGGGGTTAAGCTGGATTCATTTGCTCTGGCATGTGCATTCCCAGCAGGGTGAAGAAAGGTTTAAATTAAAGAATTTATTTTCTCTCTCCCCCTTCCTCTTTCTCCCAGTCTTTGCATAGGAGAATGTTAGACATTCAGAAATTACTGTTTCTGTTTTAAATTGAGTATTGATTTTTTTATATTGACTTTGTATTGAGTTCTTTTTGAAAGAATAACAAAATAAAATGCAGGATCTTTGTAAAGCCTTTGCACTTTCAACCTCTTTATAGCTTGAGTTACTTTTGCAGTGGGAACAATGTAAATGACATTTAAAAGATTTAAGGTTTCAGAAAGCTGCATCCCACAATTGAACACAATGCATTTTTATTTCAATTCTTGGAACTGGTAGGCTATTCTTTTTAAAAGGGGGTAAACTTCGCCCTAAGGCTGGTAGAATGTATGTTCACATTATAGTAGACAGGATTTCATTTGCCTTATATGTTTATAGATTTTTTATAATTTTCATCCTACGTTATTAAAATTAGAGCATTGAGTGTTAAAGAACTTAATGAGGAGTCTATATCTGAGATTGCTCTCTTCCCTGGTGATGTTTTAACTGGTAGATAATTTGTTCTTAAATATGTACTTTTGAAGATAGGACAGTTTTTATAGTCCATGAACTGAATGTTAAAAAGTTCTGTATGCATTCTCAGAGAGGATTTTAAAGCTATATAGTTCATCCATCCTTTGCATTATCAAAATGTTAAGTCAAATCTGTAATACTTTGGCTAAAATTCATAAAGTAAGCCCTAGAGAAAATACTTGACCACCAAATTTTTGCCCAACTATCATCACCTCCCTTCCCCCGCCTCTGTTCTTGCCTTTTGACATCTACATGGAAGACAAGTTCTTTACAGCAAATGGTAAGAGGCAGGTGACCTGGTGTGTTTGCTGTGTTGTAGTTCATTGCCTGGGGCTTGGGACTCCTTTTTTAATGGAGAGACTAGCTGTGCAGGTGTGTGTTGGATAGGGATAAAG
This sequence comes from Homo sapiens, assembly GCF_000001405.40. NCBI lineage: Eukaryota > Metazoa > Chordata > Mammalia > Primates > Hominidae > Homo > Homo sapiens. The sequence continues at coordinate 115,694,467 of NC_000001.11, forward strand.
TGCTCACCCCTGCCCTCTCTACAGTAGTTGGTGGTAGATTTCTCTCTCATTTTGCCTCATAATCACTTTCGAGTGCATGTATTTACCTAAGGGCTGTAGCTCTGTGGGATGCTACCAGCATATTGGACTGACAGAAATTGATTACCTTGCCACTCCAACCTACGTACTGAGTGAGTGCTCCAGCCACTCAGTGAAACCAACAAAAGTGAGTCCTTGGTTTACCTTCCAATCTGGGTCCTGCTGTGTAAGTATCCCTAAGTGGGGATGCATATTTGTTTGTGCGTTTTTATTTCCATATATGTGAGCATTTCTCTGAGTGTATTACCAGACGGATAGCACATTTATATGTCAGACATCTTAACATCTGTGTTATCTGTAGCAGGTGTGTAGCTCAGCAGATACGTGTCATTGTGTATATAGCTGAGTGTGTGAGGGTGTCTGTGTTTCTGCAGTCCCCTGTGTTTGAGAGATGACTTAATAACCCTGTGTTTTGAGAGGTCGCTCTAAACCAGTGACTTTTCCCTCCCCTGCTTTATTCCTTTCCCTCACTGACACTGGCTTCTCCCGCTAGAGTAAATGGCTTTAGCACAGCACTGTCTTCTGGGGAGCCTGCTGTCCTGCAGGCAAGTCCATTAAACTCTTTCTTGCTTTAGGACTCTGAAAACAGCAAGAAACAAACAAACAAAGGTCAAGCTCTAAGAAAATTACTGCTCAAACTTCACTACCCTGGAAGCCTTACTAGATATTTCTTAAGGTAACTTAAAAATTGGGCTTTATTTTTAAAAAGTGATAGGTTACTTACAGTAGCACAGAAATGTTAGCATATTTATTTAAATAGTCCTGCAGCAGAGACCCTGCGATTGTAAAGTGATTTAAGTATTTCTGGGTAGTGTTTGTGATTTACGGATTTGTTACTGAAAAACAAAAAAATCACTACTGTGAATTTACTACTATGTAACCTTGTGGTCGTATTTCATTATAAATAAAATAAGAATTGCTCTTCTGCCCACCGTTCTTGATTGGTATTCAGTGCAGTAGCGAAATGAGATAGTTTAGACACTGTTGAAATAACTGCATTGAGCTTTAACCAAGTGTATGCTCAGAAAATTCAGTTTTGGATCACATTTTGACAAAACATGTTTTGGTCAAAGAAAGGAAAGGCTACTAACACATTTATCAGGTAATGTATGTCACAGTCCGTGTTCCACCCAGCCTTGTTATCCCCACATTCTTTCAAGATAGGAGTCATCTTGGTTTTTCGGGTGAAAAACGGAAGGTCAGAGAGGAAGGGGCTTGTCCAAGGTCTCATGTCTGGTTAACAGAATTTCAAACTAGATGTTTGATTCTAACCCCTCAGTCCACTGTACCTTGAAGTATGGTCTAAATGATTCGGCACTTCTGGATGTTGAGGAAGGACCTAGAGACACATCCTTGAACTAGAACCTGGGGTGAGAGTTCATTGGGAGGCAGGATCTCTTCTTTCACTTTGGATTTACACCTTGTCCCTTGGAAAGCTTCTCCACTATGCTAGCAAATATCTTAGGATATTTGATGGAAAGAACTTGAGAATCCCTTCTGGAAAACCCAGCCTTTCAGTGTTAACACCTGCTGCAAGACAGGGATGCTGTTGTTCTGGCAGCCCCCCTTTGCTTTTGCCTGGCCCCACCTTCTGCTCCCACTCTGCTGGCTTGGGCAAGATGCGTGCCTTGGGCCTTGGGTGCAGGGAGGCAGGCAGGGGCTTGACCTGGCCTCTCTCTGGTGCCATGGCAACATTATGCCCCAAACTTCTTCCCTGGTTGGAGTGAGAGGGGCTGTCCACAGCCCCATCCTGTGGGGATCTCAAGCCGGAGTCCCTGGCCTGGCCTCCTTGACGTAGGTGTTCTCAGCAAGCAGTTTGCATCCCACCGTCTTTCTCACACTTGCCCCCAAGACTTTTGACAGAGCAGACGTAAAACAGGACTCAGAAAACCATTTTTCTCTGTTCCCATATGTAGTAAGTTTTGATTCAGTTGTGCATAAACCATAGTTTTCTGCCCTGCTGTTTGCTTTCAATGGAAGACAGTAAAGGGAAGATGGTGCTCACATCTCTCCATGTGACATCTCATTAGGAATTAAGATGCGATGGATTAGAAATGTAAAACTTCAGAATAAAATTAAATTTCAGGGCTCTATAAGTCCCGTTTTCCCAGGTCCTGTTCCGTTTCTACGTAGATAACCCAATTTGTTTTGTCTATGAAATAAGCCTCTTTAGTGGGTTGTTTTAGTCTCTCCAACAAAAGAGCAGATTCCTAAAGCCAGGTGCAGCACTGTGAAAAGTTTCTTTCAATATGGCACCAAGACTCTACCATTTATGTCTCTCTCAGCTTACAAACATCAGCGTTTTGTCCTTGTCATAGTGGAAGAAAGACACTTACTTTAAGCTTTGGGGACAAAGGTGACAAACCCCAGGCTTTTATCTTAAAAGTGTCTTTGGCACTTCTTTTGGCACTGAAATGGTATTTGGGAAGCATTATTTGAATGTACAGTTGTTTGGTTTTGTATGTGCTTATCTTTATCTGAGCTTTCACTTGTAGACATGGCCTTTTGTTGTGAAGTTGCTCATCATTTAGGAGTGTTTAATTCTAAAAAGCCTTCAGCCTAAGAAAGCTTCATCTGTGGGGACCAGAGACTTGTTGCTCAGGGAGTTAGTGATGGGACTTGGGCATCTGATCTGCAGGTGACAAGTTTAGTTCAACTGAAGTTGTAGGGAATTTAGACAGTTGCACATCATTGCCGTTCTAGGGGCCTTGTAGAAAGATGAAACAGTTGTTTTTCATTTACCAGCACCTCTCAGTTATAGAGGTAATGGAACATTCGCTTACTTTTCATCATCATTCTTTAAAAAGGGAACATACAAAAATCTAAACTATGGCAATAATTTATTTTTATAATAGTTTACGGTAGGCTTTAATTAAATGGCAAACTCCTCTGGGACCCCTAAGTTATGGCGTGATTAGCCAAATTTGATTTCCAACAGTCATTTATGGCCATAACTATTGCATAGAGTGCAGGATGCCAGCAAAGATGAGGGTGGGGGCAGATACTGGCTCAGTGATTTAACTCACATTATAGATGACCCCTTCCTCAACAGAAATGCTACTGAGAGAACCAGAGAGGCCTGGGCCAGGCAGGTCTTATTTGAGAGGAGATTATTTGATAATTGCTTTGGTTAGAAGGACTTTACATTTCCTGATTTCAAGTCCAGCACCAATTTAGAAAGTTCAGAGATGAAACCACCTGTCTTTACCTGACAGAGTCATAACGGTTTGTGTAAAAATGTGGTCAGGGACCTTTTTTGTTCTTTCTGATTAGTTAATACTGTACATTGTAACCAGGAGGGGCAGTTTTGCCAACCAGCCTCTGCTCATGGTCACCATATGTGTATGACAAGGCCTGAGTGAGTTCCTGCATAAACTGGGTAGTGGGCTCTTTTGACACATTTGCAAGCATGTAAATGAATGAATGACACTACCAGCAACCATCTGTACAGGTCCATTTACTTACATTCATAAGGTTTATGCTATGAAACTTCTTCTCATTGTGATGTCAGTAACAGAGTTAGTGTCTCTGATGGAATAGTGTACCTGTCACCCAAGTTATTTTGTTCCTTTTTGGGTCCTCCAGTATAATCCCCCCCTCATCCCAATTAACTGTAAAATGTTTTACACATCACATTTTTTATACTGTAAACTTGGAAAATAAACTGAAATATCAAATTGTGTCTTGTTTCTTTTCTTCATGTGATTATTTCAATCTAAAAAGTTGCTTACTTTTTCAGGGACATTTTTCACTCTCGCATAATTTTGAGACCTTCAGAATTTCAAGACAACCTGTCATATTTCTATAAAAACCAAGACAATTGTGATGGATTGGGAAAGTAGAATTACCATTGTAACAAAAACTACTAGTTGTCAATCATTTTACAGTGAAGAAAATGTTTTGAATAGATAACTAAAAATGAAATCCTCAGGCTCTAAAACATGGAGATGAAACAGATCTTTTGAGTAAACCAGCAAGTGGAAAGGTATTTGAGTCAAATAAGAAGACAGAAAAGTAACAGACTTTGGGTTGATGTGGGAGGTGAATATTGGATTATTTTCCTGAGTGGCTTGGGAATTCAAGTTAAATTATCAACTGATTTTAGATAGGTCTATTTAAAGGAAATTTGATTATTTGCAAAGAAATATGAAGCCTGTTTTCCGCTAACCTCAGTGGTAGAATTTTGACAGCACACAATCAAATTCTTAGCTATTGCATGGACAGAAATTAGAGAAAGCAATTGACTCAAAGATATTCATTGGTTAGATTATTGATAAGCTGTTTCTTTGGGCCATTAAGCAAAATGTACACAATTTATATCTACATAAGTAAACCCTGCTAATACACTTTGTGCTATCATTTGGATATTTGTTCCCACCAAATCCCCTGTTGAAATTTAATCCCCAGTGCGGCAGTATTGAGAGGTAGGGTCTAAAGGGAGTGATTTAAGAACTTGAGAACTTGGGTCATGGGATGGATCTTTCATGAATAGATGAATGCCCTCTCTGGAGGAAGTGGGGTGTGAGTGGGTACTCGCTCTGTTAGTTCCCTGGAGAGCTGGTTGTTAGAGGCTGGCACCTCCTCTCTCTCATGCTTCCTCTCTCACCATGTGATCTCTGCACACACTGGTTTTCCTTTACCTTCTGCCATGAATGGAAGCAGCCAAGGCTTTCACCTGATGCCCAGTATTGCAGCCAGCAGAATTGTGAGCGAAATAAATATTTTTTCTTCATAAATAACCCACTCTTAGTTATTCCTTTATATCAATAAAAACAGACTAAGACACCTTGTAAGCTCTGTTACCCAATAGTGCTGGGGAATTATAGGTATTCTAGTTAATCAATTATTCATCCACCAACTCAATAAATGAGTATCTACTTTGTGATGGGCAAAGCGCTAAGTGCTAGGGATTCTAAGATAAATTCCTTGCCTCTAAGGAGCCTGCAATTTAGTGAAAGGACAGACATGCAAATATATGTTATACCTTAAATGATAAGTGACATGATCCAGGGATGCACAAATCACAGGGGGGAAGGGGCACCTTCAGGTCACCTAGACAATTGGATAAATGGTGCTATCACCCACCCAAACTAGGACTCCATGAAGAGGAGAAGATGTTTAGGGGAGAAGGCAATGAGTTCAGGTTTTGTTGTGTTGAGTCTGAAGTGCTTGTACAACAACAAGTCAAGATATCCAGAGGCAGTTGAATGAATGTGTCTAAAAATAAGGCAAGGAGTCAAGGTTAGAGACTCATATTTGGAGGTAATTAGCACATGGATAGTATTGATGGGCACGATGACATCATTTTGGAAGAGTATGTAGAGTTGAGATGCTGTGAAACACCATCATTCAAAGAGCAGGCAGAGGAAGAGGGGCTAGAAAGGAAAATAGAGAAGAAATAAGGAGGTAGGACTGGAGCCAGATGAGAATGAGCAGAGTCAGAAAAATCAAGATAGGATTTTCAACATTGTCTGAATATTTTCAAAATATGAGTTTAATGACAGAATTAGTTAGCTAGTATTCCACAAAAAGTATTGCTCTATTTTCAAAAAATTTGCACAGTGTCTTACACATGTGCTAAAAGATTGAGAAAATAAATTAGAAAATTATACTGCACACTTAACACTAAATCTACCAAGCACAATGTAACTTTTAGACAGCTCAGAAGGCACTTTGGGATTTTTTTTTTTTTCAGTGCCTCAGGGCATCAGTATGAACTCCAATTATTGTTGCCCTGGCCAATTGTGGGAGTACTGATAACTGGAGAGTTAATTGACTGCTGGATAAAGCAATCTTTAATCTAAATGGGAAGGCTCACTAGCAGCTACAGAGAAGGGGTATTCAGATCCCAGCTTAGGCTAGGAAGCCAGCTGACCCAATCAGAGACATGAACCCATCAGAAAAATGTAAAAGTTTTCATCTTTCTAGTTTTCCCCCACCCTCCACTCCTGCTGATGAATATGTGAGACTTGCCAACTAGAGGGAAGTTTAGAGAGCAAATCAACCTCCCATCCCAGTTTCCTAATATACTAGAAATGATGGTGACACCTGTACACATTTCAAGCCCTCTCCATAGCCATCCAAAGGCTTGAATATCCAAGTTCATAGTGATATGAATGACCATCACTTGAAATAAGTTTAACAAAGCCATGAGAATATGATTTATAAGTTTGCTTCCAAGGCTGAGCCTTCTCTAAGAAGGATCATCTTGGCTGGAGGAGGGATCCCAACTGATGTTCGAGGTATGGAGGGAGCTAAATCATTAATCATGTGTCTTCCCTGGGCTCTGATTAAAAGGTCACTCTATGCCTGTGAGTTAGAAAGCTGTCAATTTTGTTACTGTCATAATCAAAGACAAGTAAACTTGTGTTAGGGGATTGTTCACCCTAGACTGCCATGTTCAGGCACTGCCATGACCCTTGATGGTCCAGCAAAGAACAAGATCTGTTCCGTGACAGTCAAGACAGTCAACATGGGAATAATTTTTCTCCTGTCCCTGCTAAGTGGGATTGCTGCATTTGAAAAGGCATTTGCTGAATGATGCTGCTCCTGACGCAAAGGGAGTGGGAAAAGAGATGATGGAAAAGGGAAAGGAGCTGGCTGGGTGTGGGGCAGAATTGCTTGCTGCCACCTTGTGCTGTCTGTATGGTAGTGGGTGCTGTGATTTTGTTTTCATCAGAATTGTTTGGAGTTGGGCTATTCATCATCATCGTCATCACTGTCATCATTATCCTCTTCATCAGAATTATCATCATCATCATCATCTTCATCATCATCTTCAGTGTTTATCTTTCCAGAAAGCACATCCTCAATCCAGTCCTCCAGCTCCTCAGCAGTTGGAAGATCGTCATCATCTGGAATCTCCATCCAGACACTGTCAGCCTGCAGTGAGGGACAAAATGAATGAGTGGGTAAATGCATGAGGGCTGAACCAGACCAGGGATAGCCGTGCTGAATAGCTATGCTGAGTGCCCCCCGACTCTCTTACACTTATTAGGAACGTGCACATTGTTAAATGGAAATGCCAAACGGCAAAACGGTATGTGTAGTATACTGTTTGTGTTGCATAAAAGGAAATGTGTATTCCATTGCCCAGTGGAATATATATGACATTTCTGGTAATATACCCATGCAACAACCACCAGTGGTTCCCTCCAGGAATGAGACTAGGGGTTGGGTCAGGGGAGTAGGAAATACTTTTTACTTTGACCTTCTAATCTACTGTTCTGTTTTAAAATGTTTTCACTTGAGCATGTTTTAAAAGTAATGTATTATTATTAATTTTAAAGTAGCTTACAAAATAAATGAATGTAGAGTTCCCTAGGTGATTGAACACCTATCAACAGGGGAGAAAGACATTGCTAACTGGCCCCCATTCTTTTTTATTTTTTTTTTGAGATGGAGTTTTGCTCTTGTTGCCCAGGCTGGAGTGCAATGGCATGGTCTTGGCTCACTGCAACCTCCGCCTCCTGGGTTCAAGCGATTCTCTTGCCTCAGCCTCCCAAGTAACTGGTGTTACAGGCACCCATGACCATGCCTGGCTAATTTTTGTATTTTTAGTAGAGATGGGGTTTCACCATGTTGGCCAGCTGGTCTTGAACTCCTGACCTCAGGTGATCCACCCATCTCAGCCTCCCAAAGTGCTGGGATTACAGGCATGAGCCACCACGCCTGGCTTGGCCCCCATTCTTAAGAGATTCTATCTTAATTAAGTATGGCTCTAATAATCCTCTGTGATCATCCCTTTCTGTCCACTGTTTGCCTGATTGTATCTGTCCCCACTTGAGTTTTATGATGGTGGAGTTGTATGAGATGTATGGACTGAGATCTAAGATTTCCTCGCATTCTGCCAGTGTACCTCACTAGCCTGTCCCACCCTCGGTTCAACAATGCCTGAACTCTGAGGAGAAGCCCCTTACTCGCATATGATTTTCTTCCTTCCCTTCTGCAGGCCTGGTCTCCTGCCTGTAGAGTAGTTGCCTGCCTGGGATTCTAGGCCACAACGGCCCCATCACCCATTGTGCAGTGATGGCTCCTGGTGTGGGTTCCCTTTTGTAAAGAGACCTTTTTGTTTGCTGTTTGACTTTGGGGGTAAATACAGGAGAGTTTACTTGAAGGGAAAGTTCCAAATCAGTGATTCAGGAAAGGCTGGCCCCATAGGCAAGAAAATGTGCCCATGGAAGAGAGCCATGGAACCACAGATTGGGACTGGCTCGGAGACCAGGCGTGGAACACACTGGCAAGTTTCCTTGAGCAGGACCCCTGCCCTCTTCTGAAAAGGCTGGGCTACTATAGATGCTCTCACAATCTAAGCTGTGTAGCAGAAGACAGGGCAGGCCAAGGGTGCCTGAGCAAGCCTTCACAGGGGATACTCACATCTGTGACATTCACCACCCCAATCTGTGGCCTGAATAGGTCAATCTTGAAAGTCTTCTCCCAGTAGGCAACGAGCTGCAGCAACAAAAAAATAAGATTAGACAGCAGGCAGAGGGCATTCTCTGTTAAGGACCCACCCGCCGTCCCATCACAGTAACTAGGTCACCATTGGTTAAAGGTCTTCAAAACAGCTGTGAGCACTTAGCAAATTGAAGACTTGGCCCCAGCCTTCAAGCACTTCAAATAAGCATTAAATAAAAGATGACACAGCATAAATTATGGAAACATGTGTCTGCAGCTGTAAGAGAGAAAATTATAGAGGTGGTCTAATGTTGCTTTCCAAATTACTTGTGGCTGTTTTATAGTTTATAGAGCCATTTCCCTCCACCTCTTTTTAATGTCCCAGTTTTAAAAATACCTTATCTTGTGCTACATGAGATAGCTGGGAAAGCCATGATGGGTCATAAGTTGCCAAGTAAGAAGAAGGCTTCTTCATTCAACCAGGCTTGGACTCCATGTGGACAAATCTCTGACTGGGGCAAAAATAAAGGAGCAAGGGGCCACAGGATTTTTTTTTTTAATGGAGATGTCCAGTGGTAGGAAATCTCCCACGCAAATATATGGCCTAGTGGGGACTAGGGATATTCAGGAATCTGGAAATCAGAATAGTCTGAAGATTTCTTCTTTGCAAAAACCAAGGCAAACACATAGAACTGGCCAGAAGAGAGTCTGGGCATGGTGGCTCATGCTTGTAGTCCCAGCACTTTGGGACTGGAGTCCAGGAGTTTGAAACCAGCCTGAGCAACATAGTAAGACCTTGTCTCTACAAGAAATTTTAAAAATTAGCTGGGCGTGGTGGCACATTTCTATAGTCCCAACTGCTCAGGAGGCTGAGGCAGGAGGATTGCTTGAGCCTGGGAGCTTAAGGCTGCAGTAAATTGAGATTATGCCACTGCACTCCAGCCTGGGTGACACAGTGAGACCCTGTCTCAAAAAAAAAAAACAAAAAAAAACTGGCCAGGAAAACTGCAAACCATCTGCAAGCTTGTATAACAAAATAGTCAGATAAACTAGAAACACAACCAGGCAGAAGCTATATCAACAAAGCTGTACTGTATGCAGTCTTATATGGCCATGACTTTGTTATAATTACCCAGTGCTATGACATTGGTCTCAAGTGTCATGGAAGCCTCTGCCTTTGATTCACCCCCTCCTCTACATAGGGCTGATTTTCAGGACCCTTGAGATCCCTCTCAATTTTCTCTATTTAATCACAGTATCATCAGTCATGACCTATGCAACTAATGATAATTCCTGGAAGATAAAGTCATCATTCATAACCTAATGATAACTAAACTTGTACTGATTACTTCAATAAGCATTTACCTAAAGCAGTCGGTAGACCAGGCTTTAGCATCATGTAGACCTAGATTGGAATATCACATCTATCACTCACTAGCTTTAACCTCCCCAGCTATCATTCTCTCCACCTTGTGACAGGGATTATAATAGTACCTACTTCACAGGGTTGTTGAGAGGATTCGCTGTGATGAGGCATGTAAAGTATTACTCTAGTTCCAGGCATACAGTAGAATATATCAGCTATGCTTATTATCAGTACCAGTACTTATTATCAGCACCAGAACCAGTACCAGGGTTCAATACATGTAGTGTACAAATGCTGTTTATTCTTTTTTAAAAACTAAGTATAATCAAAAGTTTCGGGCCATTGATCATGCACACTAGCAAAAGTGTGGACTTGAAGTTTCTTTCACATTCATCGTAGGCTAGACACTATGCTAGGTCCTGGGGAGAACACGATGAACATGACAGGCACGCTCGCTTTCTCTCCACAAAGTTCTGAACTCGCTGAAAAATGTTCATCTCTGATTTTTATTACTTAGTAATTCAGGTGGCCTCAGAACGATGGTCCCCACCCAGAAAATAAAAGTAGTTCTGGGGACTGGGAATGGAGTGATGAGGGGCAGCTCTGGAGCTGCTGCCGAAGGAGTTTACCCTGCTCACTTGGGTGGGACCCCGAGGGTCAAGGGTTTTCAACTCCTGGACTCCAGGGAGTAAGCCGAATCCTTTCAGGGTCAGCACCAGGCCCCAAGTTCAATACTGCCCCAAGGGCCAAGACCTCCCACACTGGGTGAGGACCGCCACTGGGTTTCTTCAAGTGCCCCTGCCTATTTCACCTCCTCAGATGCTGAACGCAATCATGAGGTTGTGACAGCAACTGAGGGTGGGGCGCTGGCTGGAGCCACTCACCAGAGGAAAGTCGTCCGGGTCGATCCACAGGATGCTCAGATCGGGGTTGTCAGTATTGTCCCGGGCAACCTGTTTCAGGATCTCCAGGAATTCGTAGCCATCTGAAACAGGATTCAAGAGAGTTGAGTAACCCCTGCACATACACAGCTTCTAATGTGGAGAGCAGAGTGTGATTTTTCCACGAGGACTTCTTAGGACATTTGGTGCTCACCCTCAATTATAGGATTATTCTATAGAATGAGTCAGATGAGAGCTCCAGGCACAGAGCAGATTATACAAAGGAAACAATAAAAAATTTGAACAAAGGATTAAAAGTTCACAGAGAACTGGCTGGTTTTTCACTGGAAGCCAAACTTCATTTGTGAAAACTGCCCAGCCTTGGGTCAGAAAGTCAGTCACGGAACAGAGAAATTCCTGCCTGTCCTTACTGATCCTGTGCGATCTCTTGAAACAGATGCTTTGCTGTCCCCTAGAGTCCCCAATAACATTTGCTCTAAGGACCAAGAATGTCTAAGCCTGGACCCTTAGTTTTCTACAACCAGGAATTGCTAAAACCTTCAAACCAAACGAGCTTCTGATTTACAGTTGGTTTCACAGCTCTGAGATAGTAAATGGGGCTTCCCTCCCTCCCTCCCTCCCTATTTCCTTGTATACTGGGCCCTCCCTCTGTTCAGTCAGCAGCAGTCATTGCCCCAGGGGTGGGATGATTCCTAAGAAAAGCAGAGAGGAGCTTTATAAGCTTCAAGAACACAAACTTGTTAGCTTTAAAAGCCTAAACCTTGAAGGACTAGGAGCATACAATTTTTGCCATAAACAAAAATTTTAGGAGAACGTTTAGTAAGAGATAGCATACTCTCAACCCTCAGCACCACTCCCCAGCCCCCAGCTAGAAACAGAAAAAATAGTTTAGATTCTGGAAGGTCCCTGAGAATAATAAACTGTGCCTGTGTGTGTGTGCGTGCGTGTGTGTATGTGTGTGCGTGCGTGTGTGTATGTGTGTGTGCGTGTGTGTGTGCACGCGTGCATGTGCAGAAACACAAGCCATGTGTGCATGTGTGTCCACGTACAGAATCTCCATTGTTTCAGGGAATCCCAGAGTATAGAAGACCCATGATTTGTTTCAGAATTAAACTCAGGCAAATGAAAAGATCCCAGAATCCCTTAGAGAACCCCCTAGTATAGGAGCACTAGGGCAGAAAAGCCTGTCAGAAGGCCCCATGGAGTTGTCTTGTCATTCTGAGGAACTTGAACAGGTAACGATGACCCATACCAGATGTGCACCCCACTCAGATATGCCTGGGAACCAGAGAGACCCTGGATCCCTTGGGATAGTGGGGTTGGGGTGGAGGACCTTAATTATCAGCCCCAGCTTCCACCACTCAGTGGTATACACTCAAAATTGAAATTTAGGTTCAGTTCTAAATAATAAAGTTACATTTCTTGCATAGCTGAATTTGTGGCTTGAAATTTATACGTTGAATACAAGTAACTCACCAGCTACTTGGGAATTCAATTAACTGTGCTTTCTTTGCACAGTTTTTCTTCTTTTGTCTGGAGTCTCAGCAAACTTGAGCTCCTCCCTATGGCCTCTGTTTAGCAAACCTCTCCTCTCTCCAGGAATGCTAGCTTTTGTTTGGCTCTTTTGGACTCTTGGTAAAAGTTTTTTTCTACACTTCTTTATCTCTAATGCATTCCAGGCAAAACGCATACTATTCTTAGCAACTCTACTTTGAGTTTTTGAGTTGGTGTAGTCACTGTTGCTAGCTCACACTGAAGATTCAGGCTGAGCCCCCTTAGGCCTTATTACCTGGGAAGCACAGCGACCTCTAGTGGAGAAATAGTTCCTTTTTTTTTTTTTGTCTGTTGCCCAGGCTGGAGTGCGTGGTGGGATCATAGCTCACAGCAGCCTCGACCTCCCAGGCTCCAGTGATCCTCCTGTGTCAGCCTCACAAGTAGCTAAAACTACAGGTGTGTGCCACTATGCCCAGCTAGTCTTTTAAATTTTATTGTTTTATTTTGTGCAGACAGGGGTCTCACATTGTTGCCCAGGTTGGTTTTGAACTCCTGGGCTCAAGTGATCCTGCCTCAGCTTTCCAAAGTGCAGGATTACAGATGTGAGTCACTGTGTCAGGCCTAGAAGGGGTCTTTATGGCCGGTGGCCACTTCTTGCAGAAATACAGAGTGGACCTCGGTGATCTTTTAATCCGTGCTCATAACCATATTGCAAATGAGATTATGACAAACACCGGAGACTGACAGGGCCCTAAGCATTAGACTTCATTTATCTGTCATTGCAGGGCTGGGGGTGAGGTGGGGTAGGGGCATTACTCCTGCTGCCTGTAGGTGGAACTGAGAAGGTCCTGCCCCTCCAGTGTATCACTGACTGACGTGTGGACACTATGGGTCGTCCTTTGGCCATGTGTCTGTCACAGGAGAGGGAAATATGGTGCCACCTTGGTTATCTGTAGAGATAGAAATCATAGTACAAAGACCACAAGGAGGAATTCCTCCAAAACAACTTCAGTTACTGTTTTTAGCTGCAGAAAATAAAGAAATGATAATCAATGAGGTGACACTGCCAGTACTTTGGAAGATGAGAGAGAGTCAAATGTAAAAGGGACATGACAAAACTGAAATTCACAGAGAGGATGAAATGCAAAAACACAGACTCAAATGAAAGTAGAAAGTAAACTTGTGGTGCAAGAGACTGATTCACATAAAGGAAAGGAGAGTCTAGGCAGGCACAAGTGTTGTGGAGGGACAGGATCTGTGACCCAGAACTATAAGCTGAATACACAACGGAGCACTGTTGTTTTCTTATGGGAAAAACTCTCTTAACATTGAGATTCATCAAAAGGAATGTGGTATACAAGAACTTACCTACTACGTTCCTATTTGACATTCTAGAGCAGGTTAAGAGATGAAAAGAAAAACTGAACTGTGCAAGAAAAATCAAATGGGTTGTAGTTTTTTTGTAAACGAGTGAAGTCAAAAGTGTGGCTTAATGCCCATTTTCAAGAAAATAAAAGGTTTTTGTAAAGAGAATATTCTTTGTGTCTATGGAGAAGCAAAGAAATCCCAAAAACCATTCCCAGAATAAATTAATAAATAAGGTTGACATTAAAGCTGAAAAAGTTTCCTCTAGATCCAAGGGCAGGTTTCTGATGTTCAGGGTGATGAATTCTGTAATGGACAATGTCTCTGACCCCAAATACTTTCAATGACAGAACAGAGCCCATTCTTCAGGGAGTCAGCCCAGAATGGCCCTTAAACACACAGACTCTGGGGCCAAATGACCTTGGCCAAGGTCGTGGATGTACCCTTAGAGTGTGACTTAGAGCAAGTTATTTAATGTTTCTCTCCTCATCTTTAAAACAGAGATGATGAAAATGATAGCATCTACTTCGTCGGGTAGTTGTGAGTTAAATGAATCAGTATCTCTGAAGCACTTGGACAGTGCCTGGCATATAGTAAGGTTTAGCCATTATTTTACTTAAATTACCTGACATTCTATATTCAAAGGCAAGGAAGCTGGCTGGAACTCCCTAAGCCTGGCCATTCCTCTGCTCATTTACCACATCGGTATTACGTTCAGTGATCTGGGCACTGGGAGTGGGGTAGAGGCAGTCTTGGATCCACGTGGTACATGCTGACAGAAAACTATATCACAAAAGTGTACAGCGTGGGGCAGCTCCTTCCAGCTCCTGTTGCCGATTCTGTGACCAAAGGCTTCAGGGATGGCTGTGCCAGCTGGTGAGACCACGAGAACCGTGCCTTGATAACTGGGTCAGGGAAAGGTTTAATTCCTTTGCTTTTAAGGCATTAGCTTGTGTGGATATTCCTGATCAAAGGCTTAAAAGCCTCCAAGGCTCTCCCCTCTTCAGACACCAGCCTTGAGTGCAGACCTGTTAAAATGGATTGTCAATCTGTGAAAGTGAGTTAAGGCAGCTAACCTGGTCTCACATGTATTCAGTTGCTAAAATTGTAAGTTACAAGTTCAATTTTTTTCCAAAGAGAGCCTCTGTTTCTTTGTAAAACTGGCAAGTCCCCTGGAAAAGAGAAACGTTCTCTGTGGATCCTCCCTTTTTGACCAGGAAGGCAGGTGTAGGAAGCCGCATTTCACTTTAGTAATTCAATGTTAAGCAAGGACTAGTCCACTGTTAAAATTACATGGATGAATGACTGAGTTTAAAATGAGTAAATGTTTCCTTTATCAGTGGTAGACATGGCTTGGAGCCCTTTCAAGACTATGGTCATGTATGTTTCAGAAGTAATATAGCCTATACTTCAAAAAACTGTATAGAGAAAAGGGGGAAGTACTATTCAGAGATGTGTAGGCTAATAGTTATCTAGACAAAGCAAGTAGAGGACTATTCTCTGCAGTTATCAGAAAAGCATCAGTTCTCAAAATCAGAAGAGACCCCCGCAACCCAGACATTCCAAACTCCAGGTAGATGAATAGCCCTCACTCAGAACATTTGTCTCTGTTGAATATTTCCAGGACTGAGACCGTTTGACCTTGCTAAAAGGCTGACTACAGAGTTGATCATTCTAACAGCCAAGAATCTTATCCTTGCATCCAATTGAAATCTCCTTTTTTTCACATGACGTTTACTCCCCAATTTCTTCCTTTATGGACACTGGACATTGTTCTTTTTTGTTTTGTTTTGAGATGGAGTCTTGCTCTGTTCCCCAGGCTGAAATGCAGTGGTGCAATCACGGCTCACTGCAGTCTTGACTTCCCAGGCTCAAGTGATTCTCCTATTTCAGCCTCCTAAGTAGCTGGGACCAGAGGCACACACCACCATGCAGTTAATTTTTTTATTACTATTTGTAAAGATGAAGTCTCTCTGTGTTGTCCAGGCTCATCTTGAACTCCTGGGCTCAAGCGATCCTCCCACCTCAGCCTCCCAGAGTACTGGGATTATAGGCGAAAGCCACCATGCCCAGCCAGGACACAGAACATTGTTCTCCATATGCAGAAAGTCTATAATCACGCTGCTCCAACCTTTATTTTCTGAGTGTCTATTGAACACTTACTGGGTACTGAGTACTTTTACATTTGATTTTTACAACTAGTCTTGATGGAGGTTAGGAAGATTTTATCATCTCCATTTTAAAGAGGATGGAATTAAGACCCAAGGAGAGCAAATGACTTGCCCAGCATCACACGGGAGCAAATGGTAGAGCTGGGAGTTGAACTCAGGTCTTAAGTCTGCACGTCTGGAGCCACTTCCACTGTCTCCTACCCTCTGAGGTCTCTGCACTCCTACCAATGTTGCTGCCATCTTCCTTCCTCGAGTGCTTGAGATTTTTAAGCCCAGTGTGAAAGCTTCAACATCAGGGAAGCAGGGGCTGGGACACTGAGGAAACTGTCCATGGGGTCAGTCCCAGGGCTGGCGGGCTGGCCTCTACCTTCCCATGGAGGGGTCCCTTCCCCTCCTTCAAACCACGCTGCCAAGCCCTCGCCTCCCAGCAGCTGTAGTATGATGGGTTGGCTAACTCAGGGATGGCTCTGAGTGGGACTGGCGTCTCAGAGATGGATGTAAATAAAGAGACCTGGAGCTGTGAGAACTGCAACTCCTCTCCTGCCACTCAGGCTTGGAGTCCTGAGAGACCATGACCCACAGCCAAGGGATGCACGTTGAACCAGGAGGTTTCCCACGGCAAGCGACTGGCCTCTGGGAATCACATCTTTGTGGGAGGAGAAACTGGTGATTATCCTCTTCTGTTTCCCTGGCAGGGACTGGTGGGAATGAGCCTTCACCAAGCCCTAGGGGACCGGTCCCAGGCCAGGCACAGCCAAGTCAGGAGCCAAGGCCACATTCGGCAGAGGCTCATGTGTCTCAGACCAAGCAGTGGTCCAGGAGTGAACAGGTCCACAGCATGCAGCCTGCCCTGCCCTGCTATCTGTCCTCATGGCCCCACTCCTGGGGGAGCTGGCTGTGCTCACTCCACAAAGGCACGGAAAGGGACCCTTCCTGACTCCATGCCATGGGAAGTTCTGGGCCTCAGGGTCTCTGCTCCTGTGAGGAGAGGCCTGAGCTTGGGAGGGCCAAGCTCTTAAAGTGGGGTCCTGCCCTTGCTTGTGTGGCAGGTGGACAGATAAACGGCCGGGGCTGGAACCACACAGCTTAGAGGTTGTGTCTAAAGAGGGCACTGGGTCTGGAGTTTAAAGACCTTGCACAGGTTGCTTAACCGCTCCCCTTTCATCTCCTCCTCTGAAAGTGGAGAGAACAGCTGCCACATGACTTCTCAGGCATGTTGATATAACGAGATGCTATCAGCATGTGGGTTGGGCAAAGTGTGTAGGGAGACACATGCAGAAGGTCCTCATAAAGACTTTGTCTGTCTTCTTCCTTTCTCTCCTCCACCCCCATCAAACTCTTACTCATTTTAAGATTTTTTTTTTTTTCACTACTTTGATCCTTCGTTGATGGGAAGGGTTTTTGTTTGTTTGTTTTGCTTTGTTTTTGTTTTTGAGATGGAGTCTCACTCTGTCACCGAGGCTGGAGTGCAATGGTGTGGTCTCGGCTCACTGCAACCTCTGCCTCCCGGGTTCAAGTGATTCTCCTGCATCAGCCTCCTGAGTAGCTGGGACTACAGGTGCATGCTACCATGCCCAGCTAATTTTTGTATTTTTAGTAGAGACGGGGTTTCACTATGTTGGCCAGACTGGTCTCGAACTCCTGACCTTGTGATTCACCCGCCTGTAATCCCAAAGTGCTGGGATTACAGGCGTAAGGGTTTTGTTTGTTTGTTTGTTTGTTTTCAGCAGGCAGGTATAATTTGAGTTCCCACAACATCTTAAGCCCAGAGCCTGAGGCTGAGACACAAGGGTGAATAGGACAGGTCCTCTCTCAGAAAGACCTTGTTGGTCTCTAGACCAGAGCTCACTCAGTAAATATGGAATTCTCAAAAAGCAGCCCAGCATCTGAACTGGATCCTTTGGGAAACCTCAGAGGGACAGACAAGGCTGGGAGCTCTCCTCTCACAAGATGGAATTGCCAAGAAGTCACCCGTGAGAGTCAGACATCCGCGTAGGACAGGGGACATTGTCTGGGCCCCACAGCTATGAGACGGCACTTGAGACATGTGAATACGCTACCACTCCTTACCACACCCTCTTTCTCTGCCTGTCTTCTCCTGGCGCTAAGATCCCAGAATTGGTGAAAAAGTCAAATGATATGGTGTTGTGATGAAGAGAAGCTTAAGCTGATGGTTACAGAGCCCAGACTCGGGGCTGGACTGCTGGGTTTGAATCCCAGTTCTATCACTGATTAGCCATGTGAGCTGGGGACATTATTTAACTTCTTCGTCCCTGTACTTTATCATCTGTACACCGGGGAAGATGATAAAAACAGCACCTAACACGTCGGGTTGTTGCAAAGGTTAAATATGTTGATACTTGTTAAGTGCTTGGAATAACATTCAACACATAGTAAGAACCAGGCCAGGCACAGTGGCTCACACCCATAATCCCAGCACTTTGGGAGGCTATTGAAAATACAAAACTTAGCCAGGTGTGGTGGCCCATGCCTCTAATCCCAGCTACTCGGGAGGCTGAGGCAGGAGAATCGCTTGAACCCGGGAGGTGGAGGTTGCAGTGAGCAGAGATGGTGCCACTGCACTCCAGCCTGAGCAATAGAGGGAGACTGCCTCAAAAAAAAAAAAAAAGAAAGAAAGAAAGAACCAAATGTTAAATTTGGTAAACCAAACTTAAAATCAAAAGCTCAAGGAGGCAGTTAGTGGTCCTACTTGAGACAATTGGTCTCAAAAAGATTTTTACAAGAACCTGAAGCAGTGGAAGCTTGGATGGAACAGAGCTTGGAGACGTTCCTTCCAGGGCCTGTCACTAATTCTGTTCCACGTGTGCAGACAGCAGCCTTTCCTTGCATTTCCAGCTTGTTAGCGCTAATATTCCCAGTGCCCTTTGAGGATATCCATCTAGCATGCACTCATGTAGAAACGCTGCTTTGCAAACCTTTCATCACATGTTATAAAGAAGATGTCAGCCTGACACAGACACATCTAGGGGTGGTGAGGAAGACAGTCATTCATTTTCAAACCTGTCAGACGAGCGGCTCTGGCGGGCACTTTGAGCGCAGGAGCTGGAGGAAGACTGGCAGCACCACCAGGCAATGGGCAAGAGCACAGGGCTAGGAAATGTCCTTCCCAGCCAGGCCTGCCTAAGGGCATGGGATGAGTACAGCAGGAGAGATCTGGCGATTAGGCTCGAGGGCCAGGAGAGCAGACTCTGCCTCCTGGCAGGTGGAGGTGGGAGTACAGGGTTGCTGCCTTCCCTCAGCTTCCTACCCTGGGTGAACTCAAGCTCTTGGCCATGAGGATCATGTCAGAACTGCTGGGGGAAGAAAGTGGTTGGGGCAGCTGGATCACTGGGACATGTGGTTGTTGCTGCTGTGTAATCTTAGATCCCAAACCTGGACAGACAGTGGGAGGAAGCCTGACTTTTCTTCCCTAACTAGGCTCTCAAGCTTCCAGGTGGTTTTGTGCTCTTCTCACCTCCGCCTGCTCTGCCTGCTCGTGTCCCCTTCCCCAGTACATGCGGCAGCACTGCACATGCTCAGAGCCTGCACTGGCTGGGGCATTGTTTGGAGTTGGTGTGATAGGGTGGACTGTGCACAGGAGGGGCCCTTGGGAAATCTAAGCTCGATTTCCCACTATTCCTATAACCCTGTGATCCCGAACATGCCACTGCATTGCCCTGGGTCTCCGCTTTCTTGTCTTTCAAATGTTGGAGGTGGAGGAGATGGTGAAGGGCAATAGAGAGGCAGGAAGGAGGATCGAATGATCACTTAGCATAAGGCCCTGCTACAGACGTATATGCCACTCAGAGTTGCTAACCTGACGACTTCATATAACTCTATGGCAGGGCCTTGTGGTTAAGGGTGTGGGCTGGGAAGCCAGACATCCTCAGCGTCATTCCAACTTCATGCTTCCCAGTGAGGTAAGCTCTCTCAGCCTCAGCTTCCTCAGTTGTAATAAAAATAATGCCTTCCTCATGGGGTTCTTGTGTACATATAAGTACACAGTAAGTGACAATCATCATCATCTTCCTCATAGTCATGATGTATTTAGAGGTCAAGATAGCCTGCTTGAATTTGAATCTTGGCTTAGGTATAGTGAGTGATTTGGGCAACTTATTTAACCTCTAAAACTCACGTTCCTCATCTGACACTAGAATAATAATCATCATGCACGTATTACAGAGTGGCTTTAGGTGCTAAATAAGGTCATCTACATAAAGCTCCTAGCACAGTTCCTCAATACTGTTAGTTCTTTAAGAAGAACTGTATTATTTTCCTGGAGGTATGATCTTCTTCCTTGGGGTGGTGGGGTTAGGTGTTTGGTTGGGGTGAAAGGCCATGTCTAACTTGTTAGCAAGAGCAAAGGAATGCAGAGGGACTGTTTTGCAGGAATGACATTCCTAGTCCTGCAGTCAGGCCCATTGCCCCAGGTTACACATCAGTGCTCTGCAGGTAAATCACTGATTAACCACAAATTCAGAGTCAGGGACTTTCACAGACAAGTCTTTCCCTTTCCCAACCCTGAGTGGCAAGGCCCTTGCTCACAGAAGATGCTTCTAGAGCTCCTCCCTATCCCCCTGCCCTCACCTCAGTGCATGCTTACAGCTTCCCAGTACAAGCCCCAGCTTGGGCTCTTTTGGGGAAAGGCACAGCTTCAGGCCCAGGGATATTTGTGCAGGGAGGAGGTGGAAGTAGTTTCTGGAGCTTGATTCATTACAGCAGCAATCTCGGTCAAACAGGTTCTTACAACTTCAGGGAGGCCTCTTTGTTCTATTGTTCCAAAGAGCCAGACAGGCTTCCCCACAATCCTGGAAGGTGGCAGGTGAGGTGGGGAAGGAGCCCTCTGGAGTCTGGCCAGCAGGCTGCTGCCTATGGCAACTGCATCTCTGTTCACATAACACCAGGGATCCGATTCTGTTTGATTATAGCTTGTAAACCTTAGGCAATTGGCTTCCTTTGCTATTTGCTCCTCCAGGGAAGAGTGGTGGCCGGAACCTGTGGAAAACCCACTGAAACCACACTAGCTTTTTCTTGAGAGGTGGAGACAAGGGCTAGATCATGTTGAAAAGTGAAAAAGACAAGAGAGTGCTCAGATAATTCAGAACATAAATTTGGTTTTGATACAATGGAATATTATTCGGCCCTTAAAAGGAATGATATGTGCAATGTCATTGGGACACCTTGAAAACATCATGCTAAGTGAAAGATGCCACACACAAAAGGCTACATATTAAATGATTCCATTTATATGAAATGTCCAGAATAGGCAAATTTTAGAGATAGTAGGTAATTCCTGCTTGCAGAGGTGGGTGAGAGAGAAATGGGAGTGACTGCTAATGGCTATTTATCAAAATGTTCTAGAATTAGATACTGATTATGTTTGCACAACTTTGTGAATGTCCTAAAAACCACTGGAATCTTCACTTTAAAAGGGTTACTATTATGGTATATGGATTATATCTTGATTTTATAAATTATATGATAAAAAATGTGGGTTTCACTCTGTAAGAAACTATGGAGGCTATTAGTGTATTGCCAAAAAAGGGAAGGAAAAGCTGGTCTGCCAGTGAAGATTTTGGGGCTCTGTCTTGGTTGGTCATCTAACTCTCTAATCATCTGCCAGACAAATATTTATTGGGCGCCTACCACGAGTCAAGACATTGTGCAAGAATCAGCTATATATTGATGAAAAAGGCGATCTGTTCACCCTTCATGATCTGCCACTAACTGTGTTCTCTTGGGCAGTTTGTTTAACTTCTCCAAACCGCTGTTTCCTGATCTGTCTAGTGGAACCATCTCTAGATCTCTCCCTATGAGTATACAAGAGACTGAGGTCCCCAGCAAATACCATGAAAGTCTACATTCCCTTGACTTCTCTGGTTACATTCTGGGTTGTCCCAGGGTTTCCAAAATGCACTTCAGAATCTGTGCTTCCACTTTCTCTTGGGGACTCTCTGTCTCACAGAGCACTGCCATAGGGAATTGCTACCTGCAAAATCAATTTTCCTGCACTTCACTCTCCACTGGTGTTGAAAAGAGTGAAACCAGAGAAAAGTTGTCCAAGTTCCAAAAACAAAGTTACCCATCCATTTACAGGGTCATCTTGCACTTTCAAAATAAGCTGCTCATTTTCCCCAGGTCTCATTATTTAGGGGAATGTTTCCTACTTCATTTCCTAAGCACAGACAATATTTTATGGATTAAAGTATACATTTATCCTATTTTCAGGTAGAATTGTGGTTGATATAGGCTAGATGGCAAAATAGGTAAATAAACTTTTAATGTGAACAGAAGTTCACACGTGCACACACACACAAGCACACACACACCCTGTAAAGCTGGTATGTTTTAATATCTCCCCCAGTGCCCAGTGTACCTTTCTATGTTTGGGCAGCAAAGCAGAATGTTTGAGGTTCTTGAAAGCATCTCCAAAAACACTTTATAAAATCAACTGGAGAAAAAAATAAAATCCCGCTAGGCTTCCCACACCATCGGCAGCAATCGTGAAGCTGGCTTGCCCTCTGGCCCACTTCTCTTCACTGTGTACTACCCCAGGATAATGTAGCCCTTGTCACAAGACTTGTTGTCCCTTCTCTGTTCTATAGACAAAATTTAAGACATGGTGAGATTAAAAGTGATATGGTTTGGATCTGTGTCCCCTACCCAAATCTCCTGTTGAAATGTAATCCCCAATGCTGGAGGTGGGGCCTGGTGGGAGATGATTGGATCGTGGGGGTGGTTTCTTATGATTTAACACCATTCCCCACTTGGTATGAGTTCTCACAAGATCTGGTTATATAAAAGTGTGTGGCACCTCCCCACCACCTTGGTCCTGCTCCTGCCATGTGAGATGTCTGCTCCCGCTTTGCCTTCTGCCATGAGTAAAAGCTCCCTGAAGCCTCCCCAGAAGCAGATACTGCCCTGTTTCCTGTACAACCTGAAGAACTTTGAGCCAATAGAAGCTCTTTTCTTTATAAATTACCCTGTCTCTGGTATTTCTTCATAGCAATGTGAGAATGGACTAATACAATAAGATTTCCATTTGAGTTTCTCTTTTAGGTTCTGCATACCAATAAAACTACTGACATCAGCTGGTCTAAAAGGCTGAGCAAGGAGCTGACTTATGGAAGAATGCAGTTTCCACATCCTCACGATTTCATCCCCTTACCCAGATCAATCAATGACCCCAATTTTCCAGGCCCTCACCTTCCATGATCCTCTTAAAAACCCTTGCCCAGAACCCCTTGAAGAATTGGATTTGTGGCCTGAGAATCCCTCCTCTTACCCATTTGGCAGCCTTGCGATTATTAAACTCTTTCTCTGCTGCAAATCCCACTGACTCAGTGTGTTGGTCCATTGCTGTGCAGCGCTGTAGGAACCTGGTAGTCTATAACATTCTGATTTGTTCACACCTTTTCTTCTCTTAGCCGTGTGCACAATTGAAAACGAACTCATACTTAATGGGCGACCACCAGGGGGTGCCCAATATCTTGCAGTTGCATTGTGGATGGGATGTGAGAGAAGAGAAAGGTGAGGGCTGGCAAAGGTGAGAAATCAGTTCTTGCTAGAGCTGTAAAAGAGCAGGTTGAAGGTTTCCTACCTGGATCACTCTTCTCTGCAAAGGCCACAATGTGGATCCCATTCAAATCATCTTCCTGTATGAGAAAAGTAACAAAAGTTACACTTCCAGCTGGAGGGATGCAAAGGACTGAGCCAGGGACAGGGACTCAGAAGCTGGAATGGGAATAGGAGAGGTAGGGAGAGGTGTGGAAGCGGGGATGAACACAGAAGCACAGAGGAGTACAGCGGGGCTCACATTAAGGAAGGAATGCTGAGGAGCAACTGCCAGGAATGCATAGGGTTTGGATCAGGGACTCAGATAAATGAGTTTGCAAGACAGGAAAATACCAACCACACGCAAGACATTAGCACTAAATGAGCCTCACTCCTGTGGTCTGGTGGTTCCAGGAGTGCAGCAGTAAAAGGCAAAATGAGAAAGAACATGAGTCTGGTTTATCAGGAGATCTGAGAGCAACAATGGCTCTGGAGGCAGCTCAGTAAAAGCAGCTGTCAGTCTCTGTTTCAAGAATTTACCACTGGCAGATAGAGTCAGTGATACACCAGATTATGGAGGCTTCTGAATGCTGTGGACAGATCCTGAAACTATATCCAAATGGATGGCAGACAGGAATCATTGAGGTCAATTAGGATGTGGGCTGGTGTTGTTCACACAAGAATCACAGACAAGGGTTGTGCTTCCCTGTTAGGACCCTGCCTACAGAACCCATGTAGTGTGTAGGGGACACTGCTAGAAGTGGCCTCTAGGTGACTTCCTTGAAGTCCTTGCCCAGTCAGTATAGGCCTCCAGTGCATTTCTGAGGCTGCAGGAATTGTCTGGAATTTGAGCGTAAGGAAGGTTGAGGGTGTGCGATTGAGAAAAGTGGTGTATGGCTGTGGGGGCAGGGGCAGGAAGAAGAACCTAGAGAGAGTATTTTAAGTCTATGGGGCAAACAAGGCGCATTTCATGTCTCTACACCCTGGGCAGCAAGGACCCTATGCCTTGTGTCTCCTTTGCAATGATTATTCCTGGAGAAAGAGGAGCTAGAGCTTGGAAGGGGCTCTGCTATCACAAATGTGATTCTCAGGAGACTTGGGGAGGAATATGTGTGAGAAAGAGGCACCTGGGGACAAGGCCGAGTGCATAGTGATGATGAGACATGGGGAGAGGTATGCTTTGGGCACCCTGAACATCATATCAGAATCATCCTATGGAAAAACCTCCAGGCGTCTCAACCTTCCCATGATCTCTGTTTCCATTTCAATTGATTTTAATGCTGGCGCAATCCTATCTAAATGCTAATTTTTTTCCTTTGAGTTTGGAATGGACAAAGCCTCCACAAATTCTAAGAAAGATTAAATGGAAAATATTATTATTAAAAACAAGACAGTGGGCACTGCCTTGGTCAGATTCTCTGGAGAATTTAATTTTACAGATACGCATGTGTGTGCCTGTGTGTGCCGGCTTATTACACAAATCGACAGCAACCAGAAGGGGAGTCTGAGGTTTCACTGTTTTACATTTGCTATTATCGCCAGACAGAATATCCCGATCAGTTCTCATTAGGCTAGCCTGTGTCTCTGTCTCCTGCCATCAGATGGGAGTGAGCGCTGTTAATTCTGTGAAGCAGGCTTCATTTCTGTGTGCCCTGCTAGAACGCATTTGGAATTGGCTTTAGAATTAAGAATCCATATTTGTTTTCTAGAAGGCTGCTCATAATACGGCTGTCACTCCCCAGACCCAAGATGGTCCCTGGAGGGAGCACTGTCACCAAGGGAAAGAGCCTGTCACTGTGTGCGTCACAAAGATTCAGCATGCAGACCTGTATTCCACATCCACAAGGAAGCAGGCCAGCGCTAGGTGCCAGGCATTTTCAAGTAATAAACTCACAGAGCCAGAACCCATGGGCAAGCTGGCAAGTTGGGGTTACTCAGTGAGAACCCAGCTTGCACAGGGGAGGAATAGCTGTGCTGACTTCAGGGCTGAGAACCCCCGGGGCTTCTCTGAATCCCACAGCCTTTGCTACCCAGATCTCTCATTTGGTCTTTAGGTTGTCTTGGAAATTCTGTTTTTAATTGCATGAATCTTCCCTCCTCAACTAGATGGAAAGCTCACTAAAAGAAGGGATTATGCCTTAAGATAACAACAGTTATTAAAGTGGCAACAATATCTGCTATTTGCCACTTTTTCTGTACTTACTTTGTAAGTACATTATCTCAAAATCTCATAAGAAAGTCTTATTCTTATTGAATGCTTGAAGAATCAAAGTGTCTTACCTAAGGCCACAGAACTAGTAGTGACAGAAGGGGGATTCAAGCCAGTTCTGTCTGGCCCCAAAGCCCACTGTCTTGGTTTATTCGGGCTGCTATAACAACATATCAAAACCTGGGTAGCTTATAAACAACAGAAATTTATTTCTCACTGTTATGGAGGCTGGGAAGTCAAGGCGCCGGCAGATTTGGTGTCTCGCGAGGCCTGCTTTCTGGCTCAGAAGCAGTGCCTTCCTGCTGTGTCCTCACGGTGGAAGGGACCAGCTAGCTCTCTGGGGCATCTTTTAGGGCATTAATCCCAACATGAGAGTTCAGCCCTCAAGACCTAATCACTTCCCAACGGCCCCATCTCCTCACACCATTACCTTGGGGGCTATGATTCCAATGTATGAATTTGCATGGGTACACAAACATTCAGACCACAGAACCTGTACTCTTTCTTTCTCACCACCACCAGCAGAACAGGCTCCATGAATTTATTCCCCTGCAGGGTTTGCAGAAAATGTTGTAAACTTGGATCAATGGCTCTTAAGTTGAAAGAGGCTGGAAAGAGACCTGTATATAAAGTAACTGAGTGCAAGATTTCCCAAAGAACCGGAGATTTGGGAATAACGTCAGTGAATCCCTTCCTTTGGATACCCCAGCACTTTGTACGCCCCCCTGTCGCAGCAGTGAGCATGCTGGGCTGGCGTTATATGTCTTGAGACTGTTTCGTCTACTTAATCTGAGCTCTTAAGGACAGGACAGCAATGTTAGCTTTTATAACCTCATTGTTTAGCACAGAGGTTCTTTTTAACGCCTATAGACTCAAAAAAGGAGTATGGCAATAAAAACCTTACTCACTGAAGAAAATTAGAAAATATTAGGTATACCAAGAAGAAACTATGCTTATCAATTACCTACCAACAACATATATTACCACTTAATATTTTACTCAGTTTCCTTCCAGTCTCTGTTGAATGTTTGTTCTCATGTTGAATGAAGAGATGCAAAGAAAAATGCGGTTAAAATAAGCAGGCTTCCTATTTAAGGTGCAATGGAGTGACCTAGATGCTTGTCTGGGGGTCTCTGACCCCATCTTGAAAGTATTTTGTTGTTGCAATATAGGGAGGCTTCTTTTAGAAGAAATTGCTGACTCTCCTTCCCTGTGGGCAGTTCCCCAGGACTCCAGCGGGCCACTTGGCTAGATGGAGGGTGAGGTCTCCAGGGGGAATGACAGATCAGCACTGGGTCTCCTTTTGCCCTGCCTCAGCTTGACATTCTTTGAGTATTTAAAATAAATAAATAGCTTTCCAATGTACACACAGCAAATATTACCAGGCACCAGTTTCTTTAGTAATCATATGTGATGTGTTTTCTATGGCCTGCATCTTAAAAACCTGCACAATTAGAGTGAGAGAAAGATCAATAGTTGTTTTAGTCCTAGCTGGCTTTCCCATCTTATTTAAATATTTCTCAATGTCTCGGGAAGTAGATGTCTGGGGAAGTGGATGTTGAAGATAAAGACCTTTCTTTTTCTTTCGAAACAGGGTTTCACTCTGTTGCCCAGGTTGGAGTGCAGTGGCACATCTCAGCTCACTGCAGCCTCTGCCTCCCAGGCTCAAAGGATGCTCCTGCCTCAGCCTCTCAAGCAGCTGGGACTATTGGCACACACCACCACACCCAGCTAATTTTTGTATTTTTTGCAGAGATGGAGTTTCGCTATGTTGCCCAGGCTGCTCTCGAATTCCTTGACTCAAACGATCTGCCCACCTCAGCCTCCCAAAGTGCTGGGACTATAGACATGAGCCACCTTGCCTGGCCAAAAAGACTTTGAAGTTCATTAACTGGTCACTTTCCACAACCACATCTGTGGTTTAAGTTGCTGTGGCCACGTGGCCCACAGGGATGGCACTCTTTAGAGCAGTGACCTGCTAGGGGGCCCAGGTAGAGGAGGGGGTATGGAAAGTGGCTCCTCAGAGGTCCTTTGGATGGACTGATTTCTGTTTCTCCCTTTCAAGGAAACAAAGATGACACTGGAGAGGCCTGTCCTGCCTTCCCCCTAGTTGGAGACTTGAATGAGGGGCTGACTAGGTCTGGTTAGGGTTCCTGGGTAAGACATGAGGCTGTTCCAGAACGGGGAGGGAAGGAATAAACCATTTCAGTTGCCCTTTTCTCTGCCTGGTTAAATTCAATACGCTGCTCTCTTCCCCAAGTTAAGAACAATTCAATATGCAATAATGTGGAAAATATGAGCCATCACCATTATTTTATATTATAGCAAAAGGCTGTATTTTATCTTATTCATTAAATGAAAAGAAAGGAGAGAATGAGTTCCAATGAAACCAGACACTGAACTTCCTTTCTGAACATCTGCCTCTAATGTGTCAACAGGGAGTATTTCTGTAGCAGTGTGGGATATGTGAGGACACAGGCTCCCCATCTACAGAACACCATGGTCTTGAGTGATACTGCTATGACAGGAAGGAAAGACCTGGGAGAAGGGGTCCATAGTGGTATATTCCCTCCCTTCCTAGAACCTAGATAATTGAGACTTGCCTCTTAGGAATAAAGACAATAAAAAGAAAAAAACTGAAGATAAAGCCACAGCAGAAGAGAACATCAATAATGACTCTCAATTTAAAGTGATATTTTGTGCCATGAAAGACGAAGACCAAGACCCTGTTCCAAATTAAAGGTGACTAAGGAAGCATAAGCAGGCCGGGCGTGGTAGTTCATGCCTGTAATCCCAGCACTTTGGGAGGCCGAGGAGGGAGGATCACCTGAGGTCAGCAGGTCAAGACCAGCCTGGCCAACATGGTGAAACCCTGTCTCTACTAAAAACACAAAAACTAGCCAGGTGTGGTGGTATGCACCTGTAATCCCAGCTACTTGGGAGGCTGAGGGAGGAGAATCACATGAACCTGGGAGGCAGAGGCTGCAGTGAGCCAAGATGGTGCCACTGTACTCCAGCCTGGGTGACAGAGGGAGAATCCGTCTCAAAAAAAATAATAATAATAAAAGAAAAAGAAAGAGAAACATAGGCAAATGTAAGTGTGGAATCCTGGATTGGATTCTGGGCCAGGAAAAAGAGACGTTTTTCTTTTGCAGTAAAGGACATTGATGGGACAACTGGCCAATTTGAATAATGGTAGTAGACGTATTATATCAGTGTTAATTTCCTGATTTTGAAAATTCTATCTCTCTATATCTATCTATCTATCTATCATCTATCTATATCTCTCTATATCTATCTATTTATCTATCTATCTATCTATCTATCTATCTATCATCTATCTATGTATCTATGTAGCTAGAAGGGATGGTAAAATGTTAACATTTGGGAGATCTAGGTGAAGAGATATTGAAGTTCTTTGCACTATTTTGGTACATCTGAAATTATTTTAGGGTAAAAAGCAAAAACAATTTAAAAAATACTATTTTAAAGCACTATTATATCTTTTTGCTATTACTATTTTAAAATACATTAATAAGACTCTTTTTTTTTTGAGACAGGGTCTCACTCTGTTGCCCAGGCTGGAGTGCAGTGGTGCAATCACAGCTAACTGCAACTTCTGCCTCCCAGATGAAAGTGATTCTCTTATATCAGCCTCCAGAGTAGGTGGGACTACAGGCGCCTGCCACCATACTCGGCTAATTTTTGTATTTTTTGGTAGGAATGGGGTTTCACCATGTTGGCCAGGCTGGTCTCGAACTCCTGACGTCAAGTGATCTGCCCACCTTGGCCTCCCAAAGTGCTGAGATTACAGGCATGAGTCACTATGCCTAGCGATAAGACCCTTTTAATATCTTTGAAAGGTTTAAATGTTAGGAAAGTTTGTTTCTATTGTGCTGAGTTGTTATTAAATAGTCCGCTCCTCTGGACTGGATTATTTACCCTTTGGTATCTTGTGAAATGTTTGCTCTACCTTCAAACATCCAAGTAAGTTACAGACCAGTAAAACAGTGTCAAGTTGCTCCCTGGTTCTGTTCATCCATCACTTCAAAGAATTAAACAGATAAATACTTCCGTGTTAATTCCTTTCTCCTCCTTCCCAGCCCTCACACCAAATGGCCCCTTGTGGGGACATAGTCACTCTGGGGAGGCATTCTGCAGAGAACACCAGGTTTGGCTCCAGATGGCTTATATTTAAGTTCCAAGAACTAATGGTTTTTAGTTATGTGTCTTTTAGTGATTAATCTGTATGAGCGTCAGTTTCTGACTATGTCAAACGGGGCTAAAATAGTATTTGGTTTTTGTTTGTTTGTTTGGGGAGACAGAGTCTTGCTGTGTTGCCCAGGCTGGAGTGCAGTGGCATTATCATGTCTCACTGAAGTCTCAAGCTGCTGTGCTCAAACAATCCTCCCACCTCAACTTCCCAAGGAGCTGGGACTACAGGCGTGCCCCACTATGCCCGACTAATTAATAATACTTGTTCTACATCACTTTCTAGAGCTATTGGAAGATCCAAATAAAAAGATGCATGAAATGCTTTGAAAAATGCTCCACAGCCTTTGTTATTTATGAACTTCTGTACATAAGGTGTGGGTTGGGGGTTTATCTCCAAGGCCCTCTATCTAACACTGTTTGAGCTGCCTGACATATTATCCATGACACAAACCTAGAAGACAAGTTGGCTCAGCTGCTTGCCAGTGCCTTCAGTTGATATTTTTAAAAAACAGCTACCATATAGTGAACTCTTCATATTCATCCTTATAAAAAGTCCCAATTTTAGATGAGGAAATTTAGACAGCTCAGAAAGGCCACAGGACTTGACATAGTACACAAAGCTACTAGGTGGCAGATTCTGGACTTGAACCCTAGTCTCTATTACTTTATAGCCTGAGTTCCTTCCACTGTGTTACTGTGTGGCTCTGATGATCAATGAACAGAAGCTATAGTCACTGCAGGAAATTAACTAAGAGCAATTTTGCCTAGTGAGTAGTACCAAAGAGGCTTGGATTGATCCATGGAGAACTGTGTTTTAATTGAGCATGAAGTTGTCCATGTTTTTGTTTTGTTTTGTTTCATTTTTTTGAAACAGTGTCTCACTCTGTTGCCCAGGCTGGAGCGCAGTGCCAGGATCACAGCTCATTGCAGACTTGACCTCCCAGGCTCAAGTAATCCTCCTGCCTCAGCCTCCCAAGTAGCTGGAACTCCAGGCACATGCGACCATGCTCGGTTACTTTTTGCATTTTTTTGTAGAGACAGGGTTTTGCTATGTTGCCCAGGCTGCTCTCAGACACCTGAACTCAAGTGATCCCTGGCCCCGGCCTCCCAGAGTGCTGGGATTACAGTTCTGAGCCGTCGTACCCAATCTGTCCATGTTTCAAATACTCATCTAGACATCCACCTCAGCCAAATAAACTTGGTTTGAGTTTGGGGACTTAATCTAAGAAGCACTCCTCTTTGGGACTATACTCATCTCTACAAGGCAAAGAGAGTTTGCCTCTTTCTTACCCATGTTTCAAACATTTCTTCTGGGCGCAGGCGACGTAGAGTGGGTCTGGAAAAAAAAAAAAAAAAAAAAAAAGAAAGAGCTTCCTTGAGTAGGGATCACTGTGGCAGACACAGCAGCCACAGCATTATGAAATGTAAAATGAGATGATGCTTCCTTTGCAAGGCAGGGAGAGCCCTAAAAACCCACTTATCTTCTAAGGAAACAGACCTGCTCTACTCTGCTGTGTCAGACAGCGAGCTGGGCCAAGGCACTCAGCCTTTTCATAGACCCACTGATCCAAGAATTATAAAGTCTTTTACAAACAATGGGTCAGAGGGCACAGGGTCAGCTCATTCCCAGGGCAAGATGCCATTTCCTTCCTCACAGATAGCCACCACTCCAGAGAGCCCACAGCAGGCCTGGAATGAGAAACCTGAGGGGGAAAACAGGAAATCTCGGATTTTGTAGGTTAAAACTGCCTTTGTTTTATCATCTGGTGTATACATTGAAAGTCCTTTAGGGATATTTAGGGGAGCAGACAGGATCTATATTTTGCTCATAGTTTCATTTCTTTCTGAATATTGGCAAATAGTGCTGGACATATTAATATTTGCTCCTCCAAGTACTGCCTTCCTGAAGGAACTAGGACTGTCCAGGTGAGGGGGATCACAGTACTGCAGGTCCAATGAACACACTCGTGTACATGCCAGGTAGGGTGGAGGGACAAGCCAGTGAGTCCACTACCATGTTCCATATTCCCATATCTTCCCTCCCTCAAGAGCAGGGGTCAAAAAACTACAGCTGGTGGGACAAATCCAGCCAGGGCCTCCTGTTTTCCTAAATAAACTTTTACTGGTACACAGCCACACCCATTTGTTTATACATGATCCATGGCTGCTTTCATGCCACAGCCGCAGTTAAGTAGTTGCTACAGACGCCATCTGGCCCACAGAACCTGAAATATTTACCATTTTGTTCTTTACAGAAAAAGTTTGCTGATCCATGCTGGAGCTACACTAAGTGGTATCAAGCATTTCTCTCCCAGAAGTTCTATGCATAGAGTGTTCATCCTTGGCTAAGTTACTTAACTATTGAGTCCAATTCCTTGATCTGTAAAATTGGGATAATAATAATTACTCCCTAAGGTTGGAGATTAGATAAAATAGTTTCCCTAAAGCACTGGGCATGGTTATTGGTATATGGGAACTTTCACTAAATTGCTCTCATTCCTAGTATAGAATTTTATTTATATCTTGCCCTGGCTTTGAGGGGATTTGCTGACTGAGGGATTTATCAAACTCTGCTTGCAGGTGCAGACTTAGATTCAGAAGTAATAACATCCCTGCTAGTCATTACTGATCAACAAAGCCATACTACTGAGTTCTGTACTGCTGGGGTACTAACTAGGTTGTTGCTCTTGGCAGGTCTGAAATGTTAGCACAGAGAGGCTCCTCTCCATTCCCCAGACCCCAGGCCCCCAGCCCCCACATGCCATCTCAGGCACCTTTGGTGTTCCTTCACAAACTCCACCAGCTCCTCTTCTGTGTAAGGTTTGTTGGGGATGGCAATGGGCTCATCCATAAATGGCTCATAGAAGTCAACCTCATTCATCTTCAAAGATAATTTCTTTGCAACCTGTAACCATTAGAAATAAGACAAAGTTTATTTGAATACTAGTCTAGAATAGCAGTGTGTTGTCCATCTAAGATAAGTGTGTATGTTTTCCGGCAAAGACATAAAAACAGATGTACAGTTTTAACTTCAATGTTGAAGTGACAGGAACTTATCACCCAAGGCCTGGCTAGACTAATCTTCTTTTGTGATCAAAGAAGGAAAGATAGGAAGGAAAAAGACTTATCTAGCAAATGAGGGTCGGGCAGGGGCAGGGAGCAGTTGAGATGCGAAGTGGGAAATTTAATTCTACAATCACCATCACTCTACTGCATTTGCCAGGGCTGGATGGGAAGCAAATGCCAATGGAGCATATTTACTATCCTGTGTTGTATGGATTTAATGGAACCAATGTTGATAAAACAGGCAATTGATGGAGATCCTTAAGGCATATAGGTACTCAGAATCAGAACCCAACCCATTAGCCTGTCTTTGATCTGCTCATAGCCCTAATTGCTTTTTAGGTTGAAGTGCTGGCCCTACAGTTAAATCTCTCAGTACCCAACTTGCTTCATGGTTTGTCAGGCTTTGGGAGCTGCCCAGTTTGTCAGCAGTTATGAGGTGACTGACCATCTTGCTTTGTTCTGGGTGGAAGGGCTCCCTGGGATGCAGGACTTTCAGTACTGAAACTTGGACAGACCCCAGTAAGCCAGGATGATTTGCTCATCTTACAACAGATAAAGAGCTCGGAGAGCCAGCCGATAGCCAGGAAGACATTTTCTCTCTGGATTAAAGCAGCCACATGTTCAGTGTGTTGTCAAGGCAGAATGGTTGCTGTTTGCCTGCACAGCTGCTGAACTCAGGACCTCTGTTTGTGAAATGATTTCAGAGGCCTGGAATGTGCAACGCTCTATAGAAAACCAAATGCCACTCTTTTCTAGTTCAGAGCTGTGGTTCAAGAAAGCGCAGGGATGAACAGTGGTTCCCTTTAAGCTGAAGAGGAATTGCCTAAGAGCTGATGCACTGTGGTGGTAACCCGTGGTGCCGTGACCCAGGGCGGCTGCAACTAACTGGGGAAGGGGAGGAGCTGGGTATTGCATAAGCTCTTACACAAGGAGATCCATTCTGAGGAAACATTGATATCCATATGGTTTTTGTCATCAATTGCTATGAATTCCAGGTCACTATATTCTGAAAGGCATTTCATATAGTACTTAAGGGAGAGAAATTCCAGCATCCTACTCAGAGATCAAGAAAACAGGCCATGTTGACAGCTATAGTCAGTCAAGGGAGATTTTATTGTCAGGTTAATTTTAAGAGAGGGAGATGTGGAGTTTTTTCTAACTGTTTTTCCCTCTTCTCAGGGGTAGGGGGGTGATGTAGATGATGAGGTGATGAGGCAGGGAGCCAGAGTGGGCAAGAAAATGACATTGAATTCTGGTTTTCTGAGTTCACTTACTATGTATTCTAGGAACCAGAAGACTGTTTCCATGAAAGGAGAAGTGATCAGAATGAAAACAGTAATAATAACAAACATATGGAGTGCTTATCACGTGCCAGGCACTGCTGCCAGGTGTTTTAGGTTGATTCTTTGTTTAATTCTCACTTTGATTGTATGTGGTAAGAATGATTATCATAGTTATTTTACAAATGATGAACCTGAGGCACAATTTGGGTAAGAAATTTGTCAGGATCATATATCTGGAGGGAGCAGAGCCAGAAGTCAAACCCGCCTGGTGGTGGTGATAGTCTCGTCTC
The DNA here is from genome assembly GCF_000001405.40 of Homo sapiens. Taxonomy (NCBI): domain Eukaryota; kingdom Metazoa; phylum Chordata; class Mammalia; order Primates; family Hominidae; genus Homo; species Homo sapiens. Next base: position 115,728,857 of record NC_000001.11, read on the forward strand.
TGAATGCCAATGTCTGGGTCCACAGTGCTGTCTAAGAATGTAAAAATTGGATTGTCGTGTCCTTAATTTAAGTCTTGGAAATGCTAAGTAAAAATTTCCCAGGGATCTCTTCACTGTCTACCTACCACCATCATGGAGTGCTCTCATCTTGTATCTCAGAGAATCCCTCTCTTTCATTCTTTTTTTTTTTTTTTTTTTTTTTTTTTTGGTGAGACAGAGTTTTGCTCTTGTTGCCCAGGCTGGGGTTCAATGGCACAGTCTCGGCTCACTGCAATCTCCGCTTCCCAGGTTCGAGCGATTCTCCTGCCTCAGCCTCCCGAGTAGCTGGGATTATGGGCACAGGCCACCACACCCAGCTAATTTTTGTATTTTTAGTAGAGATGGGGTTTCGCCATGTTGGCCAGGCTGGTCTTGAACTACTGACCTCAGGTGATCCACCTCCCCCCTCGGCCTCCCAAAGTGCTGGGATTACAGGCGTGAGCCACTGCGCCCGACCCCCTCTTTCATTCTTATTATTCCTATCTTGGATGGTAAGGACTGAAGGGATTTGATTGGTTGAAGCTTTTATTCATTCATTTATTCAGTAAGTATTTAGTGGGGCCTACTGAACCCAAGGCATTATTCCAGGAGGAGATCTGGTTCATGGGTATTAGCATTATATAAGAATGAATTATATTATTAAGAACCAAATGGGTCCATAAAAATGAATTCTTTCATGCTTTTATCTGTTAACTAGTTGGAATAGATTTCAACAAAGATAAGAAAACTACAAAGTACAATGCCAATTTTCTGACATGTGCATGTATATGAATTTTGATACAAATCATTTTTCCTCCAGTTAGCAAGTCATTTTAGTTGTTGCCAATGAAACCAACTCAAGTATTAGGTTGGTGCAAAAGTAATCGCAGTTTTTGCCAAAAGTAATGGTTTTTGCCATTACTAAATTTAGGTCTTCCCAACATCTATCTTCTCCACTAACTTTGTTTAGTCACAGCACCCTTTGGCTCCAGTGTGATTTAAAAAAGAAAGTGATTTTTCGTCTCATTGTTCACTCAGACAGAGAGAGGAACAGGTCAGTGGGCGGGGACATGGGATTTTAAGAACTGATATTTTTCAGGCTGTGAGGTGCAGCAGAGTGGAACCATCCTTGGCCCTCTGACACTTTCTTGTTCTAACTGCTTCTTCAGAGAGGTTGGGCCTTCGTGTGGCTTGATTTAGGATTAGTATTAATAGATCAGTACTGGTCCTAAACCTCCACACCCTTTAAAATTCCTTGGGTGGCTTTTGAAAATGCAGATTCCCAGACACTGCCACAACCCTAAAAAATTAAAATTTCCAGGGCTGGGGCCCAGAGACCAATGGTTTTAAAAGCTTGTTGGAGGATACTAATATGGATAGTGGTTGGGAACTACTGACTGACAAATTTACATCAGCAGCCATGACATCTCACCCTCTTTACAGTCTTGCAACTCATATGATGTATTTATTGGTTTGTTTACTTTTGAACTTTCTGTCTTTCCATCTTCTCTTTCCCACAATAAACTTTAAATTCTAAAGGGCAGGAATCTGCTTTGCTCAATGTTGTGTCCCTGGCACTAAGAAGAGTGCCTGGCACATAAAGGGCACTCAATAAATACTTGTTGAGTGAATGACTGAATTAATTAATTAATTAATTAAGGACATTTCCAGTTGAATGTTTCCCCAACTTTTAGAAAATAGAACTCATAACCCCATCTCTTGTTCCTCAATAGATTCTTCTTCCTGGATTTCCTAATGTTTTCAGTAGCTTCATAATTTTTGCTGTCTTAACGCCAAGACTTGCTATCTTAAGTTATTTTGAGGCCTTCTCTCATCATCTCATCAATGGCCAGATCTTCTTGTTATATCCACTTTTACTAGTGCCAGTTGTTTTTTGCATTTTTGTGACCGCATTAGTGCTTTCTTGTCCCTTGCCTCTCCTGGTTTCAGACCTCAACAAAGCACCTCCAGGTCCCTCTGAGATTCCCTAGGATGTGTTGTACAAACAGGTCCTTTCAGCCACTTCACATTTATTACTTTTCTCCTCTTCTGTCCTAGCACTCCCTGCTGGAAACCACTGAGGCTCTACCAGGTGCAGTCATGCCTTCTGGACTCCACCATCTCCCCTTGGACACCCCCTCCACCCCAACTGATGGATGCAAGTTCTTAAGCACCAAATGGCATCAGAGTCCTCTCAGTGCTCTCCCCTCTGTGTACCTTTGTCTCTTTAAATATTCTGAAATCCAACAAGGCTACATGAACACTGGCACTTATGACTCAGTGTCCTACAGAATTTGAATAAAGCATCTCTCTGAATTTTTAATCATAGCCTGACCTCACCTTTTTCATGGACCACAGGCATGAAGCTATACAGTTGCACTAGGAGGCACTTCTACAAACAAATACTACCCTGAGCTCAACGTTGAACCACCCCTCTAAAAACTAAGGCTTTGTTGCTGGACAAATTAATTGGCCTGCCTCTCTATTCCTTTCAGCTGGATTCTTACCCAGGAGCCTCTTTAGCCACACCTAGTCCATTAGAACCAAATGGTCCATCAGAACCATATGTCAGTAATGGATTCAGTTTCGGCTTCTCTGTTCCTCCCTTTCTCTACTAATATCCTATCCAATCCTCCCACTTCCTGGGCCTAGATGATTGCTTTCTTATGAACAATGGTGCTCATAGCTGGCTAACTATTACTGAATGCTTCCTGTGTGCCAAAAACCAGCTAGGCAGTTTGCATATATTGCTTCTTTCTCTGGAGTAAAGTAGGACAGAGCATTGACTTTGAAGTCAGGCTGGTCTGAGATTATAGCAAGCTTCTCAATTCAGTAACTACATGATCATGAAAAAATCACTTAATCTTTCAGCACCTCAGTTTCATCCTCTGTAGAATGAGGATACTAATTCCTCCCTTATGGGAGTGTTGAAAGGATGAAGTGAGAAAATCCATGTTAACTTCTTAGCACACACTCTGGCACAAAGAGACTTCTTAGCACAGACTCTGGCACATAAAAATTTTTTTGAATTTATTATTTTTTATATTTTTATTTTTTGAGAGAGGATCTCACTCCATTGCCCAGGTTGGAGTACAATGGTATGATCACAGCTCACTGCAGCTTCAACCTCCTGGGCTCAAGTGATCCTCCCACCTCAAGCCTCCCAAGTAGTTCGGACTACAAGTGTGTGCCACCACACCCAGCTAATTTTTGTATTTTTTGTAGAGATGGGGTCTCACCATGTTGCCCAGGCTGGTCTCCAACTCCAAGGCTCATGCAATCCACCCCCGTCAGCCTCCCAAAGTGTTGGGATTACAGGTGTGAGCCACAGCACCTGGCCCATAATAGACACTTAATACATGATAGCTTTTTTGATTATTCTTGCTCAAGATCCCTCCCAACTGTAATACAACTAATTAGGATAAACATTCTTCAAGTTTAGATTATGTTACTTGGATTATAGAGCACTCTTCTGGATCATAGGCTTGAAGACTGGGCCATGTCTACAGAAGTGGTTCATCATATACATGAACTGAATGCAATCTCATCCCACCACGTCCCTTCCCTGCTTCAGCTCACTGACTTCCTCTTGTTTTTCGCAGAACACTTGCTTGAACTAATCACAGAGGAGTTCCCATTCTACTTCCCATCCTGACGCAGTAGAAGGGGAAGTATGCAACCCCAGGAAGGGAGAGGATACCCCCTAAGGAAAAAGGAAGCAGTGGCTCAGTGGGCTGGCACACTCTGGGCCCACACGTTTCCCATCTCAGTGTATAAGAAGATAATGGTGGGTCATCACTTTTCCTTGGATGTTTTCATAAATATCCTTACATCCTCTGACTTAGTCATCTTTGTACTCATCTTAAATCCAATAGTGATTTAGTGATATAATTCTTAACCCTTCTAGAGAAAGAGGCAAGGGAGGATGGTTAATGTTGCTAAAAGAAAAGAAAGAGTGGTGAGAGTTCAAACTTTAATTCTTCATGCCTACAAAACTGTTCAAATTGGGGTTTCATAGGTACTTACCCCTTTGTCAAAGGTGGCAAAGAATTTGATGTAAGGCTGGAAGTGTTCAGCTGCTTCTTCAAAAGCCTTGTAGTCTAAGGGGAAAAATAAAGATGAAGGGAGAGACATTTTCAAGATGAACACAGAAGAATCTTCTTTTTAAATGGTGTAGAGAGTAGAAAGCCAATTAATCCTGATTGGATAATAATTTAGTAGGTATTGTTTACATAGATGTTATTTAATATTATTTAAGCCCATAGTTCCCCCCAAGGAGTTGGAATTGACTGGCATTCAAACGCCCAAGAGAAGACCCATTCACCACACTTTTATGAACTGCAGGTAGAAAGCACGAAACAGAGGGAACCGGGAGGAAAAGAGAGAGAAAAAGACGCGTAAAACTCCAAACCAAAATAAAAAGACCTTTCATTCTAACTCACTGCTACTTATAATCATGCCCTCTAGAGAGAGTGCAGTTTGCCAGAATAAATGAGCCCTAAGTAAGAAGGAAATTCGTCTCACAGTGTAAAGTAACCTCAATCACAATTGACATCACAGAAGTATTTTAAACTTCTTCATGGAAGTACTCCTGTTGCTGAATTCTAGTTTTCTTTCCCTTTTTTTCATTTTAAAGTTTTCTTTTTTATTCTGATGCCTCAAGAGGATTTCTTAAACTTAATCAAGCTCTTGATTGACTATGGTCTCAAACTTGAGTCCATACTGGCCGAGGCAGTATGAGATCAGGTGAGTGTGGGAGTGCTGTACCTTGGTACACCTGGGGAGTTACTTGGGAAAGAGATTTGTCCTCAAACCTTAGTTGTGAGGGTGATGGTAATTGTGGTGGTGGTGGTGGTGGTTATGAATAAATGCTATAAGCCTGAGAGTCAATGAGCCTGTGATTTATTCTTAACAAGATTAGCTTCTTTCCATTTCATGGAATTCCATTTCCCTTAACCGTGTGAAGTATAAGCCTTTGTTAGAATTCTGGGACCATGCAGAATTTACTAAGATTCTATCAAAATTTTTTTAGAACAATGTTAATCCAGAGGATACCAAAATGAATAAGACAAAGATACTGATCTTCAAAAGCTCTCAGCCTAGAGAGAGCTATTGATCCTTAAAGAATCAAAATGCAGCATGATAGTTGTTACAACAGAGGTGAGTGCCGCAAGCACAGGTGAGAGAGGGGTTGGAAAGTCATGAGAATACTTGCACATACTGATACACACTCACACTAACTTGTCCTCATAAAAGTAAGCAGGTAGTCAGAAAAGATATCCTGTAACATCATAGCTGGGGTCGAGAATTGGGTGGAGGGGAGAAGTTGGCTGAGAGCATTTGAAGAATGAATGGAGTGAAAGTAAGGAAGTAGAATGGCTAAAGCAACACCTAAGCCATCTGTGTCTAAAGCAGCAGTGGGCTCTATCAGAATCCTCTATCCCCCTCTTTTCCAATCCCCATGTCCCTGATGAATTTCTCTTCCCCTCCATGAACTCCCACCCTGTTGGAAAGAATGGCTTAGGCCTGTGTCAGGAGCTTCCCTTCCTCTCTTGGAGAGCTGGTCTACATCACTTTAAGATGAAGAATGGAGCAAGGTGACCTCCAGATGGGTGATTCAAAATGTGGCTTGACCTTTAGCCTCAGCCAAACAGCAGTTGTTTTCCAAGAAGCCTCCTCTTGTCTTCTGCTCTGTTGGAGCTCAGGTCATCTCTAGGCTTTCCCTGCCTCCTGACCAGCCTGTTCCTGGTCCCTTCCAGTCAGACCCCTTTCCCACTTTCTTTGATGACTCTTTTGGCTTCTGGAATAGGCTCCTGAACATTGAGTTCCCAGCCTCCAGCTTACTAAAAACTTATCTTAGCATTTTCTCTCCTTTCTTCCCCCTCTCTCAGGGTTGTGCGTACTGGATATTAGTATCACAGACGTTAGTAACTGGGTGTGGTTGATGGCACCAGTTAGAAACCCTGACCAGAAATGCTTGGAATAATATCATCTGTCTTACAAAGAAGAACCAAACCAATTTGTTGGGGATGAAACATTCAAAGAAGTAAATAAACATGTCAAAATAGATTCTGAAAGCACTGCACAAAATAAGTGTACACAATTAAATGTATAAACTTTATAGTGTATGAATTCTATACACAGTTAAACTCTGAAGTCAGATTTTGAATGTCCAAGTTCATGTACTGATAGTACAGCTACAATGACAAGAAAGTGTAAAGGCTTTACATCAAGCTCTTTCTGAAAATCTTGAGATTCAAATAATATTTATTCAGAGAAAAAGTTCATCATATAAAGGTTTGCCTGTGAATCTGCATTCCACAAAAAGGTTGTTATTTTTAAAAAGTGACTCCAATAACATTCAAACCTGTATAACTCCTTCTCTTTATAGCTTTTGGTGAAGAAATGGGTTCAGGAGACCTCTCCCTGCTCTTTCATCCTAAAGTGGGTTAACTGCGCAAGAATTTTACAGAGTTTATTAGCTAAAAACTAGATTTAAAACTATGCTATGAATTATGCTTACTTTGAAAATATTTTGAGGGATCATTATTGGCTTCAAAAAAGGCTAGATCTTGCTAAACACCTACTTGAATGTACTTAATTGAAAATTGCAAGGGCTACGTGAAATATATAATGTACTAACAAAGTTTATACATTTAAAAACAAAAATTCAACCTTAAAAAGAGGTTAAAATGATTCACTAGCAATTTTATTAAATTTTAAGAATGATTATTAAGATCAGTAGAGCAATATCTGTGTATTCCTAAGGAAAAGCTTCATTATTATTTTGAAATATTGATGATATACAAAATTTAATTAAGATCTGTAATCCTTTCAAATTCATTCAAATTATTATAAGGAATATGAACATTACATTTGTCAATGAAAAGAAAAGTGATAGCTGTCAGATTGAACTAAGTGCCCTTGAAGGACACTTTAGAGATGGAATTATCTGAATTATGTCCAATGGCAAAAAAAGAAAGCTCATCAGTCAAAGAAAGAGCAGGCCGGACGTAGTGGCTCACGCCTGTAATCCCAGCATTTTGGGAGGCCGAGGCGGGTGGATCATCTGAGGTCAGGAGTTCCAGACCAGCCTGGCCAACATGGTGAAACTCCATCCTTACTAAAAATACAAAAAATTAGCCAGGCATGGTGGCAGGCGCCTGTAATCCCAGCTACTCAGGAGGCTGAGGCAGGAGAGTTGCTTGAACCCGGGAGGCAGAGGTTGCAGTGAGCCGAGATTGCACCATTGCACTCCAGCCTGGGCAACACGAGTGAAACTCCATCCCGAAAAAAAAAAAAAAAAATAGAAAAAGCAATGGATATTGTCCTCCCATTTGTCACTATCCACATATACAAGTGAAGTCTCTTGTCCAAGGTGACCATCAAGAATTTGAAGAGATCATCATTTAAAATCTTGATAAGGAATTTCATGTTGCTATTTTAAGCATAAAACCTAATATCAAAAAGCTATATCCTGGGTTGGGCACAGTGGCTCATGCCTGTAATCCAAGCACTTTGGGAGGCTGAGGCGGGTGGATCACTTGAGGTCAGGAGTTCAAGACCAGCCTGACCAACATGGTGAAACCCCGTCTCTACTAAAAACACTAAAATTAGCCAGGCGTGGTGGCGGGCACCTGTAATCCCAGCTACTCAGGAGGCTGAGGCAGGAGAATCACTTGAACCCAGGAGGCAGAGGTTGCAGTGAGCCAAGATCATGCCACTGCACTCCAGCCTAGGCAACAGAGCAAAACTAGGTCTCAAAAAAAAGCTATATTCTTGAGGCAAGCATAAGATTCTCATTCAAAATTTTTTTTAAAAATTGGAGGTTTTTTACAATGCAATATGTAATATATTTCATATTACTTTTGTACACCATACTAGCCATGTGATAATGGGCAAGTTAATTGCACCTTTCTGTTCCATCCTTTCATCATCATTAACATGCAGGTAATAATGATAATCACCTCACAGGCTTGTTGTGAGAATGAAATTAAGGCATCCATATAAGCTCCTAGCATAGGCCCTAGCATATGAAATGTGTTAATTAAATACTATTATCATGATGATTCGTCTAGGCGGGGGAAGACGCCAAGGGTACTGAAAGGTGTGCTCTTTATCCTAACCTTGTTTTGCTTCCCTCTTATCTGCCATCCTGAGCTACATGGATGAAGAGGATAGAGGAACATAAAGATGGAAACAAATTGAGACAGACGAACTGAAAAGGAAGGGGAAGGAGAAGCACCCCAGAGTAGTCAGCACTGATACGGAAATGTACAAACTAAAATAAAATTGCCTAAAGAAGAACTGGGGCAAATCTCCCTGGTTAGCCACCTCCCTCTAGCACATTCATTTTAAGCACTGTAAATGGAGGTTTTAATGAAGCAAATGAAAAGAGGGTTAAGTTGGGGCATGGGAGACAGAAAATGAATGGGTTGTTGATGAGGTGACTAAGGATGCTAGTGGGAAGACTGGTTAAAGAAATGGGTTTGCAAACAATTTCAGAATATTTTGGGGTTCTCAGAAATAGTCATAAGCAGCCCACATTTGTACTTCCTACGTGTATGAATGCTACCAGAGTTATGCTCACCCGCTCTAATGCTGTTCCTCTCTCCAAGGCTGAGATACCAGAAAAAAGCCTACCTCACGGGGGCCATGCTGCCAAAGCAGTTTTAAATATGTACAGTACTCAAGTGCTTACTCCTCCTGGTCCCTTCTGCCTGCTCTTCCTGACTCACCCCCACCACCCGCTCATCCCTATATGGGCTGTAGTGATGTTATCATAGGTTCTGTGTCCACCCAAAACCTGGTCACAAAGCTTTCAAAGGGAATATGTCCAAGGGTGTGGCTGCACTATGACAGGTAGCCTTGGTGGTCAGCTGTGGGCTTGGCCAGCGATTTTTCACATTCTGTAGCCACTGCTAAGCCCATCCCTACCCCAATTTTCCACTCATGCTTTCCAATTGACTGCAAAGCTCTCCAGCTGGTGACCATAGGAGCTACCAATGCCAGGGAGACAGCCCATTGCTTGTCCCATTGTAGGGGAGAATCCGACTGGGAGGTGGGTAGGCAGGAAAAGTGGAGAAGAGCTTTTCTCTTTTTTGTAGAACACTCAGCCTGCTTTAAAGCTGGAGAACCTGGCCCCTCCTTAATATTCTTGCAGCTTTCCTGACTGTTTTGTACAATTTTTGCACATGTACTCCACTGTGTTAGGCTCAGGAAGAATTCTAACTTCTATTCTACCCAGCAAAAGAGGTGCTGAAGACCCATCCTCTTTTGGGGTAACCTGACATACCTTGTTTGGAATCTAGCTTTTAGACTGATCGGCTGGGGTTGGCAGACAACTTACATTCTGAGTCCTCACTCTTGAAAAAGCCAATGAGTTTGATGTAGTCTTCAATGCGTTCGAAGGCTTGGACTTCCAGTTTGCTGCTGATGATCTCCACTGGGTCTTCAATTAGCTGAAATGCCACACGCACATACACACATGTTCAAACAAGAGATTTCCTTCTTCACTGGGGAAACAGAGTGCATTGGAGGGAAGTTGTAGCGGACTTTGTGGTTGGTGCCTCAAATATCTATTCCATTCTCCCCACAATCCCCCAGTGAGCATACCAGCAGTACCTTCTGAGGAATAGAACTTAACTTAAAGAGTTAAATGATTGGTGGGGGCAACCTATTCCTTTTGCCAGTTTTAGAAAACATTTATTTTTAATTGTAGATTGACAAATTATAGTTGTATGTATTTATTGGATGTAAAGTGTTGCTATGATCTATAAATATGTGAAATAATTAAATCAAGCTAATTAACCTATCCATCACCTCAAATATTCATCATTTTTTGTGGTGAGAACATTTGAAATTTACTCTTTTAGTGATTTTGAAATATGTAATACATATTATTCACTATATTCACCATGCTGTACAATATATCTCAAAGAACAAAATCTTATTTCTCCTGTCTAATTGAGGCTTTGCACCCTTTGATCATTATCTCTCCATTCCCACCACCCCCACCCCATCCTGCTTTTGGCAACTACTCTCTGCTTCTCTGAGTTCTCGTGTTCTAGATTCCACATATAATAAGTGAGAACATGTTGTATTAGTCTTTCTGTGCCTAGCTTATTTCACTTAACATAATGTTCTCCAATTCCATCTGTATAGTTGCAAATGATAGTTTTCTTTTTTTAAAAAAAAAAAAAGCTGAATAGTATTCCCTTGTGTATGTATAGCACATTTTCTTTTCTTTCTTTTTGAGATGGAGTCATGCTGTGTTGCCCAGGCTGGAGTGCAGTGGCACGATCTAGGCTCACTGCAAGCTCCGCCTCCCAGGTTCACGCCATTCTCCTGCCTTAGCCTCCCGAGTAGCTGGGACTACGCCCACCACCATGCCCAGCTAAGTTTTTTTATTTTTGTATTTTTAGTAGAGATGGGGTTTCACCGTATTAGCCAGGATGGTCTCGATCTCCTGACCTTGTGATCAGCCCACCTTGGCCTCCCAAAGTGCTGGGATTACAGGCATGAGCCACCACGCTCCGCCATGTACCACATTTTTTTTAATCCAGTCATCTGCTGATGGACATTTAGGTGGATTTCATAACTTCCCCTGCCAGTTATTGATTCAGGAATGGGCAAGTAACTGGCCCAATAAGGACAGATTTGCTGAAGGCTTTGGGAAAAGTTCTTTACTCTTAAAAGGGCAATGGGAAGCCAAATTTGTTTTTCTGTCATGAAATATGAATGAGGAAATGCAATGTATTTGTTCCTACTGCTGGCCATCTTATAGCTAACTTGAGAATAGTCAGCTTGAGGACACAAGCAACATACTGAAAACACAGTTATCTGTGATTTACAGAGAAAAATGGAGGCAGTGTCTGGATTCGATCAAGTCTAAAGTCTCCTCTAACTAGAGCCTTCTACTTAGGTAAGTCAATCACATTGTTTATTGTTTGAAGCAGTTAGTCTTATTTCCAAAAGCCTCCCCCTAGCTGATAAAGCTGGGGCAGCACCATGCTGTCCCAGAGTTGTTCTGTCACCCCTCTCAACTTTTTTAGGGCATGTGGGTGTGAGTCAATGAGATGGCCAAGCACAGTGCGTCATGAGATGGCACTTTTTTTGGTAAATGTAGCTTCCAACTCACTTCTGACCTTCCCTCTGGTTTTTGACACTGTAGAGAAAGAATGATAGACCACTGGGTACTGGCTGGTAGATAAAGAATCATCGGCATGGATGCTCAACACTAGGTTCTTTATCTGTGCAAGAATATGTGTTCAAAGCATTGAACTTCACAGCGGTTACTGCAAGTGTGAGTTTATCTATGGATGAAATATTTTTATAATGTTTGTTCCTATGTTTGTCTAAGCATATGGATATGAGGCTGTGCTATGTCCATGGCTGAAAAAGTGTGATACTGGGGGGCTGTTTAGCTCTGTCACTTCTCTATGTTGCTCTGAGGGTGGCTAACTCAGGGTGACCTGGCTGATTGGTACTCCCATCCCTCCTCTCTCTTCAGGTGGCTGGTTAGCCCCCTCACTCCCCACATTCCCCAGCTCCTCTTCAGTAGCAGTGGAGCAAAACCAAGGAGATTTCAATAGACGTCTATGTATAACTGGTAACAGAATTAGCATATTACTACTACATGGCCCCCAACAGTTTCTAGGGTGGCTTAAAGATCACTTTCCCAGTAGAGTAGACAGTGCAATAATATAGGTGCTCCTTAGTTTTTTGTGAATCCTGAAAAACCTGTCACAGATGAGGCCAGGTTCTCCAGCTTGTCCTTTCTTTGGGGTTCTATCTCTCCCTATATTTGAGGAGAGGCAGCTCCATGCAGGGTCACTGTGTATAAATACTTACATCCAAGAGGAACTCCACCAAGACATCAGCTGCAAACTCGCCATCAAACTCTATTGTGCGATCACCCTTAAGAATATACAGGCTTCCTTCTTCATCAAAACCTGTAAGAAACAAAGAGGCCCACAGAGAAGGTCATCCTGACGTAGGAAGAGTGATTGTATTGGCTGAGGTCTGGCTGAGGGTTTCTGGGTGACAGTGGGGTCAGGATTAGTGGAACTAGCATTAACCAAAGAAGCAGTTGCCTTGAAATAACACTTTTGAAGAGCTCCTGAAGTGAACATTTAATTGGAAATAGTCCAGAACAATTCCAGCTGGATTTTGACTTAAAAGAAAAGTCTATTCTCCACTCCACCACTGCTTTAGTTTTCCAAAAATACAGCTGATCCCATGTCATTCTCTTTATCAAAGAATTGTAATGGCCACTGCCCACCTGACTCCTTAACCTTGCTTTAAAGTCCCTCCAAAATCTGTTTCCAAATCTATCCCTTTCATTCTCCCTTAGGTAGACTTGTACTCCTTTGAGAACTGCTCTCTTGTCCCCTGTGGGACTCCCTTTGCTTCCTGTCCACATGTTTATATGAAAAGGTGAGTAAAGGAAAAGTCACTGAGCATTATTCTCTAGACTTAGTTTTTCTTGTTCTCCCAGCCTGGAATGACCTCCATCTTGCTTAGCTTCTTCAGGTCTCAGCTTAGGATTCATTTTTCTTAAGAAAGGTCACTTCAATCTCACTGAACTCATGCCATTATTGATCTTTGTTCAGCTCAATTTACAGGTCTTCACTATCAAAGTGAGTTCTCTGAGGGTAGGATCATTGTCTTCTTGGTATCCCAGAGCCTTGTACAGAGGCTGTGTACATCAGCAACCCATTAATGTATGTGGCCAGGATGGACAGCTTGCTTTCCTGTTCCAGCTGAATCCCACACATCTTCTTTATCCAGTTGGCTGGTAGATGCTGCAAGGACAGGCTCAGCGTCTTCTTATTTTGCTGCCCTTTAGCACCCTTGGTCTGATGTTGTGTACCTTAACAAATGCTTGTTGGAAAAATGCATTTTCCTCCTTAGGAATGTTAAATAAACAAAGCTGGCATTTAGTCCAATTGCCTGGCATCCTTAATTCCTTAGATTGTTGTAAAAGTCTGTTAGCTGGAGAAAGTTTTCTCCAAATGAACTCTTCTGCAGAACGTCCAGGGACAGGAAAGCTGGACTGCAGCCTGCTGTGTCCCAAGGCATGCATGAGGTATAAGCAGCCTCTGGCACATGGGCGGGAAATGGTAGAGGCACCATTTGTAAATCAAAAGGAGCAATGTGCCAGGTATTCTTTTTGTTTGTTTGTTTTTTGAGACAAGGTTTTCCTTTGTCACCCAGGCTGGAGTGCAGGGCCATGATCATGGCTCCTGCCTCAGCCTCCTGAATAGCTGAGACTACAGGCATGTGCTATGATGCTGGCTAATTTTTCATATATAAGTATATATGAAAAATTATATATTTTTTATATATGAAAAATTATACTATATATGTATATTACAAGCATGAGACACCGTGTCTGGCCCTGCCAGATTTTCTTGATATCAATGATGGCCAATCTCAAAAGGTGCCCTAGGGAACATTGGCCAGTGTCCTGCTGTTGGATTTTGTCTTGAGCAAAACCGCAGTAAGAAGACTACTGCAATTGTTGAGGCACAACTTGATAGAGGCCAAAATAAGGCAAATGGAAAAGAAATGAAGATGAAGGAGCAGGTTCACAAAATACCTCCACTCTCCTATAAACCCCCAGGGATCAAATAACCGGAAGGAACCTACCCCAACTCCTCCAAACTGAGCTTGTTTCAGTGTATCAAGCGCCATCATATTCTTTGCTAGTCTATTTTTATGTATACTTGCCCAGCTTGTCCACCCAAAATTTTTAGATCACTGGGACACTAGTATTTTTCTCTAACTAAATTTGCTGGAAATTCTCCCAAATGCAACTTCTCATTAAACCAATGGGAAGGCAGAAGAAGAATCAAGAGACTGCTGGGGGAGGAGACAGAACTCATTAAACTGTTTGTTTGTTTGTTTGTTTGTTTGTTTGTTTGTTTTGAGATGGAGTCTCGCTCTGTCTCCCAGGCTGGAGTGCAGTGGTGCGATCTCGGCTCACTGCAAGCTCTGCCTCCCAGGTTCACGCCATTCTCCTGCCTCAGCCTCCCGAGTAGTGGGACTACAGGCACCCGCCACCATGCCCGGCTAATTTGTTTGTATTTTTAGTAGAGACGGGGTTTCACCGTGTTAGCCAGGATGGTCTCGATCTCCTGACCTTGTGATCCGCCTGCCTTGGCCTCCCAAAGTGCTGGGATTACACTGTGCCCAGCCATTAAACTGTTTTTGACTCTAGGGAAAGAGTTTAACATATTTTGCTCCCATACTCAAGGGAGAAAAATATCCCTCAATGTGTCTCCAGGGAAAGAGACATCCCAAGCATTCTTTATTTTTGTTTATTTATTTATTTATTTATTTATTTATTTATTTATTCATTCATTCATTTATTTTGAGACAGAATCTCACTTTGTTGCCCAGGCTGTAGTGCAGTGGCACAATCATGCAGGCAGAAGTCACGGCAATCTTGATCTCCCTGGCTCAAGCCATTCTCTCATCCCAGCCTCCCAAGTAGCTGGCACTACAGGCACATGCCACCATGCCCAGCTAATTTTTAAATTTTTTGTAGAGATGAGGTTTTTCTATGTTGCCCAAGCTGGTCTCAAACTCCTGGGCTCAAGCAATCCTCTGCCCTTGGCCTCCCAAAGTGCCCAGACATTCTTAATAACTCATTATCATTGTATAGTCCTAAATAGTTTCCTATAATTTAAATCTTTTTTTTAAAAAAAGACTGGTCTTCTTGAAAATAAAATAGAAAACAGTTGTCTGTAATTTTCCAGGATAACGGACTTTTATGTACCTGAAAGTATTCACTGAGCCACCACTAATCTTTTTTTTTTTTTTTCTGTACTTACTACTCCAAATCCAATTAACCTTTCTTCAAAGATCCTGTTTTATAACCCGCTATTTTTTTTAATAGCCATTCTTCACTGGTCATGCAGAAAAAGCCAAATGGGCAGTACATGTGTGTCAGTGTTTGAAAATCAGAGGAGCGGGCCGGGAGCTATGGCTCACGCCTGTAATCCCACCATTTTGGGAGGCTGAGGCAGGCAGATCATTCAAGATCAAGAGTTCAACACCAGCCTGGCCAACATGGTGAAACCCTGTCTCTCATAAAAATACAAAAAAAAAAAATGAACTGAGCGTGGTGGCGTGTGACTGTAATCTCAGCTACTCAAGAGGCTGAGGCACAAGAATCGCTTGAATCCAGGAGGCAGAGGTTGCAGTGAGCTGAAATCACATCACGGCACTCCAGCCTGGGTGACAGTGAGAACCTGTCTCAAAAAAAAAAAAAAAAGAAAAAAAGAAAAGAAAAAGAAAACCAGAGGAACTACCTCCATTCTCTCTCTTTGGGATTACAGGGTTGTGAATCCTAAAGTGCACTGCACTTAAGCATGACATATCGACACTAGAGAGTACAACTTCCATGTGCGGTCACTTAACCATACCTCACCTATGTCCTCCCCTCTCATCCTTGGTGATAATGCCCAACTGGGGTTTAACCTTAAATTTAAAAAGCACTGTTACCCTGGAATTATTACTATTAATGCTGTCTTTTGTTGGCTGCTTCAGCCGCAAGGCAACGAAATAATACATGATGAAAGAAGAGAATTTTTAACTCTCTCAGAGAGATCACCACAGTGGTGAGATAAGAGAAGCTGGACTTTTAGCTTGCTTTAGAAGCTGAAAATAAAAGCTTGACTCTTTAGCATCAATTTCTCCAGGAAGAAACCCTCTTCATCGTACTGATACAACAATCTCTTACATGATTAATGTGAAACCATTCAATTCAGGCCTATATTTACTTTTATGAAACTCTTCTCCAACCAAAGATGAAGGTATGCAGGATCATTTTATATATTTTAAAAGATAGTCCGCTTATGCAAGAATAATTGCAACTGTACTTTTCCTTTTGCAAGACACATTCGTTTCTTTCCCACATACAGTATCTCAAAAATCACACTTACCCAGTTTCTTGGCAAGCTTGGCTTCTTTCTTGGCATCCACCATCACAAAGCCTATAGCTTTATGTTCAAGGACCTGGGCCACAAGCTGAAGAAACAAATGGAAAGATGAGTGTGCTAAGGGCAGAAAGATGGTAGAAAATATTACAGGATTACTATCCTCATGTATCAATGGAAGGGTTTCCTCTATACTTGCTGTTACTATGTGACCAAGTTGAGCAGCAGCAAAGGAAATGTATTCTTGTCCCCTCAGGGGAAGGATGATTCAGGAGAATGCTGAGAATCAAGGAGGGAAAATCTGAGGAGCAGACCTAAGACAGAAAATTTGGAAGAATATATCCACTGTCACATACCAGTTTCTGCCCTTGGAGTAGATAAAACCTGGATCGGGAGAAAGAAGAATCAGGAAGGAAGCATGGGTGCCTGACAAGGGGCCCTGAGCCCTTCTCTAGCTGCCAAATGTACCTGGGGCAGAGTGGGAACACAAGAGGACCTAAGAATAAAGGAGGCCTATGTCCTCAATATCCAAACATTGCGCTCAATTCCCCCACTCCTGGGCTTGTGAAGTAGGAATGCCCATTGGGTGAATAGACCTGAGATGTCTTCTCAAGGTTTCCTGAAGCACACTGAGACTAGTAGAGTATCGGGGGTCAGGGGTTCGGCTCCAAAGGCCAAGAGGATGCAGCAGTGTCCTAGATGGACAGATAGCTGAAAACTTCTCTGGGTAGACACCAGCATAGATGATGACATCAAGCACAAGATTGGCATTATGTTAAGCTTCCTGCAATGCAGATATGAGCAAGTAGGCAATACTTGCTTACTTCAGGACTGAGACCTAATTCTTGCCATCTGTTTGAACAGGGACTTGAAACAGAAACAGAATGGAGATGCTACCAGACAGATCATGAAATATTAATACTACTTTTTTTAGTTAAACTTAGAAAAAAGATAATTGTAGATTAACATGCAGTTGTGAGAAATAATACAGAGAGATATCTTGTACATTTTACCCAGTTTCCCTCAACAGTAACATCTTGCAAAACGGAGGTACAATGTTACAAATTGGATATTAACATTGATACAGTTAAGATACAGAACATTTCCACCACCACAAGGATCGCTCTGTTGTCCTTCATGGTCACACCCACTGGTTCGTGTCCCTATCCCCTCTTTTACCCTGGGCAACCACTAATTTGTTGTCCATTCCTATAATTTTGTCATTTCAAGAATGTTATGTAAATGGAATTATATAGTATGTAACCTTTTCAGACTGACTTTTTTCACTCAGTGTAATTATGTAGAGATTTGTCTAGGTTGTTGCATGTATCGATACGCTGTTTTTTTTTTTATTGCTGAGTAGAATGTATGGTATGAATGTATCATAGTTTGTTTAATCATTCACTCATTAAAGGATATGTGGGTTGTTCCCAGTGATTGGCTAGTATGAATACAGCTGCTATAAAGTTTAGTGTATAGGTTTTTGAGTTAAATATTAGTCTTAATTTCTCTGAGATAAATGTCTAATAGTACAATTGCTGGGTTGTATGGCAGTTACATGTTTAGTTTTTAAAGAAGCTGCCAAAATATTTTTCAGTGTAGCTGTATTGTCTTACCTTCCCATGAGCAAGGTATGAATAATCCAGTTTTTCCACGTCTTTGTCAGGACTTCGTAGCATAACCATTTTTCATTTTAGTCATTTTGACGGGTATGTAGTGCTATCTCATTGTGGTTTTAATTTGCATTTTCCTAATGGCTAACAATGTTGAGCATTTTTAAATGTCCTGATTTGCCATGTGTATGTTCTCTACTATGAAATGCCTGTTCACATCTTTTGCTCATTTTTCAACTGGATTGCTTTTTGGCTGTTGAATTTTGAGAGTTTTTTTAAATACCAGTCCTTTTTCAGATATATGGTTTACAAGCATTTTTTTTTACTCTGTATGTGTGTTATTTCATCTTCTTTTTTGATTTGACAAATAATAATTGTACATATCCATAGGGTACACAGTGATGTTTTGATTCATATAATGTATAGTGATCAGATCAGGGTAATTAGCATACCTGTCATTTCAAATATTTATCACTTTTTTGTGTTGAGAACATTCAATATCCTAATCATTTCATCTTCTTAATAGGATCTTTCACAGAACAAAAATTGTCAATTTTGATGAAGTCCAGTTGATCACTTTTTTCATTCATGGATTGTACTTTTGATATTAAGTCCAAGAACTCTTTGTCTAGCCTCAGATCCTGAATTCTCTTATTTTTTCTAAAAATTTTATAGTTTTTCATTTTATATTTAAGTTCGTGATTCACTTTGATAAAATTTAAGATAGGTTGAGGTTCCTTTTTCTTTTTTTGCCAATAGATGTCCGACTGTTCCGATATTTTTTGGTGAAAAGGCTGTCTTTCATCCATTCAATTGCTTTTGTAACTTTGTCAAAAATCAGTTGGCATATTCATGTGGGTCTATTTGTGGTTTCTCGATTCTGTTCCATTGCTCTATATGTCTGTTCCTCTGCCAACACCACATAGTCTTGATTGCAGTAGCTAGGATCAAGTATATCTGAAAGCAGGTAGACTATCTCTTTTCACTTTATTCTTTATTTTTCTAAATTGCTTTAACTATCCTAGTCCTTTAGCATTTTTGTATAAACTTCAGAATAATCTTGTTTATACACAAAAAAAAATATTACTAGAATTTTGATAGCAATTGCATTAAATCTGTGTATAAACTTGGGGAGAGTGACATATTTACTATGTTGTCTTCCAATTCATGAATATGGTATGTCTCCATTTATTTGATCTTCTTTGGTTTCTTTCATCAGCATTGTATAGTTTTCAGCCTACAAGTCTGGCACACATTTTGTTAGATTTATATCTAATCAGTTAAATTATTTCAGCTACTGTAAATTGTATTGTATTTTTAATTTTCATGTCCATGTGTTTATTGCAAGTATATAGATATACAATTAATTTGTTAATGTTAATGCTAAACTCACTTATTAGTTCTAAGAGGTTTTTGTTTTGTAGATTCCTTGGGATTTTTCTAGGTAGACAATTTTGTCACCTGCTAATAATTTCTTCCTTTTTCTGCATGCCATTTTATTTCTTTATCTTTACTTACTGCACTGGTGAGAACTTCTAGCACTATTTTGAATAAGAGTGGTAAGAATGTCTTGTTTTCTTAAATTTTTTGTTTCTTTCCCATTCTTAGAGGTTTATTCATTTTTCCTTTCAGTTCTATCAGTTTTTGCTTTTTGTACTTTTCAGTTCTATTGTTTGGTCCAGACACATTTAGGATTTATTGTCTTCTTGATGGTTTGACCCTGGATCTGTTTGGCTCTACAACTCATACTATAAATCCCTCTACTTTCTTTTCTATGTTTGTTTCTTTGATATCTTCTTCATTTTTATGTCTTCCTTTCATTGTTCCTAGAATCTGTGTCTTCTCCTTCAGAGTTCCTCTTCTGAATATCTTAAGGTTTTTCTTTGCATATTTATTCTTCCCTCCCAGACCTTTTCATCTGTTCCCAGCCTCTTTCTTTCTCTCTGGCTTCTAACTGTTTCCCTTCTTCGAAGAGCAAGGATTGTGAGCAGAAGCACCAAGAGCAGCTCCGAGGAATACCTCTGGTGGTTGGGGACTGAGGGGTGGGAGTGGAATGGCAGGTAACAAATAAGCCTACCCCCACCCCCACCCCTCATTCAGCTTTCTCTTATTTCTTTTATTTTGCCTGTAACTAGGCAACACTTAAGATGAAAGGCATCATCAGTGTTTATGTATGACTCATGTTGAGATTTTCTGCAGTGCCTAAACAGACCAACCTTTCTGCAAGTCACTTGGCTTCACTCTATTGCATTTAATCTGTTAGACAAAGCCATTTTTTAATGACTTTTCTGGTTTCCAACATAAGCCCCTGTGTTCTATTTAGTGCTGTCAAAATCTTAAGTTAAATGTTCCCTTGTATATCACTCAGAGTCAGTAATGATGGTACCTAATGGCTTTGCGGTATAGTAAGTTTCCTTACTCCTAGTACGTGAGCCTCTGACAGTGGTTCTTAAACTTCAGTGTGCATAAGAATCACCCAGGGACTAAAGTGGGGCTTCCTGGGCCTCAGCACAATACAGTAGAAAATAGACCTGGGTGGGGCTCAGGAATCTACGTTTTTATAAACCACACTACCACACCCCATTATTCTAATACAGCAGATCTCAAGACAGACTCTGAAAAACACTGCTATAAATGGTTGTCAGCACATCCAAAGTGATATGACACAGTGCTCTTCTAACTGCTGGGCTCTTTAAGCCCCTCTCTCTACCTTTGGCATAGGAGAGATGTATTAATAATAGTAAGAATAACCAATGACATAAAATAAGAAGTTAACTCTGAGAATTAAACAGAGAACTTAACTCTGATCTCTCCTAGGTACGCACTACCATGTTTTATTTGGTTTTAGGTAGATCCAAATGTGTGCCTCTCGTAGGCATGTAAAGCATGGCCTTCTGGTTATCTTATGGATATTTATATGTGATTTTTGAAGATTTATGAGTGGGAGGTGCTATCTCAAATGAACTCGATTCTTTTTTCCCGATTCCCTGGTTAACTAAATACAGCCAATCACTGTCCTGTGCCATAGATGGAGAAACAGAGCAGGCAATAACACATGGGCCAGGATCCCATGCCTAACTGAGACTTTCCCACCTCCTCTTTGGCACCCTTAGGCAAAATCCCTCCAGAATTCCCATCACTCTTGCCTCCCACGCTGATAAGACCCAAAACTTGCCCACTTGAGTTCTGTGGTCACTGCCGCCAGTCCTAGCAAGTCTCCTTCATGGGAGCCAAGGGTGCCAGGTAGGTGATTCCTGACATGGCAGCCAGGAGCCTCTGCTGGGCCAGTGGGGCAGGCAGGAGTCTGTCTACCTCTCACATTTGGCTTGGCCTTGCCTCCACCTTTACTTTGGCCCTAAATCTGCAGCTCACATGTTCCCTTCTCTCCTGCAACCTAGTCTCACTGCATTCTCAGGTCGCTACCAGTCCTGGCCACCGTTGGCTGCAGAGCGCAGCTCCATGTTCATCTTTCACCCCATTCTCCTCTCTGGAACTCAAAAAGCCCCTCACAAGGGCACAGTACTCTGGCACTTATTGTGTAATCATTAGAGTTGTGTATAGTCTCTACATTGTGACTCTTTCCTCCATAAGAAGAAGGACCCTGTTTTGTGCTTCTTTTGTATCTTGCAGTTTCTTGGAGACACTCAGCATACTTGTGGATGAATGGGTGGATTGGTCCAAGTACTTCACAAGTTCAAGGGCCTTGTGAGCCAAGGAGTTAGAAGCACTTGTCATCAAATACAGTGACAAAGAGTTACATACGTGAGAAAAAAAGGTAGAGTCAATATATCTCCTAAATTCCCAGAAAACTAGTACAGACTTTTCATATAGGATTGCAATTTTCTCCTGTTGACGTACAACTGTTTCTCTGCTGGTTTTGTTTGTTTGGTCAGTTACCTCTCAGATAGTCCATCCTAGTGAATGGGGTTGTCTCTTATCGGTTGGTTATATGCAGCCTCTGGGCATTGGTCAGTGCTCATTCTTTCTAGAAACATTAGGATTTGCTTTAACCATTGCTGATTCTTTTAAGTACAAAAAAGTGTTTTTTAAAAGTTATTTTAAGGTCCTTAAGGTTTTGTTCTGTTTTGTTTTGGGACTTGGTCTCACTCCTTTGCCCAGGCTGCAGTGCAGTGGCACAATCACGGCTCACTGAAGCCTTGACCTCCCAGGTTCAAGCAATCCTCCCACCTCAGTCCCCTGAGTAGCTGGGACTACAGGCCTGCACCAACACACTTGGCTAATTGTCTAAGTTTTGTCGAGATAGGGTCTTGCTTTGTTGCCAGGACTAGTCTTGAGCTCCTGGGCTCAATAATCCTCCCACTTTGGCCTCCCAAAATGTTGGGATTACAGCCATGAGCCACCGCGCCCAGCCTAAAAATTCTATTTAAATAATATGCATAATTCAATAGGAAAGAAGTGGATATTTATAATATAGCTTTACTCTTGTTAAAAGATTGTATCCTGTAGGTATGTATCGCACCTAATGACAGGGTGGATCCAAGTAGATCTCATCTTCGAATGAATAAATGACTCATGGATACTATGTCCCAGTTGTTAAGTGCACAGGGCTTGGAATCAGAGACCCGTATTATTGACTTGTCCACAAGCCTGTGCTGTGACTCCAGTGTAAAAAGTGGACAATACCAATATCTATTCAATGGGACTGTTTTGATGATTAACTGAAATAATGCATGTAAAGTGCTTGGCACAGTTCTTGGCATGCAGTAAGTGCTTAGTAAACATTAGATTTTCTTCTTAATATTATGACAGCTGGCTAGGGTTCTGGATCTTGTGCCAATTCAAAAATGCCATAGTGTAAAGTGTTATAATGGAAAGAGAACAATTATTAATTGAGAACCTACTGTGTTAACAAAAATGTGTAAGACACGTGTCAGCTCCAAGGGCCTTGTGATTTAAGGAGGTAGGAAATTCATTAAAAAAAAATAGCTCTAGGGCCGGGCGCGGTGGCTCACGCCTGTAATCCCAGCACTTTGGGAGGCGAGGCAGGCGGAACACGAGGTCAGGAGATAGAGATCATCCTGGCTAACACGGTGAAACACCATCTCTGCTAAAAAAAATACAAAAGAATTAGCCGGGCTTGGTGGCAGGAGCCTGTAGTCCCAGCTACTCGGGAGACTGAGGTAGGAGAATGGCGTGAGCCCTGGAGGTGGAGCTTGCAGTGAGCCGAGATTGCGCCACTGCACTCCAGACTGGGCAACAGAGTGAGCCTCCATCTTAAAAAAAAAAAAAATAGCTCTAGGTGCTACAGGAGTAGGACAAAAAAATAAGGGCTGTGGAGACTTAGAGAGTTTGTGGGCTGGGAGGTCAAATCCTGCAGAGCCCAGTGGGCTGTGATGAATACTGTGGATTAAATTTCCATGCACTCAGGATGAACCTAAATCCCTAACATGGCCAAGAATGTCCTGCACTCTTTGTCCCACCTGTCTTTCCAGCCTCATCTGGGGTCACTCTATTTCTTACTTAATACAATTGTCTTCAGCTCCGCAAAACATCAAGCTTATTCCTGGCTCAGGTGTTTGCACAGGATCACCTCCTTCAGCTGTGCTCTCAAGCCCTAGGCCAGTTGAAGCTTCAGCTTCTTGCAGGGACGCCTTGTTCTAATTCACACAAAGCCACCAACACATGCTCTGCTTCTACACACACCCCTCACTCCAAATAGAATTCCTTTTCCCCGACTGTTTGCTGGTTTCTACTTTCCTTGAAGTCTGCATTTAAATGTCAGTTCCTCAAAAGGCATTCCCTGACTCCCAATCTCAATTTTTCCCTTTTTACCCTTGATCATCACACTCCATGCTTTTCCTTTGCAACCATTTCACAGTTGCAAGTGCACATTAATTTATATGATTCTTTGTCTAGCAATTGTCCATGTTGTAGCCTGTAAGCTCTATGTCCACGTCTGTTTTTCTCCCATGCTATCTCCAGCACCTAGCGTAATACCTGAACAGATTAGATCTCAAAAATAAAAAATAAAAACAAATAAAAGCGGTAGTTTCTTCAGTAAATGAATGAATGAAGAGGGAGGCTGTTTAGAAAAGGGGAGGCCAGCTAGAACTTGGAGGAGGAGTGTGTGGATAGGCGGAGGGGGCTGCAAGGGCATCCCAGGAGGAAGAAATGGTATAAGAAAAGGTTTGCAGGTGGGAATGTGCAGGGGTGTGCAGGAGAACAGGCTGACCTGCTTGAACAGTGGGCTTATTTGGGGTGCTGAAAGAAGTCCTGTGTTAAAATCACATTAGAAAAAAAGTGTGAAGGACTTAACTACTAGGACTGGAAGCTCTGATTTGGGGATCGTCTGAGTAGAAGAGTAATATGACTAAGTTGTGTTTGGCAAGAGTGGATCTGAGTGCGTAGAGCAGACAGAAAGGAGAGTGGAAAGGAAAGGCCACCAGTTGGGAGGCTGATGTCCTAGTCTGTGTGAGAGATGTCTCTGATCTCAGACCAAGACAGTGTCAGTGGGAGAAAAAGTGACACGTGCAGGTGGTGCTACAAGTTGAGAATCAGTCAGACCTGGTAAGTCTTCCTTGGTTTTGGAGAGAAAAGGGAGAGAGATCAAAGAAGAGGGAGGAGGCAAAATAGTTTGAGGGTCTCCCATGAGGAAACAAAGTGGAGGACACACAGTGATGGCAGGAGGGCATGACAGAACTGGGGAAGCTTCTCAGCATGGATTCAGACCCAGAGAGTTCACAGTCACGGCAGTCCAGCCCAGACCCGGAGGTGCTGATCTAGGGCTCGGGGGAGAGGTCCTGCGTGAGAGGTCAAGGCTTGAGGACAGGTGACATCTTTGGGAGACGAGTATGAAAGAAAGCCACAGGGTCAAGGGCTGGCTGTCTCAGAAGGAAGAGAAAGAAGCCTACCCTGGAGGCAGAGCGGAGCTATGGGAGAAGTGCGGGGAGAGAAAGGATCCTGGTGTAGTGACTCCAGAGTCACAAAGGAGCGGGTGGTCATATCAAATGTTGCAGGGAGTCAAGGAGGGGTAGGACCCCCATGAGGCCTCTCATCTCAGGACTGGTAAGTCACGGGTGACCTTTTAGAGAAGAGCTGAGACAGAAGCCAAGCACTGGGAGTTAAACTGCTGGGTGGGTGGCAAAGACATGTTAGAGCAGGTGTGTCTCGCTTATTCAAGGTGTCACACAGAGGCGAGAGGGGCGCCCTGTGCTGCGTGACTGCCGCTGGGGCTCCCAGGGCAGCACATCCAATACCTCCATAAAGACCCCACCCAATCCAGTCTCTTCATAGGACTTACCAGCTCTAACCCAGGGAAAGACAGGAAGAAAGTTATATTTGTACCATTTCCCAAGAACTGTCTTTGTAGAGGAGAAAGACTAATTTACTACACAGTCAGAGGGAAGGTGGGGAGGTGGAGGGTCATAAAGAAAAAGGAGGTGGTTACTTGTTGAAGGGAGGTGGGTGGGGATTACTTTCTGCAGGGCCAAGAATCTGAAAAAAAAAAAGTTGAGCCTCGGGGAAAATGTCACAGATCTCTGCTCCAAGTGAATGTCCCTCAGGCCAGTCATTAAAAACACCCTGGCTGTAACCCTGCTCTTTTCATGTAAGCCAAGAGCCAAACGGCTGTTTGTACCCACTGTCCCTCATGCCATCTGGCAACATGTCAAGCAATTCAACAACTGTGTGTCCTTCCCTGAAACCAGAGAGCCGACGTTTCTCTCCGGTAATCTCCTGTCACTTTCTGCCGCCCTCAAAGTAGGCCTGAGCTATGTATAGCTGGGCAGTTGGCATGTGATGTGTTCACGAAGGAGGCTGGCTCAATGAAGGGACGGCTATTTTATGGGGTTCAAGCGAGTATCGGGGGCCTCTTTAGGGCTGGAATAGGTGGCCTCTGAAAGAGCCTTCGGGGAGAGAGAGGCTGTTGATTGTTTTTATTGGCATTTTGGACTATCACGTTGGTCAATGCCAAGGAAAAGACCCAAGGGAAGATGCTATGTATTTTTTCCACCCCACAATTCTGAGAGGCTATATAACAACAACAATTTTTAAAAAAGCACTTACTGGGTGTTTACTATATGCCAGCTATTGCTCCAACTGCCTTACAAGAATTATCTTATTGAATCTCTACAAAACCCTCATGAGGTAGAGGCTTGCAGATGAGGAAATAGAGGCACAGAGTGGTTAACCAACTTGCCTGGGGACACACAGAGCTTAAGTGACCCAGCTAGGATCTCAACCCTGACACTCTGGCTCCAGAGCCCGAACTTTCATCTGTTACCTTTTGTTCCTATACCTGGGCCTCTGAGGGACCTGGGCCCAAATCCTGGCTTTGCAACTTATCAGCTGTGAGACTCTGGGCAAGTCACAACTTAACTGATCTTCAATTTCCTTAGAGATCCAATCTCACAGGAGTATCATGTATACAAGTACGTAGTGAAAGTTCCCTACCAATTAACTACAGGGCAAACCCCACTACACTAAGTCAGTGGTTTTAGAACCTGGGTGCACATCAGCATTCCCTGGAGGGGCAGCCAGTAAAAAGAGATTGCTGGGCCCACCCCAGAGTTTCTGATTCAGCAGGTCTGGGATGGGACCCAAGAATTTGCATTTCTGCCAGGGTCCCAGGTGCTGCTGAGGCTGCCAGTCTCGGGCCCACACATTGAGAGCTGTGGCTCTTCCAGTCTCTAACACAAAATCACAATCTTTTATTGCGTAGCATTTTGCCATGTCCAAACTGACAGAATGAGGGAAGCTGTCCCTGAAGGCCAGGTTTGTTTTGTTTTATCTAAAAATATTATTGCAATGGAATTTTTAAAGAGTGAATTTGACTGACATGGGGCAAGGCCATGCCCTTTACCAATTTTTCTCAACAGAATTCTGTGCCCCAGAGCCTGTGAAAATGCAGTCTGGAAGCCCAGGCCCTGACCTCCTCTGGTAGTCCCTCCCTCAAACTCTCCTTGGGAAAAAGTTTCACATGATACTCAGTGCTTTCTGGAGCCAGAGAGATCATCCCTTTTTAAACTAACCTTCAGTGGAGGTTGGTACACCTCATTTTAAAAAGGGGGTGAGGTGCTTCCTCTCATGGAGAGGCCTCATGAATGTAAAATAATGACTGAACGAAGAGATCCTTGACTTATTGCTTCCACAGTGCAATAAGCAGAAAAGGAACCTGTTCCTGCTTGGCTGAACTTTCTGAAATGTCTGACTAGTGTTTATTTTGATAGCATCTGCTAATGACAGCAAATGCCATGGATAACTAACTTGAGTGGAGAGTGGGAGTTTTCAATGTGCTTTCACATACACAATGATTTCAGGAGCAGCCCTTCACTCAGCACCAAGCGTGTGCCCATCACTTCACACATGTTACCTGTTTTGTCTTCTTAAAACCTCTATGAGGAGCGTACTGTGGCTTAGATTTTATAAAGGAAGCACTCAGCCTTGAGGAGCTAAGTGACCCGCCTGCAGTCACACAGCTAGTGCAAGGACTCAATCCCAGCTGGCTCTAACTCCAAAGCCTGTGCATCTCACACAGCTAGGTGCTACTGCCAATAGTCGTTTATGTGTTGCATTGTTGCATTCACTTCTTCTGTGTCTGGAGGATGCTTCACTCCCTTCATAAATCAGAGGTGTGTGGTCGGGCTAACAGTTAGATATCCGAGGCCAGAGTAATTGTGTGTGTTGTATAGGTAGAAGCAGGTGAGCATGTGAGGGAGTACCTGTTGGCTCTCCTGGACACCCAGCTCATGGCAGATGGTGAGGAGAGGCCTGTCTGGCTTGGGGCACCTGGGCAGCAGGTGGGAGCTCCTGGAACTGGCACTCCGGGCACACAGAAGCAGCTCTGGCTTGCCTAGCCCATCACATTGCAAGATGCCTTACTGGCCCCTTTCCTGCATGGCTGTCCAAACAGAAACAGCTTATCTGGATAATTCTGGCCTACCACATCCAGTTTATAAAAAGGGAAGCCTTAGAGGCTTCTTTGAACAGGCTCAGTTCTTCAGGGGGCTGACTTTCTAGGAGGAACAAGTCATTTTGAATGAGCACTAAAGCTAAGCTGACAATTATGCAAAAATACTCTGCACCAACCTGTAAAGCTCAAACTGCCGCAGAGTAGGGCTGCTGAGTAAAGAAAAATCTTGTGATTTGGAATCAGATTTTATTTCTTACTTTTAATTTTACTGCCTTATATCATAATAGCCCTTATAATATTTCTGCAGTGGTGACTTTCATGGTATCTCACGTCCCCGTTTTAAAATTTATAACTTTGGGGGCTGGGCATGGTGGCGTGTGCCTGTAATCCCAGCACTTTGGGAGGCTGAGGCAGGCGGATCACCTGAGGTCAGGAGTTCAAGACCAGCCCAGCCAACATGACGAAACCCCGTATCTACTAAAAATACAAAAATTAGCTGGGCAGGGTGGCACACGCCTGTAGTCTCAGCTACTCAGGAGGCTGAGGCAGAAGAATCGCTTGAACCCGGGAGGCAGAGGTTGCAGTGAGCCAAGATTGTGCCACCGCACTCCAGCCGGGGAGCCTGGGTGACAGAGCGAGACTCTGTCTCTAAATAAATAAATAAAAAAAAACTTATACCTTTGGGAGGAGGTCTACCTCAGGAATGTTATGAATAGGTGTCCTATTTGGGCTTGCGCAATACCGGGGGCTTTGGAGATAGGAGTAGTGAGAAAAGGTTCCAATGGTCTAAAAACTTCTGAATCAACCATGTATTTTCCAGTTCGTGAAACCTTTATTTCCTTATAATTCCATAGGTGAAAGGAAAAATTTAACTGTAATCAACTCAATCCATGCTTTTACAACTAGCATTTCTGTTCTTTTACCGTCTCACTCCAAGGATCCCCTGTATTACCGATATGTGCCCAGCAACCCTCCACACAGAATTCAACAGCACTTGGGATTCACAGAGAACTGCGATTTAAAAGTGAGCACCTCCTGAGAAAGTATGGGCTCTATGAGAGGCTTTGTTCTCCAAGCCAAACCAAAATAAGTCTGACCTCATCTAATTTTTCAGAGTGGAGCAGGTGTGAATTTGGAGATTGCCATTTTTGGTCAGTGAACAGTTGGAAAAAAAATACCTGAATCCTGTGTGTGTTGCTATTCCCTCCCCAGCGTTTCCACGCAGCTCCATCTGCAGATTCACTCAACTCCAGCAACTTCATTTTGCCTTCCTCTCTTGGGGTTTGGAAATGCAACCACCACTGGGATATTTGCCAGTGCTAAATAGGTTTAGAACAAGGGTCAGCCTTATAAAGCTTGGAGGCTTCTGCCCACGTGCATATATATTTTGGGCTAAGAATCCCATGGCTTAAAAAAAATCAATTTTACCCATATTTTGGTGGGATTAAGCAAGGGTAACGAACAGGTTCCTGAATCTGGCAGATTCAACCTCTTTACAATTGTACTCAATACTTTAAAAAATTTAACTCAATTTTAAAAAGAGATCAAGGAGAAGTATATTTTCAGTATAAGCAATTTATTTCTAATTCTTGACCTTTCCCTTCTTCCCCTCTCCATCCAACCATCCAGCAAACATTTATTAAATTCCAAGTGCCAAGCAACAGCCCATTGGCTCGCATTAGTCATTTAGGTTCAACACATAGTCTAGTTGCACAATTTAATGCAGCTCAAGTGTGAGTGAAAATCCAGAGTACAAACTAAAGACATCTGTCCCTTCATAAGTTGGCACTGCTTACAAACATGAAGCAATCCCTTTCAGCTGCTCCTTGGCATACTGGAAGGGACATGTCATTTGAAACAAATAGGTTTGGGTTCAAACTCTGCTTCACAATCTAATGTTTTATAGCTTTGTGAGTTTAGGCAATTTTTACTTAACTCTCTGGCTAATTTCTCTGTCTGTAATATTGTAAGAATTAAATAAAATAACATATGTAAAGCCCCATATTGGCATGGTTTATGGTAAGTTCATAATATGTGCTTCTCCCTTCTCCTCCTTCCTCTTCTCTTCATTCAACATTCATTTGACAAATGCTGTTGAATACCTACTGAGTCAGGCACTGGTTTAGGTGCTGGGGTATAGCAATGAGTAGAACAAAGTCCCTGCCTTTGTGAATGTCACATTCTATAGCAGGTGCTGTAGTTTGGACGTTTTTCCCTCCAAATCTTACATTAAAATTTGATCCCCAATGTTGGAGGTGGGGCCTAATGGGAGGTCTTGGGGTCATGGAGGTGAATCCCTTATGAATAGATTAATGTCCTCCGTGGGTGGGGCAGTGACTGAGTGAGTTCTCACTCTATTAGTTCCTGCTAGAGTTCCTCTGAGAGTTGGTTGTTAAAAAGAGCCTTGCACCTTTTCTCTCTCTCTCGCTTCCTCTGGTGCTGTGTGATCTCTGCACACATCAGCTCCTTTTCACCTTCTGCCATGAGTGGAAGCAGCCTGTGGCCCTAGCCAGATACAGATACCCAATCTTCAACTTTTTCAGACATCAGAATTGTGAGCCAAATAAACCTTTTATTCTTTATAAATTACCTAGTCTTAGGTATTCTTTTATAGCAACACAAATGTACTGCAAGAAGGGGTGTCAGACAATATGCAATATGTCAGCCAAGTACTATGTAGAAAAAGCATAGAGGAGGGTAGAGAAGGTAAAATGAGTGCATGGAAAGTGTGATTTACATAGGTTGTCAGGGAGATAACTTCTTTGATAAAGTGACATTTAAGCATAGACCTAAAGGAAGTGAGTTCTTATCATCAATAAAAGAGGGACATTTCCCTAGACACTGGGGCCATTCCATCTGCATCTTTGTAAGTGCTATGATTTGGGTGTGGTTTGTCCCCATCAAAACTCATGTTGAAATTTTATTCCCAATATGGTAGTGTTCAGCAGTAGGGTCTAGTCAGAGGTGTTTGGGTTATGTGGGTGGGCCCCTTATAAACAGATGAATAGATGAATGCCCTCATTCAAGGGTAAGTGAGTTTTAATGAGAACAAATTAGTTTCTGAGGGAACAGGTTGTTTAAAAGGGTCTGACTTCCTTGGCTTCTCTGTCTTTCTTTCTCTCTCATCACATGATTTCCTTGCCCACTCCTCTATTGCTTTCTGCTTTCTGCCATGAGTTGAAGCAGCACGAGGCCTTCACCAGATGCAGCTGCCAATTTTGAACTTTCCAGCCACTAGAATCATGAGCCAAGTAAACCTCTTTTTATAGATGACCCAGCCTCAGGTATTCTGTTATAGCAACACTAAGCAGACTTAGACAGTAAGTAAGTAAGATGAATATTTCATGAATAAATGAAAGAATTAATATTTCTATTCAGGTGTTCACTAGACTTAGTTTTATATTACAAAATACTCACCAGTTTTCTCTGAGAAGCTTTCCCATGGTTTCCATTAAACATCATAACATCTTAATATCCCACTTCCATCTACCTTCAGGGTTCTTAGATTTGCCATCTCTTTTGGGGAAAGGGCTAATGTGCCACAGCAACCAAATAGACGCATGTCTTCTCTTTCTGAAGGTCAACTCTGAACCCTGACCTGAGGATAGTTAGAAGGCCACCTTCTGAGTTGGTCTTTAAAAGCCAGGCAATTCAACTAGAAAGATCTCAAATAGGGTAATACTTCTCAAGTCCCAGATCATTTCCTTCTAAGGAGGTCCAAAGGATTAGTCACTGATTGTGTGAGTGATGGGTCAGTGGGAGAACCCCGGGAGGCCTGGCTGAGTCCCAAATCAGATATGAATCCCTGCACCCCTAGAACAAACTTAACATCCCAGCGACTCTCCAAATTAGAGCTATACTGACAGTTCCAACACCATTCTGAAGAATGAATGATCCAAAGGTCAAACAGGTAACAACATGATTCTGGTCATCTGGAAAACTTTCCCAACCCAATAGACTGTCACAGTGCTTTGCAAACTTTAATGTGCCTACAAACGACACAGGGATCTCATTTAAATGCTAAGTTTGATTCTGAGATATGGCCTGAGATTCTTTGTTTTTAACAGGGTCCAAGTGATGCCATTTGCTACTGGTCTGGGGTCCGCCTTTTTATTCAGATGAGGTCTCACTATGTTGCTCAAGCTGGAGTGCAGTATCTACTCACAGGTGCAATCATAACACACTGCAGCCTCAAACTCCTGGCCTAAAGCAATCCTCTAGTCTCAGCCTCCCAAGTAGCTGAGCTGCTCTCAGCCTTGGGGTCCACATTTTAAGCGTCAGGTTTCAAGTGGCCTTCAAACTTGGCTGCATCTTAACAGCACTCAGAAAGCTTTTAAAAACTGTAGCATCTGGACATCAGCCTTTACCCAGTGACCAATTAAACCAGCACCTGTGGGGATAAGACCCAGGAATCGGTATTTTTTAAAACTCCTTATGTGGTTCTAATATGTGGCCAAAGTTGAGAACTACTACAATCGACTAAGAACACGTGTAAAAGTTCAAGTGACTAGTGAAGAAAATTCACATTGATAAGCACCCACTATACTTCAAGCACTCAATTAGTCATTCTATTAATACATAGATGAATTTCTTCAGTAGTAACTGATGTAACAAAAATAATAAAACCTGACTCTTTTATACCTTCTTATAATTTTATAAGAAATTCTTATTCACCTGTTTTCATTTAATTCTCCTAATTCATGGAGGTAGGAGCTAATGGTTGATTTTATAGATGATTTTACACATAGATTTTGTAGGTCAGTGTAAAGAGGTGAATCTGTGTGACTTACTCAGGATAGTGGGTAAATAGAAGAGAAGTTCAGGTGCTCGGCTCTCAGTTTTCCCAAGCACTGCTACCTCATCTGAGGTTGGACATAGAAAAATGGTGGTATACCAGCCTGGCCAACATGGTGAAACCCTGTCTCTACTAAAAATACAAAAATTAGCCAGGCATGATGGTGGGCACCTGTAATCCCAACAACTCAGGAGGCTGAGGCAGAAGAATTGCTTGAACCCGGAAGGAGGAGGTTGCAGTGAGCTGAGATTGCCCCACTGCACTCCAGCCTGGGCAACAGAATAAGACTCAGTCAAAAAAAAAAGAAGAAGAAGAAGAAGAAGAAGAAGAAGAAGAAGAAAGAAGAAGAAGAAGAAGAAGAAGGAGAAGAAGAAGAAGAAGAAGAAGGAGAAGAAGGAGAAGAAGAAGAAGAAGAAGAAGAAGAAGAAGAGTTCATAAAGTGCACATGAGTCTTGTCAATGATGATGCTGGGCACATTGCAAAGCCTGAAGAGGCTACAGTCACTCTCCGCTAAAGTTTACTTTTTATTGATATACAGATAGTTTAGGAGACCGAGGCCCGAAGGAAGAAGGAAGCTCAGTCTGTTAGGGGCTCTGGCAGACTGAAAGCAGAAGCATCAAGAGATCCACTAAACAGCTGCAAAACTCAGAGGCCTACATTACCCAGGATTATGATTCTTGATCCTGTCATAGATGATGAAACCAGCATCCCTCTCCGCTACAGGGCTTAATAGATAATCTGCATGAGTCATCCTCTAAATATTATTGGAAAGTAACCTATGTTTCAGCACAGGAAAATTGGTTTGCATTTTTAGGTAGTGGTCCTGCCATTTAATACCGAAGAAAGCTTACGAGAGATCCCCTGGACAGGCACTGTGTGGATGGTAGCAGAGCATCCCAACAGCCTCTATTGGTGAGCTAAAATGAGACCTTCTTAAGCAGGAAAAGCAGAAGAACTACACCAAGTGTACACCGGGCAGCAGCCTTAGACTTTGAACTCTAGTTGCAGCCTGTTGAAAAACTACAGGACTGGCAGGTAGACCTGGTTCAACTTCCAAGAAGATATGGCCATTTTTGTGCCAAGACTCCAGATACCCTGACTGAGCAAGGGACCTATTTCACCCTAAATGAATGAACCAAGCTTTACTGTTCAGAATCTGGAAAGTATTGCTTGTTCCTTATCCATACATTCAATGATACATTCATTTACTCATGCAAAGATTATTGAGTGTCTGTTAATAGCAATGAAAATTTAATAAATGAATGAATATTTCTATTCAGGGATTTACAATACTTGTTTTCATGTTCTGAAACACTCTCTAGCTGCCTGAAAAAATCCCCCATAGCTTTCCTTAATCCAATAAATGCATGTTGGTTACAGGTTAGTCTATTTAGTTGCTATTCCCCACTCTCCACCCTGCCACCCAAAACACATATACATGGCTAACAGCATCAATTTTAACTACAAAACATGTGAATATAAAATGAAAAGTGCCCAGAGGTCCTAAAACTGAGCTCTGAGGTCCTTGCATGTCTCCTTCCTCTTTTCCTTCTATAGACGATTTAAGTGGCCATAAAATTGTTTCTATGTAAGTGTGAAGCTCACCCGGAAAAAGCTTTTGTCCTTTTCTTGCCTTCTTTTTCAGGCTGGAATGCTGGACTCCTAGCAGTGAAGTGGTGTAGAGGAAAAGATAAAGGTCTTGGAGTTAGGGACAGGATCTGTGTCAAGGTAGAAGGGGAAGAGGAAGGAGTCGATGATTCCTCATCCCAGGCTGGGTGCTAGGCAGAAAGGTAATGCCATGTATAGAGGGCTCAGGAACTCACAATGTGGAGGCCATGTTGCTCATGCCTGGCCAGCTGGGGCTCCACCTGTCATGTTGTCATGTGACCAGTGCATTTATTTAGTTGTGTTTTTGAGTCGCAAGCAGTTTCTTGATCCTTGCCCAATGTGAACTTGGCTCAGTTTGCTTTTGTTTTGTTTTGCTTTGCTTTTTGCTTCCCCTATTACGAAGTTTGATTTTAATTCAGGTTGTTTTCATGAGGCTTCTAATCTAGAGGGAAAAATCCAACCCATGTCTCCATGGGGGGAAAGAGTAAGGTAGAAAGGATTAGAAGGAAACTGGAAGCACCTCTCAAAGTAGGTGAGACTGAACCATGACTGAAAATGGGGCAAGGCCTAATTTAATAAATGGCATGGATGAGGTGATTGGACATAGCCGACACAGGCTCAGCAAAGCCTTGAGAGCAGAGGGAATGCCAAACAGGAGTACATCGAGAGCGACCTGTGACCGCTGGCAACTCACTCCTCCTCTCTAGCCCCAGAGAGGAGGAGTGAATAAGCAATAAGAGGAGGAGCAAATCAAACTGGCTGTGAATAAGCAAGATGGCTGCATTTCCAGTACCCAGCTCCCAAGGCCTGATTTCCTCAGTTTATCAACTGATGGGGTTAGCTGTATTGTGTTTAGAATCCTGATGAAATAGTGAGTGTGGGCTAAAAGAAGCTAGCATTTGTTAAGTATCTTCTGTGTGCCAGAGCTATGCTCTTGCTGGGCAGCCTCATTCAATCCTCACAACAGCACTGTCATCTCCATCTTGCAAACAAGGAAACCAGGTCTATCTGATCTGGAAGCCCGTGTTAGAGCATGCCATCTCTCAAGCACTTCAACCTGAGGGAAATGGTGACATTTCTCAACTCAGGTTGAGAAATGAAGGACTTTCTCTGGCAATATTTATAGGACATGATAGGAGCAGTGGCTTGCACAGCAGTTTCAAGGAAAAAGAGGAAGCAGGAAACAAAGCAGCAAGGAGAAACTGAATTACCTGCCCATGTCCTCTGTCTCTGAGTCCTGTAATGCTAATGGAAGTTGGCCACTGTGGTGTGACTAAATTTACTATCTTGGTGGAAGCTGTAAGAGACAGCATGCAAAATTGCAACTCCCTTTATAATTTGTGTTGACACCCCAATAGAAAAATGAGAAAAGGCATAGAAAAATAATTTATGAAAGAAAAAATACATAAATGGCAAAAGAATTTTATAGAAAACTTTAGCCAGAAATCAAAGAAATGTTCATTAAAACAACAATGAAAAGCGAAGATTTTTAAAACTCTAAAAATTGTGTCAAGATCCAAATATAGGGTAATTATTTTAAAAATATGTATGATGATACAGTGGAATACTATGCTGGTATTAACATTACTGTTTAATAATATAGAAATACAATATATGGATGTGAAAAAAAGCTGGAAACAAAACTGTATAAATGGTATAATTCCCAATTGAAAAATGTATATTTATGTATAGAAAAAAATACTGGAAAGAAATCTACCAGAACATTATCCATGTTTATTTTGGTGTGATTACTTTTATTGCCTTTTAGTTCTTTTCCACATACTCTGAAATTTCTAAATCATATATGCTGCTTTGTTGATGAAGAATACCCAAGGAATCAGAACTGCCAGCTGTTTAAGTCAGGGTTACAGCTATGAAATGAGGGGTTCAGAGCAACCTAGATGACTCCCACAGTTCTTTTGAGCTCTAACATTTCATTCATTCATTCAACAATCATGTGTAGAACATCTGCATAGAACTATGGATTATACAATGACCCTTGGGCCCTCCAGAGCTGGACTCTGGCCAGATTGGAAAGCAAAGTTTGAGTTTGCTGCCTCCTGGTGTCATATTACTTGCCTTTTTCTTGCTAAGCTGTATAGACCTTATCTTCTCCACCTTCTCCTCTTCCCCTTGTCAAGCCCTGTTCTCACGACAGAATTCAGACTCAGGGGATGTAAGTAATTGGCAACATCTCAAAGATCTACCTCTCCCAGAGGACCTTGACTAAGTAGGGACAAAAATCTTACCCTAAAGAAATGAGGCCCTCTTGGCCAAATTTTAGGAAAAAGCTAGCAGGTGGAAAAATACTTGAGAGCCATCAGAATATTTGCTGTTTTGCCAGTAAATTCCTACTCATTTCACAAACCAACTCTGGCCCTTCCTCTTTCCTCTACTCTCCCTGATAAACTTCTAAGTTGCTGTGTTGTTACAGCAACCTCCCTGCACTGTAGCTCTTAGTTTGCATGTTTTCTTCCATGTTCAGCTGTGAGCCACTTGAGGGTCTCATTTTCCCCGTATCCACAGCATCTATCCCAGGGCCCCAACAAAAATTAGGTGGCAGATGCATGACTAATTGAATGGTATTTCAAGTGCCCCTCATCAGGCAGTGACCTCCTCACTCTGTGGATGGAGCTGTTTCTGGCTTTTTTCATTGACATCCCTTAGAGATGCAGACAAAATATACATGACTGGCCACAGTGCCCTTGGAGTTTCTTAGAATGAATGGGGTGGCCCTAGTGTGAGGAGCTATGAGTTTCTAATTCCTAGAAATTCCTCAGGTGTTTCAGCCTGGGGATGGCAACTCCTCACTGGAGAGGGAAATCAACTTAATAGGTTGAGATCAATTTTTAAAATGAAATAGAAGAGAACAGGATAAAAATAGAAAAAAAAATTTAATTCCCCAAGTAATAATAATAAGTATAGTTCATATGAAATTTTTGTTTCTGGTGTGTGTGTGTGTCTGTGTGTGTCTGTATATACTGGGTCATAGTCGGTTATGATAAAAAGTGTCAGAAGCCGCCTTAAGCTGCGAGGGGGAAGGGAGCTGCCTCCCCTCCAGCTATTTGTCCGTGGCTGAGACCACACTGCCTGTTGGATGGACACTGGGAACTGCCTCCTCTTTTCCCCCTACCCCCTAACAGCCACAGCCCTGGAAGCTGACAGACTATTTTTCTTAGTGCAAGTGTGGGGTCTAGAGGATTAAGAGGACAAAATAGATGTTTTGACCATGAAGAAAGTTTAAAGGCATGTTCGCTCTTTCCACTCATGGACTTCCCGGAGCCATTTTTTCCCTTGATGCTGCGCCTGACAAGTATCTCAACAAAGGCCCGCCCCTTCCTCAACCTTCACTAATGGAGCCCAGGCCTCCTCCTCAGTTTGCACTTTTGCATGAGCAGCGCCTCCAGGCCATGTACTTCTCGGCCATGCTGGTGTACAGCTGGCATCATCAGACCCGGGTCCAGAGGCTGAGCAACTCTGTTTAAGGAAGACTCTTGAAACCATCTTAAACAGGCTACCCAGAAGCCCCTTGGGCGTTTTCGCACTGATTTCAGGAGTAGTACCGTGTAGGTGTTACGTACAACTGCCTTCATCTGTAGTAGCTGTGTGACCTTGGACAACTTAGCCTCTCTGCTTCAGTTTCCACATCTATAAAATGGAATTGGTAACTGTACCTACTTAATAGAATTATTGTAAGGATTAAACAAGCTAACACATACCAAGTGCTTAGAACAGTCCCTGCACTTAGTAAGCATTTAATCAACATTATTATTATTTAATCATTTCTTAAGCTGCATGATAGTTACTATTTTTCCATATTTATAGATAAGAAAATGAAGCTCTGAGAAATTACGTAATTTGCCCTGTGTCCTGTGCCTAGTAGAGACAAAGCCAGAACTTAAATCCAGATATCCTGACTTCAAGGTCTGTGTTCTTTTTCTCCTAATGATGCCTCACTCCAGCTTTAGCAGCCTGAGGGGCATCAAATTAACTCCTGTGGTGAACTTTTCCTTATCGGTCTCTGCTGGGCCGGCACCCACTGTGAAAAGGGCACTCTTGGATCAAAGGTGTCTGGAGGGATGGTAAGCCCAGGGGAAGTTTCTGTTCATGATTTTGCATAGTCTTTGGGGACAGATATACTTGGGGGAGCTAGAGATGATAGATAGATAGATAGATAGATAGATAGATAGATAGATAGATAGATAGATAGAAGGATGATAGAAAGATATTTCTTTTTTAAAAAAAATTAGAATCAGAAATGAATGTCCTTGCCTGTACTGGCCACCCAAAGGCATTCTTTTGGAGTTCTAGGCTAACTGGACAGCGATGAGCATATAGGGGAGAATCCTTATGCCTTCAATTAAGTTTTCATAACAATGTCTCTTGATAACTGAGTATGGCAGTTTGAGATGGAGATATAATGTAAGTGTTGGTTTCATGTGCTAAGCAGCAGCTAAGTTCTATGTCTCGTTCTTTTCCAGCCTGTGATTTGCTCATTTCTATAAAATAAAGTCTTAATAACTATCCCTGCTTTCTCTTTTCTTGCAACCCACAGAGAGAACTGAAATTCCACATTCAGCACCCAAGGTTGGAGATATACTTTTGATGTATTTGGGATAGTTTTGCTGGATTTTATTACAGTCAATTTTTCAATTTGAAAAAATTCAAATCCACATGGGTTTTATATGATAATCCTATTAAACTATTTCATCAACCTGAGTTCTCTGATTGTGCTGGTTAATAAACTGTAATTCTCAAATATCCCTTTCACAGGTTTGCGCCTGGGCTAGGCGTGGAGACTGATGAGGCATCTTGGTGCCCACTAGCATTCTTGGCACCCTCAGGCCCTCTTAAAGTGTAAGCCATCTTAAGCTGTCCAGGAGGAGCTGCAGGAATAGTTTCTGGGGCACTCGCAAAGGATTAGAAAATGGGCCCCAGTGCCAGGTTACAAACAGGCAGGCCATGTAATGCGGATAAAATAAGAACTGACTTCAGCTCTGCCCTAAAGTCACACCAAGAACTTTCTGAGAAAAAAAATCACATAAATGAATATGCTGCTCAGAAGATCTGCACACAACTACATTCTGTAATGCTGACTGACGCAAAACAAGAGAGAGGAAAGTCATTTAGTGATATTCTCCGTCTGACCCCCAGAGAGACGCAAGGTCAAGTAACTCTGGTCTCTCCAGGATCATGGGGAGATTTGAGGGAGCAAAGTGGGCACACTGAATGAAATCCACAAGTAGTCCCTGGATTTCATTTCAGCCAACAGTTTTAACAATAGTTTCTACATTCTATCTGGGAAACAATGGCTGGGACAAGGGCCCTTGAAAAGTCAAGGGGGCCATAAAGACTTTACATCAGACCCATCGTAGTGTAGCACGTTTGGTCCTCTTCATTTGAAGAGTTAGGACCCACCCCTCATTGTTCACACATCCCAGCTGTGTGACAAGGGCATCTGATTCACGTGAGGCCAAAATAAAGCAGAGTTCAGTATATATTCTCTGCATCCTCGTTCCCATATCCCAACCCCTGGCCAAAGGCATTCCCTCGGCACCTCACTGAGGCAGCGCAGACAGCATGCCCTTTGGTTACTTACCTCAAGCACGATTTCTTTCAGTTGGAACTGTTTTTGCGTGACCTTATCTGAAGACACCGGCTCATGGTAGTAGAGGCAAAGCAAGTCATATTTCTTTAAAACCTGCTTGAAGTTCTTCTCGGAAAGACTTACCACTCGGTCCTTCCCATCATATGTGGGGAAATTAAGCCCCTCTTCTGCCCTGCAAGAGGACAGAAAATAAATCCCCACAATAAACAAGTGAGTTCTCTTCATTTGGGAAAACTTTTGTTTCTCGTTCCCAAATATGCTGTGTGCAGAATAGAGGACAGAAGACTGTTAGAGGCCTTGTTGAGCCAAGGAGAGAGCAGACAGGCTGATTTTCTCTCTTCTTTGCCCTTCCTGGGGCTGAAAAGTGACTCTTCACCTCCTTGGGTCCAGCCAGCTCTGGAATCGTGGGCTCAGGACAAAGAGCAGAGGCACACACACACACACACGCACGCACGCACGCACGCATGAGAGTAGAAAAACAGCCAAGCTAGGGAGGCTGGGAGGCCAAGCCCCAGATACCTTACATAGCTCTGCTCAGCCTCTGTCTCATTAGGAACTCCATTTTTAGGATGCAGTTGTTTCAGGCTAAAAATAAATCATGCAATGAATAAAAAAGTTAGATACGACACTGTAGAGGGATTCGCTGATACAGTCTGTCCGACTGGTGAAGAGGGAAGAGGCAGAAGGAAAAAGACAAGAATGTACACGCATGAAATAAGGAGGCTAGAAAGGTCAAAGAAGAGAAAGAAACTCGAGAGGGAGAGAGATAAGGGACTATGGTGCCAATAAGCAAATGGAGAGTTCAAACATACGGAATGACACTCATACATTACTGAATTGTTAAATCACCCCAGGGTGGTAACTCAGCCTGTCCCCTCACGGTGGTTGTTCATCCTCTGTTCCTCACTGCAACATGGAACAAAATGGAGCCCCGAGGTAGACTTCTTCATGTTCTACTCCTGTCTTTTTCTGCCTTCCCTCCTCTCTTCTTAAAAATCCTCTGCCAGCCACTGGGCGAGGGGTGCAGGGACACCCTGCTGAACCCAGCTGACACCAGAAGAACCTGTCCTCATTAAACTAAAATGAAACAAGGTTCACAGTTCAAATCCCTACTCTGCCTTTTAACAGCTAATGAACTTTGGAGGGTCACTTGCCCTCTCTGATTCTCAGTTCCCCTCTATGTAAAGTGGGGCTGATAATAACCATAAAGTTTCAAACACATAGATGAAAAAGCATGGCACAAAATAGGTGCTCAAAAATAGTAGCTATTATACTTACTTCTCATTGGAGCTGGTGGAACATTGGTTATATAATGGATATTTGTCTGTTTCTAATATGAATGGTTTGTGAACCCTTTCTTGTCCATTTTCTCCTTGAATCCAGTAGGCAATTGGGGCAAAAGGGATCAGGGCTCATCCTACCGCTGAGCTAACAGCAACTTGTCTGAGTTTGCAGCATTTCTAACTGCCGGAGCAAGAATCCAACCCTGCCTCAAAGCTGCTGCTCCTGGCTGTTTTGCCTCTGACTCTGGGTGATTCCCTTGCAGACACCCCTTTTCTTAAGTACCTTCTTGACCATCTCTTCCAGTCCAACCCTAGTCCAGTCATGTCTCTCCACTCTTCAAAGGCATCTAGGGCATTCATGATTCTGACCAAGTTTTTGTTCTCCTTCAGTTATAAATCAGCTTTGGAAAGACAGAGTACTCTGTCATGCACAGCTTCTGCAGGGGCTAGAAGGCAAAGAGAAGATCCGTGGCCTCTCTGAGTAAAGCAAGGCTCCCCTGCAGTCAGACGGCCTTACACTGAGAGTCAGGCTGATAAGGGGTTGTCTTGATGCTACACTCTCATGTGCAGAAAGTTGGGGCCTTGAAGAACCCATCACTAAAACCCTTGACGGTATTCCGTTCTTTCTAATGGTGTAGTCTCTAAGTTTTCAAAAGATGGAGCCAAGAATATCCATTCTAAGGTGCACTTAGCTTTCCAAGTCAGTGGCAAGCATGCAAGATCTCTGCTTTCTTTAGGAAATTTAAGGGGAAAAAGATTTCCGAGTGAAACAATGTGTGTCTTGTCTTTTTGAGGTCAGCCTCCCCAGACTGTTCCCAGTTGTCTCGATCTCACTGGGTTACCTTTATTTAGAATTTGCTCCACTTTTCTTAATATGTAAGTAGGTTTTTTTTAACTGTTACTGAAAAATTGGAAGCTATTTAAAGTCAGAGTCTTTTAATTTCCTTCTGACTTATAATTGACAAAACTATAAGGGAAAAGAAATAATTTTTTAAACTTTAGTTTAGCCTTCAACTCTGGTTTACTACAAAAAGCCCGAGCTGTGGAAAGTTCCTGCCCCTAGATCATGGACTCGATTTGGGCCAGGCAGCCCAGCCCTGAGGACATGCAGCCACTGACATATGCTGTGGTGATCAGGTTTCCCCCAAGCATCCATGGTAGATATGAGGTCTACATTCATGCCCCACTCTCAGCAAAAGGTAGGTTTTCATAGTTTACATTTAACGTACCAGGCTTATTTTCTGTCTGCCTTTCATTTTCCTATTTTTGTTTTTCCTCTGTCTTATTGCTCACCAACTTTAATTTTTTTTTTTTTTTTTTTTTTTTGAGATGGAGTTTCGCTCTTGTCGCCCAGGCTGGAGTGCAATGGCGCGATCTCGGCTCACCACAATCTCCGCCTCCCAGGTTCAAGCCATTCTTCTGCCTCAGCCTCCCGAGTAGCTGGGATTACAGGCACGTGCCATCACGCCTGGCTAATTTTGTATTTTTATTAGATACGAGGTTTCTCCATGTTGGTCAGGCTGGTCTTGAACTCCCAATCTCGGGTGATCCGCCTGCCTTAGCCTCCCAAAGTGCTAGGATTACAGGTGTGAGCCACCAGGTCCAGCCAATTCATTTATTTTTTAAACAAAGAATGCTTCACACATTTCTGAGTCAACCTTACATCCTGCAAATCAGCTGTTTTGTTCCAGCTTTAGCTGCGCCCCAAGCCAATGTGTCATGTACTTCTAGTTTATGTGGTTGTGCTGAAATGTGTGCATTTTTATGTGCCATTAGTAGGTACTTTTTGTTTTGTTTTTAAACAAGAAGGGGTAGAACAAAACACACAAATCAATACAAATAAATGTTTATTGTTGTCACAATATATGCCGTAGGCCCCTTGTTTTGCTAACCATTTCCAGTCCTTCACTGTGAGTGGCCGCCAACTACAGTCCCTTAATCTAACCTAGCTCATTTACTTTGTTTATTCTTGACAGGTGGCAGAATGATTTTTCTCTCAGACCATTTTATCTACAAAGAGAAACGTATGTGCTCACGCCTCCCTTCGAAGGTCTGCAGGTCTCCATTTGGGCGCCTCTGAGGTGCCTCAGAGAAAGAACCGCCCCCAGAAAGGCAGGAGACCTGCGTTCCGCCTGCCTGTGTGATTAGGTCAGGAGCCCTGAGGCTCGGGCCCTAGCACTTCCAATTTGTGAAAGAGGGTTAGAGTCACCAAGCTCCTAAGGCCCCCTTTCTGGCTCTAAGATGTTAAAATCTGTTATAAGATTTTCTTTTACCAGGATAGGCCTCAGCCCAACACACAGTGTGATGAAGTCTGATGAGTGTTAGCTGCGGAGGAGGGTTTTGATGGGCGTGACTCCGGACGAGTCCAAGCTTGCCTCTTCTCCAAGGCAAAGATCGCCTACAATGTCACTGCTGCCAAAGGACCCTTCTTTGGCTAAAATACTCCACCCAGTGGACAAAACAGAAAATGGCCTATTTCTTTGCTCCCGTTCCTGGAAGGAAGCACAGCCTATTGGCCTGGTAGAAAGAGTGCAGAAATGCTCGGGTCTAGAGCCCTGTGCTCCATGAGCCTCCAGCATCCTCTGGCCAGATCTAAACAAGCCTGTTAGCAACCCCAAGGCCCTCCTTTTCTCTCAACTTTAACAGGTGGTCCCTGGAGCCTTCCTGCCTCCTCTGCACCAGGAAACTCCTCAACAGAAACGAGCAGAAAGAGATCAATGCTATCCTGAAAAAGAGCCCCAAAGCTCCACCGATATGATTCCAGGTTTTGACAAATGTCACCTACTCAAGGAGGCCCTCAGTGTAGACCAGGAGCGGACACTCACTCCCCTTACACACTATACTTCTCCTTGGAAACACTCCTCTCACGGGAGATCCTTCTCCCTCTCCCCGCTGAACCTCATTGCTTCAGGGGCAGCATCTGTTCACAGCATCCTCATAGCAAGTAGTAGTTCTCATTAAATGCTTATTAAATAAATCTGTAGCATTACTTTGTGTCCGGGCCCGGTGGCTCACGCCTGGAATCCCAGCACTTTGAGAGGTTGAGGCGGGAGGATCACCTGAGGTCAGGAGTTTGAGACCAGCC
Source organism: Homo sapiens (assembly GCF_000001405.40). NCBI lineage: Eukaryota > Metazoa > Chordata > Mammalia > Primates > Hominidae > Homo > Homo sapiens. The sequence continues at coordinate 115,772,685 of NC_000001.11, forward strand.
TAGCCAACATAGCGAAACCCAATCTCTACTAAAATACAAAAAGACAGGCATAATAGCACCTGCCTGTAATCCCAGCTACTCGGAGGCTAAGGCAGGAGAATCGCTTGAGCCTGGGAGGCTGAGACTGCAGTGTGCCGAGATTGCACCACTGCACTCCAGCCTGGGCAAGAGAGTGAGACTCCATCTCAAAAAAAAAAAAAAAAAGCCAGGTATTTTAACAGCAGCAACAAGAGAAGGAGAGACAGAGAGAGAGAAGGAAGGAAGGAAGGACAGGGGAAGGAAGGAAGGAAAGAAGGAAGGAAAAATTTAATTCAGTAGACAAGAACAGATAAATGGAAAGCTTAGGGCTACTTTGTCCTGGAACTAGGGGGGAAATACAGGGTTCTCAGGGGTAGCAGTAAAAGAACAGAAAAAAAAAACCCTAATATGGAGGTCATATCAAAGGGTCCAAATGGAGGGTATGGTAGGCGGAATAGTGCCTTCCCATTCCCCCACCCCCCATCAGGATGTCCAGTATAATCCTCAGAACCTGTGTGTGTGTGTGTGTGTGTGTGTGTGTGTGTGTGTGTGTGTGTGTGTGTGTTGTCTAATATGACCAAGGAGTCTTTGCAGATGTGATTAAATTACGGATCTTGAGATGGAGAGATTAGCCTGGATTATCCTGGTGGATGCTTGTGAAACAGAGGCAAGAGGGTCAGAGTGAGAGAAGGAGATGGAGGATGGAAGCAGAGGCTGGAATGACACAGGCCAGCAGCCAAAGCATGTAGGCAGCCTCTAAGAGGTAGAAAAGGCCAGGAGAGGATTTTCCCTGAAAGCCTCCAGGAGGAATGCAGCCCCACAACCCATTTTAGACTTTTAACCTCCATAACTATAAGATAATACATTTGTGTTGTTTTAACCGCTAAGTCTGTGATAATTTGTTACAGCAGCAATGGGGAACTAATAGAGGGTGACAGTGAAAACCGACTCCTAAAGTGACAAAAAGCTGCCTATCCTATAGCCTCAGCTGTTTTATCTGCAAAGTAACCTGTACCTTCACCTAGCCCCATTGCCTGTACCAAATAGATGAGAAAACAGCTCGGCACAGTTCAGTTGATAGGGTCATTTACATTTATGGTTCCTTTGATCCTCACTCCATGAGGGAGCTGGGACATATGTCTCTTGAGGCAGGTCACTAACACCTCTGAAGGCCTCTAAAATAATCTAGATCCACATTCTCCTACGTTTTTGACCTTTCTTTTTTATGTTAATATACCATCTCTCAATATCTCTCCTTAGGAGTTTTTTTAAAGTTGCCGTTTTTGTGTAATATATTTAAAAAGAAATGATTTTCAAATATGTCTAGGTTGACATATTATTACAGACTCTTATAAAATTCATTTTAATATCATTCTTAATAATCATTATATACAGAATGAAGATAAATTATACTTTGCCAGTTTATAAATGATTCATTGTTTAATTTAATTAAAATAGACAACAGAAAGGTTGATTTGTTAGCAAATGTTTAAATGGCATATTGGTTTAGGAAACAAATATATATGAGAAATAAAGATTGAAGTTTTTCCTTTTTTTAATTTTTTTAATTGAGAAATAATTGATATACAGGGAATTGCACATATTTAAAGTGTGACATTTGATACATTTGGGCATATGCATACATGCATGAAACTATCACGACAATCAAGATATTGAATATATCCACTGCCTACAAGTTTCTTGAGTCCTTTTATAATGCATCCTTCCCTCCTCCTCCCACTAGTCCTTAGGCAACCTCCAATCTTTTTTGTCACTATAGATTAGTTTTTATTTTCTATAGTTTTATGTAAATGGAATCATACATTACCTATTCTCTTTTTTTTTCTTTGATGTGGCTTCTTTCACTCAGCATACCTATTTTGATATTCAGTAATGTTGCCTATATTGTCTTTCATTTTTATCACTAACTAGAATTATATGGTATCAACATATACAATTTGTTTATTCTTTCCCCATTAATGGAAATTTGTGTCATTTTTACACATAAAGCTAAAATTAAAATCTGTGATTCAATCTAGTTAATATAATGTGAATAAGTATGAATCAAAGTAGGGGTGTTTTGGCATATTCCATTGTTCTATATTATACTGTTTCTTGAAAAGACTCCAATTCTACTGAATTGCTTTAACATGTTTGTTAAAAAGTGGTCACCCAGCCAGATGTGGTGGCTCATGCCTGTAATCTTAGCACTTTGGGAGGCTCAGGCAGTCGGATCACTCGAGGTCAGAAGTTCATGACCAGCCTGGCCGACATGGTGAAACCCCATCTCTACTAAAAATACAAAAATTAGCTGGGTATGGTGGTGCACGCCTGTAATCTCAGCTACTCCAGAGGCTGAGGCAGAAGAATCGCTTGAACCCAGGAGGCGGAGGTTGCAGTGAGACAAGATGGCCCCACTACACTCTAGCCTAGGGGACAAAAGCGAAATTCTGTCTCAAAAAAAAAAAAAAAAAAAAAGTGGTCATCCATATATATGTTGGTCTATTTCTGGGCTCTCTGTTTTGTTCCTTTTATTTATCTTTTTAAAATGTCAGTGCTATGTATTAGTTTTTATTACTGTAGCTCTGAAAGTCTTGAAATCAGGTACTGTTAGCTGTCCAACTTTCTTCTTCTTTTTCAAGTTATTTTGGCTATTCTAGGTCCCCTACATTTCCATATGAACTTTAGAATCAGTTCAACAAGTTCTAAAATAAAAATCTGTTGGGAGTTTTAGTGGGGAGAATTCATATCTTTGCAACATTGAGTCTTCTGAAACATGAACAAGATATATCTCTCTATAAATTTAAGTCTTTAATTTCTTTCAGCAATGTCTTATAGTTTTCCCTATTTAGGTACTAGATCTTTCATCGATTTAATCTTTAAGTATTTCATATTTTGGTGCTTTAAAAAAATGATAAAGTTTTAAATTTTTTATTTCAATTTGTTTGTTGATAGCAAATATAAATATAATTGATTTTTGTGTGTTGGTGTTATATCCTGTAAACTGGCTAAATTTATTAGTTCTAGAAGGTATTTTGTAGATCCCATTGGATCTTCTTCATAGATGTTATTTCATCTGCAGACAAAGACCTATTTATTTCTTCAGTTGAAATTTGGATGCCTTTTTTTTCTTTGGCTTGTTTTATTGCACTAACTAGAACCTCTAGTACAATGTTAAACAGACGTGGTAACTTTAAACATCCTTGTCTTGTCCCTGATCTTAGGAGAAGAGTTCAGTTCACTTACTGGCAGGGTGGTAGCTACAGTTTTTGTTTGTTTGTTTTATACAGATGCCCTTTGCTAGGGTTAGGAAATTGACTTCTTTTCCTAGTTGGTTGAGAGTTTTTCTCAAGAATGGATATTGCACTTTGTCAAATCCTTTTTCTACATCCATAGAGATGATCATATGTTGTTGTTTTTTTACTATGTTGATTTGGTAAATTACCAAATTGATTTTTTTTAAGTTAAATCAACCTTGGACATCTAGTATAAACACCATTTGGTCATGATGTATTATCATTTTTATAAATTTTTCAATTTCATTTATGAGAATTTTGTTTAGAATGTTTGCACCTTTGTTGATGACGGATATTGATCTGTAGTGCTTTGTGCAGGTCCAGATTGCATTTGGTATCATTTTCCTTCTGCCAGAAAAACTTCCTTTAACATTCTTGTGGTGCAGGTATGCTGACAATTCTTTTAGCTTTTGTTTGTTTGAAAATGTTTTTATCTTGCTTTTTTTTTTTTGAAAGATATGTTTACTGGTTAAAAGTTTTAGGTTGACTTTTTTTTCTTTCAGCACTTTAGAGTTGCTCCACTGTTGTCTTGCTTATATTCTTTTCTATAAGCAATTACTGTCATCCTTATGTTTGTTCCATTGTATATAATTTCTTTTTTCCTCTGGCTGTTTTCAAGATGTTGTTTTTATCAATAGTTTTGAGTAATTTGATTATGATGTGCCTTGCTTTCATGATTTAGGTTTTTGTTTTTTTTTTTTTTTTCATGTTTCCTGTGCTCCTTGGATCTGTGCTTTCATAGTTTCCCTGAGATTTGTTGAATATTTCGCCATTATTTCTTCAAATGGCTTTTCTGTCTCCTCCTCATTCTTAAGGGATTCTCATTATATATATTAAGCCACATGGGGTTTCCTAATTTATGTTCTTTTTATTTTCTAAAATTATTATTATTATTTATGCTTCATTTTGTATAGTTGCTATTGCTGTGTCTTCAAATTCACTAATCTTTTCTTTTTTAACACATAGTCTTTTGTTAATACCAGTTAGTGTTGTTTAATCTTGGAAATTATGGTTTCCACCTCTAAAACCCTGATTTGTGTCTTTTACATATTTCTTTGTCTTGAATTAGGTTTTTAAAGATATGAAATACAATTACAGTAACCATTTTAATGTTGTTGGCTGCTAATTCTAATATCTGTGTCGGTTCTGAGTCAGTTTCAATTATTATTCTTCTCATCATTATGATTCATATTTTTCTGCTTCTTTGAGTACCTAATAATATTTGATTAGAGGCAAGACCTTGTACATTTTACTTCATTAGTTACTGATTTTAAAAATATTTTTAAATCTTTTCTACTTTTGTTCTGAAATGCAGTTAAGTTATTTGGAAACAGTTTGATCCATTCAGGTCTTAATAATAAGATTTTGTTTTGTTTTGTTTCGTTTTGTTTTTGGTAGGGCAAAAGCAGCGATGAGCCTAAGACTAGTTATTCTCCACTACTGAGGCAAGACTTTTCTGAAAGCTCACCCAATGTATTCATAATCAGAATACACAGGTATTCTGAGGTTTTCCAGCCTGGTTGGTGAAAGTCGGCATCATCACTGGCTCTGTGTGGGCACTGGGTACTATTCTTTCTAGTTGAATCCTTTAGATTGTTCTTTTCGCTAGTCTGACATAGTTTCCTTAAAACACATGCATTGATCAGTGCTCTGCTCAAGAACCGGAGGGTAACGCCCTGCCACTCTTCCAGGCTGTCTCTCTGTGCAGCTTTCAGACTCCTTGGTCTCCTTGGATCCTCAGTTCTATCTTCCCAACAGAGGAATCCTCCTTAGTTACCCCTCCCTGTGCCACTGCCTAAAAGCTCTCTCCAGGCATTCTGTGGGGCAACTGTAGGCTTTAAATGATTTGCTTCCTATCTCCCAGGGATTATGCTCTTTTGTTGCCTACTGTGCAGTATCTTAAAAACTGTTGCTTCAAATGTTTTTTATTTTTTTATTTTTTAGTTGTTTCAGATGGGAGGGGAAATTGGTTTGGTCCCTGTTACTCCATTTTGCCTGGAAGCAGAAGCCTTAGAAAATTGAAAATGTGTGTCTTAGTCAATTTGGACTGCTATAACAGCATACCATAGACAGGGTGGCTTATAAACAACAGAAATTTATTTCGTACAGTTCTGGATATTGGGAAGTTCAAGATGAAGCTGCCAGCAGATTTGGTGTCCACTGGAGGGCCTGCTATCTGGTTCATAGACAACTGTCTTCTCTTTGTGTCCTCATGCAGTGGCAGGGCTGAGGAATCTTACAGGGGTCCCTTTTATAAAGACACTAATCTCATTCATGAGGACTACCTTTCATTACCTAATCACCTCTTGAAGGTCCCCCCTCCAAATATCATCACATTGAGGTTTAGGACTTCAACATATCAATGAGGTAGGGGCCATAAAATTTCAGTCCACTTCATTTATCTATGTATTATACAAGTAAAAGTAGACAAAAACTGCTTTCATGAGCGGATGGTGAGTATTCTTGCAGATTACTTATTTCAAGTAGTTTAGTTTGTATAAAGTTTTGTTTATTTCTAAATAATTAGAAAAGCTAATGATAGGCTGGGTGCCATGGCTCATGCCTGTAATCCCAACACTTTGGTAGGCCGAGGTGGGCAGATCACCTGAGGTCAGAAGTTCAAGACCAGCCTGGTCAACATGGCAAAACCCCATCTCTACTAAAAAACATTTAAAAAATTAGCCGGGCCTGGTGGTGTGCGCCTGTAATCCCAGCGAAACGCCATCTCAAAAAAAAAAAAAAAAAAAAAAAAAATAGAAAAAGAAAAAGAAAAGAAAAGAAAAAAAGCTAATGGTATATCAGTAAGATTATGCTAGAATGCAAGTAACAAAAATCCAATGCAAGCTAGCTCAGCTTGTGTAACTAGAGATGGGGAGGGCTGTAGGGTCAGTGTGATTTGTCTGCTCAAGAACACCTTCAGATGTTTTCTGTTTTCATCTCTCTGCTCTGCCTTCTCTTGTCTTTTTTTTTTTTTAATACTTTAAGTTCTAGGGTACATGTGCACAATGTGCAGGCTTGTTACATATGTATACATGTGCCTTGTTGGTTCACTGCACCCATTAACTCTTCATTTACATTAGGTATTTCCCCTAATGCTATCCCTCTCCCATCCTCCTACCCCACAACAGGCCTTGGTGTGTGATGTTCCCTGCCCTGTGTCCAAGTGTTCTCATTGTTCAATTCCCACCTATGAGTGAGAACATGCGGTATTTGGTTTTCTGTCCTTGTGATAGTTTGCTCAGAATGATGGTTTCCTGCTTCATCCATGTCTCTGCAAAGGACAAGAACTCATCCTTTTTTATGGCTGCATAGTATTCCATGGTGTATATGTGCCACATTTTCTTAATCCAGTCTATCACTGATGGACATCTGGGTTGGCTCCAAGTCTTTGCTATGGTGAATAGTGCTGCAATAAACATATATGTGCATATGTCTTTATAGTCACATGATTTATATTCCTTTGGGTATATACCCAGTAATGGGATCGCTGGGTCAAATGACATTTCTAGTTCTAGATACTTGGGGAATCGCCACACTGTCTTCCACAATGGTTGAACTAGTTTACACTCCCACCAATAGTGTAAATGTGTTCCAATTTCTCCACATCCTCTCCATCACCTGTTGTTTCCTGACTTTTTAATGATCGCCATTCTAACTGGTGTGATACGAAATCAATGAACAAAAATCACAAGCATTCTTATACACCAATAACAGACAAACAGAGAGCCAAATCATGAGTGAACTCCCATTCACAATTGCTACAAAGAGAATAAAATACCTAAGAATCCAATGTAAAAGGGATGTGAAGGACCTCTTCAAGGAGAACTACAAACCACTGCTCAATGAAATCAAAGAGGACACAAACAAATGGAAGAACATTCCATGCTCATGGATAGAAAGAATCAGCATTGTGGAAATGGCCATACTGCCCAAGGTAATTTTTAGATTCAATGCCATCCCCATCAAGCTACCAATGACTTTCTTCACAGAACTGGAAAAAACTACTTTAAATTTCATATGGAACCAAAAAAAAGAGTCCTTATAGCCAAGACAATCTTAAGCAAAAAGAACAAAGCTGGAGGCATCATGCTACCTGACTTCAAACTATATTACAAGGCTACAGTAACCAAAACAGCATGTTACTGGTACCAAAACAGATATATAGACCAATGGAACAGAACAGAGTCCTCAGAAATAACACCACACATCTGCAAACATCTGATCTTTGACAAACCTAACAAAAAGAAGAAATGGGAAAAGGATTCCCTATTTAATAAATGGTGCTGGGAAAACTGGCTAGCCATATGTAGAAAGCTGAAACTGGATCCCTTCCTTACACCTTATACAAAAATTAATTCACGATGGATTAAAGACTTAAATGTTAGACCTAAAACCATAAAAACCCTAGAAGAAAACTTAGGCATTACCATTCAGGACATAGGCATGGGCAAGGGCTTCATGACTAAAATGCCAAAAGCAATGGCAACAAAAGCAAAAATAGACAAATGGGATCTAATTAAACTAAAGAGCATCTGCACAGCAAAAGAAACTACCATCAGCACGAACAGGCAACCTACAGAATGGGAGAAAATTTTTGCAATCTACCTATCTGGCAAAGGGCTAATATCCAGAATCTACAAAGGACTCAAACAAATTTACAAGAAAAAATCAAACAACCCCATCAAAAAGTGGGCAAGGGATATGAACAGACACTTGTCAAAAGAAGACATTTATGCAGCCAACAGACACATGAAAAAATGCTCATCATCACTGGTCATCAGAGAAATGCAAATCAAAACCACAATGAGACACCATCTCACACCAGTTAGAAAGACTGCCTTCTCTTGTCTTAAACCCTCATCATAGTAGTGGCTAAGCCTGGTTGTTGAAAGATGACTGCAAACAACTCCAGGGCTCCATAATTTTTCCTCCAGAAAGAGAGTGTGACGATTTTTTGTCCCCTCAGAAACCAGCCCAGCCATCTTCTCCAATCTCATAAACTAAAATTGAATCATGTGCTCACAACTGAAAAATAGAATCCACTCAGACTCCGGTGGGGTCAGTTCCCTGAAAGCTGGGCTGCCAGAGAGGGGTGGAATACCCAAACAATACTCAGGTCACTGTCAAAAGTCAGAGGATTGAGGAGACTGAGGACACTGCAGTCACAATGTCCACTTGGGTGGGTATCAGACCATTTGTAAATGCTTTGAGACAGATAACATAAGTGTGAGCAATCTCTTCCTTCCTAATAAATGAAAAGCCAAATCTGTTATAATTATGATAGTATCTTTTGCACTCTCATTTTAGATATTTTAGGAGACATCTGGATGTGTACATGGGATTTAGGTCAGATAAATTAAACTAATAGAGTTATGAAAATCACCTTGAGGTGAACTTGCAGAATTAATAATATTGGTATGTTCCTCTTCCCTTGTGTTTCAGTACCAAAGTTTCTTGTATGTTCTTGTCTTTATGTGTTATAGGCACAAATTAGGCAATATGGTGACTAAGAACAAAGATAATTGAAAGCTCTGCAAGAATCAAAACCACTGTGGCAGCTGAGTGATCATCTGAGAGCGTGAGTCAGGAGCTGGCCCATCTGACCCCACTAAGGGCCATGTGGACTAATATATTTAATCAGAGGCACTCAGCAGTTTTATTTTAAGTGGCAAGACATTTAGGTTAGTATTTAAGATACTTATAAAAAAATAAAATTGAATAAGATGCCATAGTGCCATTAATGTCATGAACCCTGGGAACACTGTCACAACCCCCAGCTGAGAAGTGCTGAAACAGGCCATTTGTAGGACTCACCATGTCCCAAGTGCCGTACCGAGCATCTTACATGCAATGAAGAATATATATCCTCACAGATATATATTCTGTGAGGCAGAATAGAAGAATGCCAGAAGTAGTCACTGGCATTGTCTACATTTTACAGATAAATAAAAAGGTGAAAAAAGGTGGTATTCCCTTGCCCGATGTCGCCTGATAGTAGGCAGTAAAGTTGTGTCCCAAGCAGCTGGGATTCTGGCACCAGAGTATGTGTAATTAACCACTACACTGTACACTTCTGTTAAGTGCTTGGGGCAAAATTTTTAGCTAAATAATGGCTTTGGCTTCACAGATATGAATAAATCAACATAAGTGTTGGATTTTTAGCAGAGGTCTCTGTATTTCACGCCAAGTTCTAGTCTCAGGAAGTATTGTTGCAAGTGCTTTCACTTCTTTTGAGGCTTAATACCAGAAGTCTAGATTAGTTGATTCTCAATCAGAGGTGATTTTGATTTGGCAGTGTCTGGAAACATTTTTGATAGCCACAACTCAGAGATGTGTTGGCTGGGGTGTTCCTGGCCCCTAGTGAACAGAGCTCAGTGATGTGCTAAATATTCCACAATGCACAAAACAACTCTCCACTACAAAGAACTGTCCAAACCAAAATGTCACTAGTGCTAAGGTTGAAAAACCCTGAGCTACACTGAAACAGAGCTTGCAATGTGTGCATTGAGATCCCCTCTCTATGGACACTTCCCGGAGTTTTGTCCCTGTGACTTGAGTAGCAGTCATCGTGCCTAACCCTGCTCACAGAGCCTGAAGAATACATGGCACATTTCACTCCTTGTTAGGTATATGAGCACTGGTTCAGCTTGTGTCGCCCTTTATAGCCCTGTCTCCTTGCCTCACAAGCTATGGGATAAGTTTAGAGTGGGAGGAATACTTTCTCCTTAACTGTTCCAGGACAAGCATTCTCAGTGTGTCTGGCTCTTTTAGGTTTTCTGAGTCATGCTTTAATATAGTCCTTGGATTCTTCTTTCTGCCTGTCCTGTTTGCTAGGTTCTTGTGGTAGCAGCCACCCAGTCTCTGAAATCCCCTGTCATCCTCAGCATACAACCAGCCTGATGCAGCTGAGGTGCTCAGGTTTCTGTGTGATTTTGTCCTGTGGTCAGAGCTCTCAGGTGCTTTGGAGTGCATAGACACATGACTGAGGTAAAGCATGGGGCAGGTCCTTGTGGTGTTGGTGCAGTGGCACCCCAAGGCCTGTGGGCTCATAAGAACAGGAATGATATCTGCTAGGGCAGCATCTCAGCACTGCTTCAGGAATAGCTGCTGTATCTTGCAACATGTGGTCTGCATTGGTAGCATTCAGAGACATTCCATTGCCACTCCTTCCTAGAGTAAAGGAACTGCTAATCCTCCCTCTGACTCATAACTAAAGCCAGCTTTCAAAGTGGTGAGGTTGCAGAGCTTGAGGGAGGGGCCTCATGGTCCCAAATACCTACTCCACTTGTTTGCTACTCCAAGGAATTTGTATACAGTCAGTTAATATTATTATCACTCACTCCAATTTTATAGATGAGAATCCTTGAACTCAGAGAAGTTAAGTGACTTTTCTGAGGTGACACAACTAATAAGCTAGGTGATCCATGTCTATATATTTCACATTCACTACTCTCTGCTGGGCTATTACCAAGAAATTCCTTGGCCTTACCTAATACTGGATAGGACTAATTAAGTGATCCAAGTATCTAAGCAACAAGGGTATGTCTGCACCAACAAACCTGAATGTAACTTCTAGATCTGAAAAATAAAATACTGATGGTCCCTAACTTATGATGGTTCAACTTAACACTCTTTAAACTATACCATGGTGCAAAGGCAATATGCATTCAGCAGAAACCATACTTTGAGTACCCATACAATTGTTCTGTTTTTCACTCTCAATGTAGTATTCAATAAATTACATAGGATAATCAATTATTTCTTATAAAATAGGCTTTGCGTTAGATGATTTTGCCCAACTATAGGCAAATATAAGAGCTCTGAGCATGTTTAAGGTAGGCTAGGCTAAACTAAGATATTCAGTAGACTAGGTATATTAAATGCATTTTCAACTTATTTTCAACTTAGAATGGATTTATTGGGACATAACCCTACTACAAATAGAGGAGCAAATGTATCTGGAATAAAAAATATACTATATGGGATTAAACCCAGATTAGACATTGGGGTAAAAATAGATCAGTGAACCAGAAGAAATAGCAATGAAAACTACGTAAATAGAGTATAGACAAACTAATTTGAAAAAAATAGAATCCCAGTGACCTATGAGACAATGATAAATAGCTTATTGTACACATAATTGGAAGCCCTGAAAGAGCAGAGAGAGGAGGGATCAGAAAAAAAAAAAATTTCAAGAAATAAATGGCTAGATACCATCTCACACCAGTTAGAATGGCAATCATTAAAAAGTCAGGAAACAACAGGTGCTGGAGAGGATGTGGAGAAATAGGAACACTTTTACACTGTTGGTGGGACTGTAAACTAGTTCAACCATTGTGGAAGTCAGTGTGGCGATTCCTCAGGGATCTAGAACTAGAAATACCATTTGACCCAGCCATCCCATTACTGGGTATATACCCAAAGGACTATAAATCATGCTGCTATAAAGACACATGCACACGTATGTTTATTGTGGCATTATTCACAATAGCAAAGACTTGGAACCAACCCAAATGTGCAACAATGATAGACTGGATTAAGAAAATGTGGCACATATACACCATGGAATACTATGCAGCCATAAAAAATGATGAGTTCATGTCCTTTGTAGGGACATGGATGAAGTTGGAAATCATTCTCAGCAAACTATCGCAAGAACAAAAAACCAAACACCGCATATTCTCACTCATAGGTGGGAATTGAACAATGAGAACACATGGACACAGGAAGGGGAATATCACACTCTGGGGACTGTTGTGGGGTGGGGGGAGGGGGAGGGATAGCATTGGGAGATATACCTAATGCTAGATGACGAGTTAGTGGGTGCAGCGCACCAGCATGGCACATGTATTCATATGTAACTAAGCTGCACAATGTGCACATGTACCCTAAAACTTAAAAGTATAATAAAAAAAAATAGGAACAAATTGGAACAGGTTAGATTTTCTGCCTCTGAAAAAAAAAAAAAAGAAAGAAAGAAATGGCTAAAAGCTTTCCACACTTGATGAAAACTATAAACCTACACATTCACGAAGTTTAACAAACCCCATCAGAGAAAGGATAAAAGGAAAACAAGGCAAATTATAATGAAATTTCTGGAGACAGAAGATAACAAGAATTATTAAAAGCAACTAGAGAAAATATTTTATCTACAGAGGAACAAGTATAAGAATGATAGCATACTTCTTTCTAGAAACTATCCAAGCCAAATAACTGTAGAGAAAAATGAAAGAAAAAAACCTGTCGACCTAGAATGTTTTGCTAAGAGAAAATATGTTTCAGGAGTAACAAGTAAGAATGGATTTTAAAAGGGCATAAAAAAACTTGTGAGGATGGAAAAGTTTATCATCTTGATTTTGGTTATATATACATGCACAGAAATGCACATAAAATTGTACATTACATAGTGCAACTTACTATAGGCAAATTATATATCAATAATGCTATATAAATTATTAATAAAAAGGAGAAATTAAGACTTTTTCAGATAAATAAAGGCTGACAAATTCATGATCCACAGACCTTCACTACAAGAAGTGTTAAAGGAATTTCCACAGGAAGAAGGAACATGATGTCAGTTGAAAATTTGGAACTCAACAAAGGAATGTGTAGCTCCAGAAGAATCTGTTAAGTATGACTGTTTAAAGCAAAAATGATATAAATGTATTATGGGATATATAGCCTATATAAAAGTAAAAAGACCTTGACTCTTTTTTAAAAAAGTAAAATGTATTATAACAATAGCATAAAGAATAGAATGGGAGAGATGGAGATTTACTGTTGTAGGGTTGTTATTTTATATATGAAGTAGCAGTATATAAAATGCAGATATGTTAAAGACAGGACAGAAAAAGAAATTTCAAGTAAATATTAATACTAATCAAAGGAAAGTTGGAATGCCCATATTAATTTTGAAACTAGGAATTTACCAGAGATAATGAGGAACATTTCATAAGGATAAATGGGTCAATTCACCAATATACCTAAAATCTATAAGTCTATATGCACCTAATAATATAGCTTCAAAATAAATAAGACAAACCTGATAGAACTGAAGGGAGAAATAGATAATATACTACTACGGTCAGATATTTTAATTTTTCTCTCTCAATAACTGATTTTAATATTTCTATATAGTCCGATATTTTAATATTTCTCTCTCAGTAACAAGTAGGCTGAAAATTAGGGTATAGACATCTTGAATAGCACTGTCAATCAATTTGAGCTAACTGATATTTATGGAATACTTCACTTTTTAATGTGGCAAAATGCGCATACTTTTTAAATACACATGGATCAAGAAGGTAGACCATATTCTGGGCCATGAAACAAGTGTCAGTGGATATAAATGTTGAAATCATGCAGAGTGTGTTCTCTGATTACAGTAGAATTAAATTAGAAATAAATAACAAAGGCCAGGCGCGGTGGCTCACACCTGTAATCCCAGCACTTTGGGAGGCCGAGGTGGGTGGATCACCTGAGGTCGGGAGTTCAAACCAGCCTGACCAACATGGAGAAACCCCATCTCTACTAAAAATACAAAATTAGCTGGGAGTGGTGGCACATGCCTGTAATTCCTGCTACTCGGGAGGCTCACACAGGAGAATCACTTGAACCTGTAGGTTGCGGTGAGCAGAGATCGCACAATTGCACTCCAGCCGGGGCAACAAGAGTGAAACTCTGTCTAAAAAAAAGAAATAAATAACAAAAATATGAAAACAATCATCAAATATTTTGAAATTAATAAGACACCTCCAAATAGCTCATTGGTCAAAAGTAAAATCACAAGAAAAATTCAAAGATATTTTGAATTGGATAAACATAAAAACACTAGATATCAAAACTTGTAAGATACTTCTGAAGTATTTCTTTAAAGGAATTTGAGAGCATTAAATGCTTATTGAGAAATGAGGAGAGGTCTCAAAGCAGTTATCTCAGCTTCACTTGTAAGAAACCAGAAATAAAGCAAAATTAACTCCAAAATAAGCAGAAAGAAGGAAATTGTAAAGATGAGAGCAGAAATTAATGAAATAAAAGAGAAAATAGAGAAAATTAATGTACCCAAAAGATGGTTCTTTGAAAAGATACATAAAACCGATAAAAAAACTTCACCAATACTAATCAGAAAAATGACACAAATTACCAAAATTATGAATGAAAGCAGGAACATCATTACATATCTTACAAAATTCCTTGAAAGATACAAACTACCAAAATTTGTTCAGGAAGAAATAAATAAGCAAAGCAGCCTTATATCTATTAAGAAATTTGAATGTGTTGTTAAAACCCTTCTCACAAAGAGTACTCCAGGCCCATATGGCTTCACATTTAAGGGAGAAATAATCCCAACCCTACTCAAACTCTTCGAGAAAACAAGAAAGAAGGAAACCCTCCCCTCTCATTTTTAGGAAGGCAAGAAAACAAGAAAATGATATTGTAAGAAAGAAAACTACAAACCAAAACTACAAAACAAAAATTCTTAAAATTACCTTAGCAAACTGAATCCAGCAGTATATTATCATGACCAAGTGGGATATATTTCAGAAATGCAAGATTGATTTTGAAAATTAATCAATGTAATTTATCATATAAACAGAAAAACAAAAAAAAAGTGATCATTTCAATAGATGGATAAAAAAGCATTTGAAAGCTCAACATCCATTCATGACTAAAAAAAAGAACTCTCAGCGAATGAGAAATAGAAAGGAATTTCCTCAACTTGAAAAGGAGCAATTTCAAAAAATCATAAATAACTTCATATTTCACAGGGAAAGACTGAACACATTTTTCCTCCTAAAATTAAACAGGACTTTCAACTCTCACCATTTTTATTGAACATTGTACTGGAGGCCTAGCCAATCCAATAAGACAAGAAAAAGAAATACAACATATACAGATTAAAAAGAAAAAAAAAGTTTCCATTTGTAGATGACATGATGGTCTATGTAAAAAATTCTAAGGAATTTACAACAAAAGCTTCTACAACTAATCAGTGAGTTTAGCAAGGTTAAAAGACATGTCAGTATGCAAAAATCAACTTTATTTCTATATGCTAGTAATCAAAAGTTAGAAAGTAATTTTAAAATACTATTTACCATAGCAACATTTACAGGGATATATTTAATAACATGTACAAAACCTTTATACTAAAAACTATAAAATATTGCTAACAGAAATAAAAAAATTACCTAAACAAATGAAGCAATACACCATGCTTATGGATTGGAAAATTCCATTTTGTTAAGACTTTAATTCTCAACAAACTGGACTATATGTTCAATATAATCCTAATGAAAATCTCAGAAATCATTTTTATAGAAATTGGCAAACTGACTTTAAAATTTATATGGAAATAAAAATGATCACCACTAGTCAGAAGACTTTTGAAATAGAAAGCTTGAGGACCTACCCTACTTGATTTCAAGACTTACTGTAAAGCTACATTAAAGAAGATAGTATTATATTGGCATAAGCCTAGACACAATGTAACAAAACAGAGGTCTGAGAGCAGACTCAAATGAATATGATGAATTGATTTTCAACAATGTTGTCAAGATAATTCAATGGGGAAAAGATAGTTTTCAAAAATAGCCTTGAAAAAATTGGATATCCCTGTGCAAAATAATTAAACTTAAACCTTGCTTCATGCTATACACAAAAATTAAATTAAAATTCCTTGCAGTCCTAAATGTAAGAGCTAAAAAATAATGATACTTTTAGTTATGTGACAGAAAATATTTGTGACTGTGAATTGGGCAAAGTCTTCTTAGGTAGAACATAAAAATAAAGAACCACTAAAAAGTGATAAATTGGACCTCATTAAAATTAAAAACCTTTTATCTTTAAAGGATATTCAACCTCATTAAAATTAAAAACCTTTGATCTTTAAAGGATATCATTGAGAAAATGAAAGCCATAGACTGCATGAACATATTTGCAAAATATATATCTGATCAATAACTTGCACCCAGAATATACAAGTAATTTTTACAATAATAAGACACATAATCCAATTAATAATTGAGCAAAATATTTGAATGAACACTTCACCAAAGAAGATACATGAATGGTGAATAAACATGTGAAACAATGCTTAACATCACTAATCATTAGAGAAATGTATATAAAAATCAAAGTAAGATACCACTGCATTACTCACTGGAATGGCTAAAATTAAAAAGACTGACCACATTAAGTGTTAGCACGTGGTGCAACTGGAACTCTCAGACATTTCTGGTAAGAATGCAAAATAGTACATCCTCTTTGGAAAACATTTTGGTGGTTTCTTTTAGGGTTAAACACCCTTACCGTACAACTCAACGATCCTCTAGATATTCATCCAAGACAAGTGAAAACTCATGACCAAAGACCTGTAAACGAATGAATGAATGTTCCTAGCAGATTTATGCATAATAGCCAAAAACTGGAAACAAATTAAATTATGAACAGGTAAAACTTTGTGGTGTATCCATATAATGGACTACTCTTCATCAATAAAAAAATACAAACTGCTGATATATGCAACAACGCGAGTTGTCATGCTTAGTGAAAGAACTCAGAGTCAAAAGACTACATAGTATATGATTCTATATAAATGAAATTGTAGAAAAGACAAGCTATAGCTATTAATTTTTCAATAGGTGAAAATTTTATGAGGTGATTATTAAATATGACCATGTTGAAAATTAAATTATATAAACATGATTAAATACATTATATTAAAACAAAGTTAACAAATACCCCAGTCATACACTTCTTGCTTATTTTACTATAATTTCCTAATAGATATGCTCTTCAAATTATTTTAATCTATTCTATCTGTATTGCAGAAATTCTGTATAATGGTGCTCTATTGCACACCTCTTACCAACTCTGCAGTCAGTGATGTCATGTTGGTAACATGAAATTGATCATGATGAGAATATTTACACCATGGAAACTGGCAAATAATAAATTAGGGTTTTGTTTGTTTTCCAGGAGCACTGTTAAACATTTGCCAGCACACCACTGAATATATGCATAGAAGATTCTGTCTCAGGAAAAGGAGGGAATATATAGGATGGATGAAAAGATCTTTCTGGAGGAGGCTGGATTTGAAATGACCCTTGGAAAACGTGCAATATTTAGCCTGTTAGAGAAGGAAGAAAAGGACATGCCAGGCACAAGAAACAAAAGCAAAAACCAAGGGACAGTCTGGCTGGAGTGAAGGCTGTGTATAGCCTTAATGAGCAATAATGCTGTGAACGTATGCTGGATCCCGGCTGAAGGAAGCCTAGAATGACAGCTGTGATGGATTTCTGTTATCTCTCTTTCTTCTTACTTTCCCCCTTCTTCTCGTAGTAGCCTTCTGCCAGCAGCCATGCTGCACCAGTGGATTCTGCCCCACACAGAGCACACCCCACCCTCTGTCCATAGTGATAGGTCCTAGGAGAGACACACAGCCCAGGATGGTCCAAGCAGAGCCCCCAAGCAGATGTTTCTTAACTGGATACGGTATGCCAAAAGACATTTTCCCCTTCTGTAGTTACTAAGCTTGAAGAATGGCAGTCCAGAGCTGACTCAAGACACATCAGGAGGAGATAAGAGAATCAACACATAATAAAAGCAGAGATAAGAGAAGAAAGAGAGGTTTTTGAATCTTTCGTTTCCGTTGTCTTCAGATCAAATCTCCCTGATCTTTCTGAAGCTGAATGTGCAAGCTAATAAATTCTCCCTATTTTGCTTAACCTGGATCAAGTTTTTTTTTCTGTCCTTTGCAATTAAAGATTTGAAAATAGTACACTATGCTCAGAATTTTTAACATATACTCTTTATCCCTGAAAACCTGAATTTGTGTGTGAAAGAGCAAAAGGCAGGGGGCCAAGTCTTTTATAGCCAGGTGTCCCACTGTTGGGAGGGGTTAGTTTCAATCTTTCGCCTGTCTTAGAGGGCACTCTAGCAGACGAGGTGAGCCCTGCCTTGTAACAGGAAGGACCTTTGAGGTCATGTAGGCCAATAATTTGTTGTGGTTTGCCAACTAAATTCCTGGAGCTGTTGGCTTCCACGGAAATGCCCCAGGATGTGTCAAGTGGGCCTACAGGGAGGTTCTCAGCTCCCCTGCTCTACTAATAGCAATGCAGCTGTGGATGGCAAGGCAACCAGAAGGATGCTGGCCTAGTACAGATAGCACATTGAATGTATTTATGCTGTAGTCCGACACATCACGCACGCTGCAAAGAAACTGTTTTCTTCTGAAATCAAACCCCAGTATCCTCCAAGGTGTGAGCAGAGAAGAATGCTGGAAGAAGAATCCACCCAAGCAGGAGAGGCAACTGAACAAGAATTTTTAGAAACCATTCTCCTGAGTTTTCACCTCCCACTTGAGATTCTCACCCTAGGGCACATCAGTTTCCATTTAACAGTCAAGTTCAAAAGTGGACAAAATTGTTTCCCTTGGTTCTTCATAGCACAGCTGAGACAATCTGACATTTTCAAAATGAATTTAACTAAATACTAAGGGAGAACAAAAATGAAATTATAGCAGTCAGTACAAATAGCGACTTTCCAGAGTACTGATTTCTGATCCTAAGGTAACCACGGGGTGGTCTTAAGGATAGTGTGATAATTTAGATTATTGTTCAGCAAATATTCATTCCCTATCCCTTCCCACTGTGGACAGAATATACATCCCTGTCTCATTGATGCTGAGCCATGCCTGACTTTCTTTGACCAATGGAATATTAATGGACGTGACATTGACAGAGACCTTAAATGTGCGTGTGTCGTTTGGCTTTTGCATCCATTGATCTTCCATGAGAAGATAAGCCTTCAGTAGCACTTCCCCTTCAGCCTAGACCCTAGAATGACATGTGGACCGGACCTAAGCCCAACCTGAAGCCAGGAGCACCACCTAGAAAACCCACAGCCTGAAGCAGAGACTCCTGGGCGGCTCATCCTAGAGCAGCTAAATTGTAGAAAACCTGCAGACCATAAGCCTGAGTGTAAAGGCTGGCTGTGGTGACCACTGGGTGCTAGGCCAACTTGTTTCTCAGCATTCCAATAAGAATAGTTGATTAATACACATGACAAGTCTTGTCTAAAATGCCTCCCTTAGAGGAAGTCCTGCCCATCTTATTGCTTGCTACCCAGGTGCTGTATCAGGACATCTTGACCTCGTTCCTACTGGCCAGTGCAACTGAGGAAAACATGATACCTGCCTCCAGCTGCTGATGAAGTGTTAAGTTTATCATCCTGCTCAGGAAGAACCCCTGCCACATCACACATGCCCACTCCCACAGTGGAAAGCAGTCTTGCTCTAAAGAGTAGTATAGTATAGTATAGTATAGTATAGTATAGTATAGTATAGTATAGTATAAAATATGTCTGAACCAGACAATAATTGCAGTGAATAAGAAGACCTGGCACACTTGCAACTGCCATGCTCTTCCAGCAGCTTGGAATGCCCATCCTTCCCTTCTTTGTGGAGTGAACTGCACTTACCCTTCAGCTCTCAGCACAGTTGACACTACCTCAGTGACCTTCCCTGAGGAGATAAAGTCCCCCACTAGCCACTTCCATAATTCTTTTCCTCTTCACACCACTTAGAGGTACAATTTCATGCTCACTCATAGGAAGATTTGTTTACTGTCCATTTGTCCCAATATGTGAGCTCCATGAAGGCAGGGGCAAGCTTCAGGTTGCTTTTGCCATGCCTGGCACATGGAGCGTTTAATAAGTATCTGCTAAATAGACTAGACTCATAGGCTCATGTTTTTTTCCAAGCCTCAGATCTGCCCCTTTTCTAGGTAATCATTTGATTACCTGGGTTTTCTTTCCTTTCTATAGCACTTTTTATCCCACAGCTCATGAACTCATACGGTTCTGACCACAACTGCAAGGTTTCTCCCAGCCCTTCAAGGTCATAGAAACAAAGAGATCACACAAAAAGGTCTTACCATCTTCATCTTGGATGTGAGGACACAACCTCTTCAATTAACAAAGGAAGAAACTGAGGCACATTCTCTCATCCAAGTTTACTTGGCCAGCCATTGGCAAGTGTTAGAGCTGTTGACAGGAAACTGGTTCTGCCCCCTTATGTTGTCCCTGTGGGCATAAATTGTTTTCCTCCTCTAACGATGACTTTGGCACCAAGTACCCTAGGTCTGAAACACCGGTTTCTTATTAAGCAGCCCTGGCTTCAGAGGGTCTGTGAGTGAATAAGGACGGATTGGGAGCCGTCCACTGGCCAGGTGTTTGGTAGCAGCTGCCACTTTCCTTCCTTTGTTTTCTCTACCATCACTGGTTTTAACCCTCATCTAGAAGGCCACTTTGTCTGGGACAGGGAGATAATTTAGTCTCGCGTCCGTTTGGCAGCTTCCTGATTACCAGCTGAGCCTGATTACACAGTCTGTGTGCCTGTCCCAGGACAGACGTGCTGCTGCGTGCTGGAGGAAGGAGGCGGCTCCAATAGTGGAATTGCATTTAGGGTCTCATTTCTAACACCTCTCTTTGGCTAACCCAGACCCAGTCCCACAGGCGACTGGCTCTGAGTTCCACTGTTAATTTCAAAGAACTTTCTCTCTCCAGCAGGGGTCCTAGTGGATAGACCAGGCTCTTGTCTCTCTCCATACCTCAGATCTGCCCCTTTCCTAGGAGATCCTTGGTTTTCTGTACTTTCTCTAGTAAGAATAACTTTCATTCATGAATTCAACAAGTTTAACTAAAACAGTTGGCAAACATTTATTGAGGACTTTTGTGCCAGGAATTTGAGATATGAGTTGAGTAAGACACAGTTCTGACCCCAGGAGCTGTCAGAATAGAGATAGAAACAGATATGCAGCAGTTCCAATAGTGGGAACCCCCAGGAAGAGACTAGATTTCTCAGAGAAGGGGTGGCAGGGAGTAGTTCTAGAAGGCTTCACAGAAGAGGTGCCACCTTGGTCGGTCTTAAAGAGAATAACTGGGGTTTGCTACTATGTGTCGCTGAGTAACACACAGAGGCATGGAGATCCAAGGCAAGTGAGGTAGGGGGAACAGCATGGGTAATCATGTCCATGGTGGGTCAGAGAAGGTGAGTAATCAGATATGCCTGGAAGACACCAGGGGAGGGGTGGCTGAGGCTGGAAAGTCTGGCTGAGGATAGAGGGTGAAGGATGCTATCTGACATGCTGTGAGGCAGGCAGAGTTACAAGCATCAGTTGCAAACATCAGCACCTGTGTGAACATGAAGCAGTTCATGAAGCTTCTACTTCATATAAAAATATTACTTTTATGTGATTGGTTAAATATTTTCCTGGAAAATAAAACACATATAAGTAAACCAAGGAAGATTACTTCTAAAAGATTTGGATAATCGTCAAAGGGAAAGCTTGACATCCATTGAGCTTGCAGTGTATGAGACACTGTATAAGCATTTGATATATATTTACCTCCCTTGGCCCTGACAACTATGCTAGGCAGCTGATATTATTTTTATCATTCCCATTTGGTAGGTGAAGAAAGTGCCTAGTCGTGGGCCTTTGGTGAGGAATACAATTTGAAGTCAGTCAATCTGATTTCAGGGACAATGCCATAATCTTTATGTTCTTTGAGAGATAATCAGAATCCTAAACTAAAGAATGCTTAAGATTTCCTAATTTCTACAGGCAGTGGGGAGCCACAGAGGATTGCTGAGCATAGGGGAGATTTAATAAGTTGATGATGAACTCTCTCTGTTGAGCAGATGAGGAAGATAGAAGAAATACTTGCAGAAGTTTCAGGGGTAGCACTTCAAACAATGAGACCATTGGGAAACTTCAGTCCTAGGGAGGCTAGGCATGTGGGGAGGGTTCTGCTGAAGAAAGGCTTTGTGCTAATGTGTGTCCATGGAGCCAACTGCGTGGAGTGACAGGCTCTGAGGATGGAGCCTGCCTGTGCATATCAAAGAATGGCCTTCCTATGTCTCCATGGCACAGACCCTGGTCACATACCGGTCTTTTTAGCCTTCCATATCCCTTAAATCACCCCTCAGCAGGAGCACCTGCAATTATGAAGTCAAATATTCTAACCTGAATTCCTTTTCTATTCGTATGACCAAATTCAGCAATCTAAGGACAATCTCATAAATGTTAGGTGGAAAAGAGCTTTACCTTGCCAGTCCAAGTACCTAAAATGATGTATGTGTTCCCCAACAAGCAGAGGCGAAACCTGCTTGTATTAATGACCTCTGCCAGGGCATTTTCAGAATTCCTGCAGCATGAGATGCCTTTCACCCACCACACTGGAGTTACTTCCCTCGGATTCACCACTTCATGGCTTTCCAGTCTGTATTGTCTTTGTTCTTCTCTGATCATCTTTCCAAACTAACCTCAGAATTATGTTCCTGCTTTTCCTGGGGTCTGCAAATCCTCTGTAATGAGCAGCCATCTGCAGATTCATTTTTATGCAGTTTCCCTTCCCCCTTCAGACTGGTAATAAAAATATTAAACAGGACTAAACCCAGGGCTGACCCCTGCTGCACCCTGCTAGACAGCCCCCCTTGGGATTGGCTGCCTTTTATCATTGGCCTTTTTTTCTTGCAATGTTTTGTCCAATTTACAGTCACCTCCCCCTGTCCTCAGCCTAGTCAATTAGAGCCGAATGTGAGAGCAAAAATGTTGAGAGATATCCCAAGCTTTTCCAGTTAAAGTCCAAATCTTTGTCTGTTTCTATATATCAGGAAACAATTTTGGGTAAAAACTGAATAACACCACATTAAATATCAACATATTTTTATGTTAACCATAATCTGTACTGTTGACTTAATATTTTATTTTCAACAAGTTCTTTGGTATCCTGTCTTCATGAGTTAACGTTTGCTAATAAAAAGTAAAAATTTCACTCAGTTTCTCTTTCTGACTGTAAACTCAGACTTGGGGCATTTTGTACTTCAGTTTCTTCAGATGTAAATAAAATAAACTAATTTGTGTTTACAACAAACTCCAAGAAATGTTTGATAGGACTACAAAGGATTGTTTATCCTTTAGAAATGCTTTGTCTTTTGACACAATTATTTCCCCCCATTTGGGGATCTTACCAAGAAAGATGCTGGGTAAATCTCTTTCGTTTTTATTGTGTGTATTCCACACATCTAGAAGTCCTGGAAGACGAAGAGGAGCATATCACTCCGCTGGGACTGCTTTCTGAATGCATGGATGTGCTATGAAATATAAATGTATCTCTTCCTGGACAGAGTTTTCTTTTTTCCCTTGCTCTCCTGGGACGCAGGGCTCATGGCGTCAAAAGCTCAGGTGCATCTAGCCATAAGAAGGAGCCTTTTCAGCTCTCTTTATCTCTGCCTCAGTACCCTCATCATAGTAATGAGGATGGACAGAGATTTAAAAGCAAATATGATCTAACAAATAGGCCAGACCCCTTTCTAATCCAGGTTCAGAACAAAAGATAGCACTTCCTGGAATTAACTCCTCGGGAGAGAAACACTCTCATCTAGTTGTGGAAAATCTTTTCCTTTCTCTCAAAATATTCAAAAAGTCCTATACTTTTAAAAGGACCATAAAGAGAGAGCCTTCAATATTTGGTCTATAGTTTAAAATTTTGTGTGACTTTTTCTTGGTCAGGAATGCTTTAACAAACAAGATCATCCAAACTAGGAACTTTAATAATAATTTTTATATTACAACTGCACAAAAATGCTTGAAATAAGAGAAACCCCACCATTCTTCATATATTTTGACTCTATTGTATACAGAAAAGATATAGTAAAAATAAAAAGGATTGTGTAGTTCACAGAACACTCAAGATATCACTCTCCATGATGAATGAATTTCTGAAAATAATATATATTAAATATACCATATATGACAGATTGACTTATTCTATACCCATAATATTTGTGTTGTATATTATTCAGGTGCTATTTTCATAAATGTATGTCTAAAAACATCTATAAATGTGACTTCACTGGTTAGCTGTCTCGTTGATACGGTGATGTGGGTCTTCAGCCTGGCTTTCTTTGTATCTCGGTACATCAGGTCTCAATGGCAATGGAGTGGGAGCTGTCCCGTTTCTGAGTCCCTGAAGCCCAGGTTGTGTTTGTGTATGGGGAGAGTTAATGAGAACAGAATGGCTTTCTTCCCCTAGCTTCCCCAATCCCATCTGTTCAAACAAAAGGCTGAAAGGGAAAGAGAACTGAGACCCTGCTGGTCAAGGGGGGAGGAATAATAACACATATCCTTGGGCAACATTTCAGCACATGCAACCCTTTTATACTGTGCTTAAGCTTTTATTCAGACAAAAGGAAGTCGGGCCAATGTAGGTTCCATTTAAAACTACAATTAAAAAAAAATACGTTAGGCCCAAAGGTCTTTTTTTTTTTTTTAAATAACTACATTTGTAAGTCTAGATTGAAAAATGAGAACTATGAAAGGAAAGGAAAAAAGCAATTTGTACTGAAATCTGCTGAGTAATCCACCTGTGTAGACAGTTGTAGAAGACCAATTTCACCTACTTTGAATGAAGTTGAAGGACAAGTAATGAGCATTATAATAAAAGGAGTTAAAAAAAAAAAGGCACTTCCTTAACTTCCTAAGAAGGGTCCATGAAAATATTGTGATTTCCAGTTGAGGACAAGAAAACCAGTTGCCTTCGGTTCATCAGGTTAGCGGCTTGCCCGCAGAAGCATGGCAAGCAACTCTGGAAGGTCAGAGCAACATTCCCTGGAGCAGTTCATTGAGGCTGACTGGCTCTTAGAGACGACTGCTTAAATCCCAATGGGCCACCCTCAAGGGATTATTTCACAAGATTTGCCAATGCCCTGATACATGCTGCTGTTCATTAAGGCAGGAGAAGAAAAGATTTCCTGGGTATTTACTCTACAATTAAAGCCAGAGCTATTGGGCCATCTTACCATCTATGGGAAGGTGAATTTGCAATCAGTTTTCTTTTATCTGTATTATAAACCATATATTTTAAGTCAGTCACCGCAATAGCTGCATTACCATCACATACATACAGACTTACCATTTTTTTAAAAGTGTATAAAATAAATTCTACCCTCTCCTCTTAACTTTGATGCTATCACTTCTGTAAAAAGGAAAATAAGAAAGGATGAAGATATTCACAAACTGAGATTGCCAGGAGTTAAGATGTTTAGGTCACTATATATTTGGAAAAATAAAAAAATCCACATCTTCAGGATATTTCCCAAATGACAAAAAAAGAGAAAGGAAGGGGAAAATAAAAAGTAAATGTGAGCATTAAGAAATGTCATCTTAGGACCTCCTGGGAATTGTGAAAGCCTGAGAAAATTTTATAAGGAAATGCAATTAGAACACCTAGGACACGCTGAGGCACAAAGTCTGGCTCCTTCCATAGAAGGGCCACCAGCTACTTAAGAAAGGCAAACCAAACCTGGAATCTAAGGGAAAAGAAATTTCCTGAATGATGGGGGTGGCCTCTGAAGGATAAGTAAGCTTGTGTAAAGTATGAGTTTAGCAAATCTTGATTATCTCGGTGAACATTTTCTCATAAATGTTCATTTTTATTGTGTCATCAACATACAATTGTGCATGCAAATGGAAGCAAAAGCAGGGAAAAGACAGTCCAAAGTGGTGATTGAGCAAAACCATATTATCTGGCTTTCACCTGCATCATATTATTCTTTTTTTACAAAGCGTTTTCTTTCCTTATTATTTATTTTTGCTTGGGCTAATTTTAAAATGAGTTTTTATTCCCTTGGTACAACAGTCAGTGTTGGCCCGGAATGAAAAACACACCCCTGATAATCCACAGAGAATGTAATCCACAACATTAATAACTGGCAGCTGAAAGCATTTGCCTATTCCATTTTCCTCCTTTATTCCTAAAGGAAAACAGGAATATAAATATGCCTACTTTATAGAAGACCTGAGTTCTTTAAAGGGTCAGCTACAAAAAAAATTTTTATTAACAAAATTAGATTTTGCCATGACTGTCCATCTCAAAACTAAAGTTGTATACCATGTAAAAAGTTTGCTTTTGGAGATAATAGGAGCCATATTTACAAAACAATATGACTCTAAATGAAACTGCCTTTGCAAAATTCTGACAGTGAGAGCAATCTGATGTAGTTGACTCCATCTTGCTTCTAACCTCCGAGCTGTTCTTGGTCATTACTGGGCGTAGGCCAAACTAACTTTGGGAGAAATATAGTTTATAGTTTAATCTTACAGCAAGGATGATAATAGCCCTTCCCAAAACTAAACTGCCTTTGTAAAACTAATGAAAGCTTACAAGGTTAGGATTATGAGGGGCCTGATTTCTGCTAAGACGTAGGCGTAGTTAAATGACAACTAGCCATTGTTCCAGAGGTCACAAGAATTGTAACTTCCCCAATTACTCCTGTAAATAATATCACTGTTGTAGAACCTATGATTGGCCTTTTGAGATGTTTTTCAGACTTTTGCATTGCTAATGAGGGCTGACCCTACCCAGACCCCCAACTCGTGTCTCAACTGGTCCTTTGGCTCCCACCCAGAGACCAACTCAGCACATCAAGACCTTTTTCCACACCCCTATGATTTCATACCCAATCAAGCAACATTCCTCATCCCCTAGTCTCTTGCCCACCAAACTATCCTTTAAAACCCCTAATGTCTTAGTTTTTAGGGAGACTAATTTGAGTGATAAATTCAGTTCCTCCTCATGGGCTGGCTTCACATCAGTTAAACTCTTTCTCTACTCCAATGCTGTGGTCTCAGAGAATTGATTTTGCCTGTGCAGTGGGCAGGAAGAACCCACTGGAAAAATCACATAAAGATATAGTACATATAAGGTTGAAAAAATGATCAACGCTAACTATTGGATGATCTCCATTGGACGATTTTCACTATGCTGTCCACAGTAGCCACAAGAGACAAACATGCCATGGTTGAGACAGACTCCTTAGGTATGACAAGGACTCCCCCAACCTGTGCCCCTAGCACTGCAGTTTCAGGCTGCTTTAAAAAAAAAAATTTGTTCTGTAGTTTTCGCTGCCATTTCATATGAGGTCATTATACAAGTAAATGGGACCTCTTCTGTCGGTTATCATTGGTGAGGTATATATACATTTTAAAGAGGCAATGTATTCTTCACATTTGACTTAAATTTAGACTTGTCAATTTATTCTATAACCATTCATTGTGAGACTTGAATTTAGATGTATCAATTTATTATATGACCATTAATTGTGAGACACTAAATAAAGGCTGTAATGGATTAAAAAATGCTTTGTCCAGGTACATGTGAGGGAGTGGAGAATATGGTCTGCCAGGTTGGGGCTTGGATATTTATCCAGAGGGTGATGAGGAGGTACTAGAGGTGGAAAACAGAGAAGGTGTGAGCAGATCACTGAGAAACAAGCATACCTCAGATATTGCAGTTTCAGCTACAGATCATTGCAATAAAGTGAATATCACAATAAAGCAAGTCACACAAATTTTCTGGTTTCCCAGTGCATATAAAATTATATTTACATTATACTGAAGTCTATTAAGTGTGCAATAGCATTCTGTCTAGAAAACAGCATACATGCCTTATTTTAAAAGTACTTTATTGCTAAAAAAGTGTTAACAATCATCTGAGCCTTCAGAGAGCCATAATTGTTTTGCTGGTGGAGAGTCTTGCCTCAGTGTTGATGGCTGCTGACTGATCAGTGTGGTGGTTGCTGAAGGTTGGAGTGGCTGTAGCAATAGATTGCATCTTCTTCCAATGCAAGGCTATTTCATCTACTTTGAAAATGTGTTGTTTAGTGTAGCTGCCTACACTATTATTATTAACTATTATGAATATCAGCAATAAGGCTGTTTCACTTTCTTATCATTCATATTTTCTTTTAATTTCCTTCAAGAATTTCAAGAACTGTTCCTTCAAGAACATTTTCTTTGCATTTGCAACTTGGTTAACTATTAGGTGCAAGAGCCCTAGCTTGTGGCCTGTCTCAGCTTTCAACATGCCTTCTTCACTAAGTTTAATCATTTCTAGCTTTCAATTTAGAGAGCTGTGTGACTCTTCCATTCATTTGAACACTTAGAGGCCATTTTAGAGCTATTAACTAGCCTAATTTCAATATTGTTGTGTCTCAGGAAATAGGGAGACGTGAGGAGACAGAAAAAGACATGGAATGGTTAGTTGGTGGAGCAGTCAGATCACACAACATTTATCAATTAAGTTTACTTTCTTATATGGGTATGGTTTATGGCATCCCAAAACAATTACAATAGCAACATCAAAGATCACCAATCACAGATCACTATAACCAATGTAATAATAATGAAAAGTTTAAAATATTGTGAGAATTACCAAAATGTGACACAGACATCAAGTGAGCATATGATATTGGAAAAATGGAGCTGATAGATTTGCTTGACACAGGTTGCCACAAACCTTCAATTTGCACAAAAAAAAAAAAAAGACTGTAAAGTGCAAAAAAGCAAGGCACAAATAAGTGAGGTATGCCTGTATTTGCAATTACAGTTGACCGTTGAACAACAGGAGTTTGAACTGCACAGGTCCACTTATACTTAGATTTTCTTCTACCTCTGCCACCTCTGAGACAACAAGACCAACCCCCCTTTTCCTCCTCTTCCTCAGCATGCTCAAAATAAAGACAGCAAGGATGAAGATCTTTATGATGATCTACTTCTACTTAATGAATAGTAAATATGTTTTCTCTTCCTTATGATTTTCTTAATAATATTTTATTCTCTCTAGCTTACTTTAAGAATACAGTATATAATACCTATAACATGTAAAATATGTTTAACTGAC
The DNA here is from genome assembly GCF_000001405.40 of Homo sapiens. Lineage (NCBI taxonomy): Eukaryota > Metazoa > Chordata > Mammalia > Primates > Hominidae > Homo > Homo sapiens. Next base: position 115,801,742 of record NC_000001.11, read on the forward strand.
TGCTTGTTATTAGTAAGGCTATGGTCAACAGTAGGCTATTAATACTTCAGTTTTGAGGTAGTCAAAGTTATACGCAAATTTTCAACTGTGCAGGATAGGGGGGCGGGGGGATGGGGAGATGTTTTCCCTAACCCCTGGGTTGTTCTAGAATCAACTGTATATTCTTTAGTTTAACCAAATTCTTTCTCACTAAATGAATTAGTGGCATTGAGAGTTTCCTGCAAAGACATAGCAGACTAAAACAAACAACAGAATGGCAGAGCCAACATTCTACTCTTAGCCTGAGTTGTTTGTCAGCCATGTTATGAGATTAAAGCAAAGATGATATAATAAACTCTGAAAAAAGTCAGCCAAAAAAATTAAAAATTAACAAGAGTTTTTGAAATACAGCTTTGTATCATTAACCACAGGGTATGATTTATATGGTGTGTATTATGTTTTCATGAAGTGAGGTATCTTTTTGGCTACATCTGCCATGAAAATCTAGTGGATAAATAAACTAGGCTTAGAATCACAACTTTGAATTACTACATTGTAAAACATTAAACTAAATTTGATTTTTAAAAATAAAGTGTATCCAACTACATTACTCTCACTAAAAATATTATTGTGAATTATAATTATAAAAGAGTACAAAAAGTTTTCGTATCATTAATAAAAAATAATTTTAGAAATGTTAATTTCATCTTTCTTATTTTTTTCCAGTTACTGTGCTACGGAACAATTCATCCCAAAACTTACTGGCTTAGAACAGCAACAATATTGATTTTACTCACTATTTTGCAAGTTGGGGAAAGCTTTCAGAGATAGCTTGTCTCTCCTCCACATGGTGTCATTTTGGTTGGCTTGAAGGCTGGGAGCTAATGCTAACTGTCAGCTGCTTTCCATGTGGGCCGTCTTCTCCTATGTTGGCTCAGGGCTCCCAAGGCATGTGTCCCAAGAGAAAAAGAGCTAGGCAGAAGCATTAACTTCTTTTATGACCTAGTCTAGTTAGCCAGCACAGTTATAAAGTTCTGCCAGGTTCAAGGGGAAGGAACATAGCCTTTCAGTCAAGTAGTGTCAATGTCACACTGCAAGATGAAAAGGTAGGAACAGATTATGTTGATATGGCCATCTTTGAAAAATGCAATCTTACAAAATTATCATTTTTATTATCATACAACATTTTGTGTTTTACACAACATATCAGTACATCTTCATATTTTATACATAACTAAATATGTATATATTTATAACATTGTCAGAATGCTTTATAAATTGGAGTGCATAATCAAAATTATTTGAAAACTTTTCTCATTTAGGAAACTGAAAGTAAAATAAAATGTATCTTTGCATGGCATAGGAGATACTAAACATATTTTTTCATCCTTTCTCATTGGCCTTCAGACTAATGGGGGGTCAGTACCTTGTAAAATAGTGTTTCACTAGGACTCTTTGCAGTAATTAATCTCCCTTTCCCCTATATTCTAATAGCAAATTATGCTTTTGGTACCACATTTCTCACATTGGGTTTTGCATTCAAGTTAAGTACATATGGTATGTAAGACAAAGTCTTATTCAGCTCTGTGGGCTCAACAGTTTGTAGAATGCTTTTTACATAGTAGATGCCCCCCAAAATACTGAATTGAATGGACTAGCTAAAGTTTTAGGATCTTTACTCCAGCAGTGGAAGTTGGTGGTGGAAGAGCTGATTTACTTAGAAGAAGAAAAGAAGGGAATATGCAATGGTAGTCTATTTTCCAGACCACAGCTCTCCCTAGCATGTACTATACATCGTCTGAACCAACTCTGAGGGCCATAATAAGTAAGTGGGTAGAGGAAGATGAGTAGGTCCTTAATATAAAGGATTGTAAATATCTACTGCCCTCCGTTGTCAAAGATGGCAATGTTTCTGATCCCATGATCATGGTGTAGCAGAAATAGCTCCAGATTGGCAGCCATGACATTTGTCATGGGGTAACCTTTTGGCAGTTAACTTTTGGTTTCTCCATCTGTGAAGGAGTGGATTTGTATTAACAAATTCTTAGGTGCCCCACAGCTTGAAAATATTCTGATTCTCAAAACCCCTGAGATGCGGTTCTATATGAGTAGTTATGAAGGTGAAGCAAGGTTGGTGATCCCAACTTGTGATCCGAATATGGCACTGTCTTATGATTTAAAGAAAACCATTGAAAACATAGATTATTATTCTTATATACCCAATGCCTAGAATAGTACCTAGCTCAAGATAAATGTTCAGAATATTTATTGAATGTGATATAATACAGAGTGTAGTTGATTTTTGCCCATGGTTCCTGGCTCAAAATTTCTTGGAATTTTCTGAATAATAGGAGTGTCTTTTGTTTTCATAAGAGCCCCTTTTGATCATACCTCAGTTTATGCTAATGAGGCAACTCATGGTAAAACCTTAGTTTTAAGGGAGAGGCTGACCATGACAGAAACACCGAGATGTAATGAGAATGTTGGAATTTTCAGCCTCACCTCCTCAGCTCCAAAGAGGGCAAAGGAGCTAGAGATTGAGTTCAATCACTTGGCCAATCATTTAATCAATGATACCTATGTAATGAGACCCTAGATAAATACTCTGAACACCATAGTTCAGGGGAGCTTCCTTGTTGGTGAAGAGGTTGATATGCTAGGAGGCTGACACACCCAGAGAGGGCAAAGAAGCTCCAAGCCTTTCTCCCAGACCTTGCTTTTCTCTTCCATTGGGGTGTTCTCCGATTGTGGCTTTTATAATAAAACCGTAATTTTAGTGTGCTTTCAGTAAATTCTGTGAGTCATTTTAGTAAATGACTAGAATGTGGTCATGGGAACTCCTAAATTTGTAGCCAACTCAGATAGAATTGCAGATATCCAAGGACACTACTTTCAGCTGACATCTGAAGTAAGGGCAGTCTTATTGGGGACCTTGCCCTCTAACTTGTGGTATCTAATGTTAACTTCGAGTAGTTAGTGTCAAAAGCAAATAACTTTGCCCTTAACTTGTAGAGTCTGCCCTAACTGTGGGTAGTTAGTGTCAAAATTGAATTGAATTCTAAGATATCCACTTGGTGTTGGAGAATTGAGGTTAGAAAGTAGCAAATCATAATAAATCACATTAATGAGTACTCATTCTATGCCAGGTACTGTTCTGGATGCTTGATATGATCACCTCATCTAATCCTCACAAGAAAACAATGAAGTAGATATCATTATCATCCCCATTTTACATGTAGGAAACTGAGGCATAGAGGGAGTAATTTCAGTGTTATACAGCTGACAAAACTGGATTTAAACCTGTTTCCTAAACCACTACCCACACAGAGTCATACTACTCAGCCCTGTCTTCTTGATCCTCAGGCAGCTGAAGCAACACCAAAAAAGTCAGACTTGAAGATTCTGGGCATACTGATGGCAAATGTTCAGAAACATGGAAGAGATTGCTTCTGAGACACTTCATAAAACAGGCTAGGATGTGGTTGCCAGTTCCCCAAGAATTGAAATATGCCACATGCCTCACCTCCACTCAGGTATTAAGTGTGAAACACCTCAGACCCTATTAATCAGACCCATCACCAGAATCAATATTCGTTAAACAGCCATGTGCATGAACAAAAGCTAATCACAAAGAAGACATAGATGCTACTCCCACGTTGGTTCTGCCCAAAAGGAGAGATAACACTAATGGAGACAAACCTTCCTTCCTGTCTTGAGAAGAGGGAGGGTGGAAAAAAGGCCCACTTATCTGAATGGATTTGGAGCACTACACAGCTGCCCCTATGCCCTCCTCATATCTCTTCATATGTAAAGTATTTTCTATTTGGAGGACAGAGCAAGACTAGATTAACGGCAGGTCTGATGACCCCTATCTTTAAAGGGCCTTAACCTCTCATAAAAATACTTAATAGAGTTCTTTCCCTTTAATTGCATGCCACAATCTTTGGGGGCCCTTCTATCTCTATGGATGCTCTGGGCACTAGCCTCCCTTTGTAATGTGGTTCTGCCTGAGTGTGGAATCAGCTGATGAGGCCAGGGGTCCCAAGGCAATACACCATCTGGCCAAGGTCATGGGTGGCAGATTATCAATTAGGAAGCATGGCGGGGAGGATGTTGTGTGGCTGGGGGTGGATCAGCCATTAGTAAGGGAACCAGTGTAGGTGTTGCAGCAGATTAATACACAAATCTTTGCTCTCAAGGGATCCTGCATGAAATCTTAGATTTGGTCACTAAGAGCTTTCAGAGGTAGAAAATGGAGCAACTGCATTAAAACATGAGCATGCACTTAGAGCAGTGTTTCTCAAACTTTAATGTGCATGTGAATCACCTAGAGATCTTGTTAAAATGGCTTTGGATTCAGTGGGTCTGAGGTGGGCCTGAGATTTTGCATTTATAATAACTCAGGAGATGCCAGTGCTGCTGGGCCATGAACCACTCTTAGATGCAAAGGCTTAGAACACATCCCACCTTGTTCCCTGCTTCCCTCTTGAAGGTTTCACCTGTTGGAACCTGGTTTCTATAGCCCTGCCTTCCACTCCAATTCCATAGATTAAATAAGGTCCCTCTCGCATGCTAATGTATGTTAATCATGAATAAGAAAAGCCAGGTTCCTTTTTTTCTCTTTTGCTTTTCACTTACTTTTTAACTGTACCAGTAATACATGAATATATCTGGAGTATTTCAGCCAACCCAAACATCATATCATTTAATCTACGAGTTCTTTTTTATCTATCTTTAACATAAAGACTCTAAAAAACCACACACACAATACCATTATTATTCTCAACAAAGCTAATAATAATTCCTTTATGTTGTTTAATATCTAGTCTATATTCAATTTTAAATGATTGTCCCAAAAATGTCTTTTTATAGTTAATTTGTTTAAATCAAGATCTAAATCATAGCTACACATTGCATTTGATTGATTTGACTTTTAAATCTCTTTTAATCTCTAACGGTTTCTCTTATTTCTTTCTTTTGTTATTTCATTCAATTTATTTGTTGAAAAAACTAGGTTATTTGCCCTGTAGAATTTCTCTCATTCTGAATTTGCCTGATTGTATCCACATGGTGTCATTTAACATGTTCCTTTATTCCCTGTATTTACTGTAAATGAGTAGTTAAATCCAGAGACTTAACTAGATTCTGTACCTTTTTTTTTTACAGTAATACACTAAATGGTATGCTCTAAAGCTGTGTGCTTTGTATCTCCATCACATTGCAGGGAACACTATTACTGGTTGTTTCACTTTTAGAGATATTGGAATTGATCATTGGGTTCTGATGCCATTTAGCTGAACCATGTATTATAAAGTCTTCCATCAACCTTTCACTTAGTGGTTTTAGATGTCATGGATAACCCTTGTTTGCACTCTTGAAAGTGTTTCTCTGGCATGCTGTGCTTCCCTAGTACCACAGTTTATTCCTTAATTTTCTCTACTTGATGGTAAATTCCCTCAAGGCAGGTTCATATCTCTTCCTGTCTTCAGCACCTAACCCGATATCTGGCATATAGTTGGTATTCGATAATTATTGAATGAATGAATTCTGCCCCTAACATCTCCTGAAACCAATGGATGCATGCCATAAATTGGCTCTTAGGTTACATATGTCTAGGGTGTTTCAGGGGATTTTAAAGCCCTGCTAATATCAAAGGCATTCCTTCTAGAAATTCTGCCACCCTATTGGACTCAGTATGGGCCTCAGAAACAAGGTAGTATTTTAGCCATGACTGGGTTTCCCAAGTCCATGGTGCCACAGAGGAGATAAGGAGAGAAAAGGAAGGGATACTTTTATAGAGCCTTTCCCAGTTGTTGAATTAAGAAAACACATCTCAGGGTCAGACACATGGTCACTGGCAGAGACTCACTGAGGATACAGATAAGCACATACTTTGGGAATGAAGCAAGGAGATACTCCAGGTAACAATGTTTTGTATAACAGTTGGCTGACTTGAACCCTGATATCTCATTTCAGAGTGGAGGGGTCACTGATGCTTGCACTGAACTTTGTCCTCTCTTCCAGAAGTCTTTGAATCTAACTAGGACTTTAAAAGGCCCTTACGTGGAACTATTCCACTAATGGGATGGTAGATGGCCTCTGAACTTCTTTAGTACAATAGTGACAGGGGAGAAAGGGGGTGGTTGCTCGAATAGCCTAGCTAAGATCTTAGCTTTTGTAAACTGAAGGCTTAAGGACATCATGCCCAGTAGGGGGAGCCCTTATCAACAAAGATACCTGTGGGATGTTGGAATGAACAGGAAATGCTAGGAGGGTTTGCTGAGGTCCTGAAGACACCCTTAAAACAAATATGTAAGATTAAAAGGAAACTGCTAACTTTCCAAGTTCCAAATTCTACCAACTTTGTTGTCTTCCCTATTATTCCCATTGCTAATGTGAGCCTACACACTGATACCCAAGCCTAAACTGTAAAACAGTGGTTCTTACCTGGAGGCAATTTTGCTCCCAACTATCCCCTAACCCCCAACCCCCTACCCCTTATTCTCAGGACACATTTATCAGTGTCTGGAGACATTGCTGGTGATCAGACACCTGCACAACAAAGAATTATCTGGCCCAAAATGTCAATAGTGCTGAGGTTAATAAATCCTGCCTTAAAACAATATTTTATTTGTTTGCAAGTTACAATGATATTGAATTGTACAAACTCTCCAACTCTTAGTTTCTCATCATTCTTCTGTCTTTCATCTGAATTCCTAAAATCACACTCTCAAATTTCTTGAACTCTTCATTCAGAGTTATCCTGTAAATAGTTACGTAATATCCTTGAAAATCACATGTCCCAGATGTGTTTCTCTCACTAGACAAGTCTCCACCCCATCATCCCCATCCCAAGTTCCTTCTTTCTTTCTTTCTTTCTTTTTCTTTTTTCTTTCTTTCTTTCCTTTCTTTCTTTCTTTCTTTCTTTCTTTCTTTCTTTCTTTCTTTCTTTCTTTCTTTCTTCTTTCTTATCTCTTTCTTCTTTCTTTCTCTCTCTCTTTCTTTCTTTCTCTCATGTTGTTTTTTTATTATTATTATTATTTTTTTTTTGAGACGGAGTCTCACTCTGTCGCCCAGGCTGGAGTGCAGTGGCACTATCTTGGCGCACTGTAAGCTCTGCCTCCCCGGTTCATGCCATTCTCCTGCCTCAGCCTCCAGAGTAGCTGGGACTACAGGCACCCACCACCATGCGCAGCTAATTTTTTGTATTTTTTAGTATAGACGGGGTTTCACCGTGTTAGCCAGGATGGTCTCGATCTCCTGACCTCTCATGATCCGCCTTCCTCGGCCTCCCAAAGTGCTGGGATTACAGGCGTGGATCCTACTTTCTACTTACGTATCTAAATTTTGTTATATATGGACCTCCACCTCTTACAAGACATGAAACAGCTCATAAGTTTGAAATCATAGTTTTAAAAAGCTATGTACTCTTCCCATGAAAGCCTCCAAACTGTTAAGGCAAAGCTTCAGATTCAAGTTTCTTTTGGTTTCTCTTCACTCCAGCATGTGATCTGGAAATTATTTCTTCCTATAGATGGTAGTGGAAGAGGAGGTGGTAGTAGAAGGCACACTTCCCTCTCTATATTATTTCCTTAAAATTACTGCATTTTCTTCCTCAGGATCCTGGTCAGACATGGACTGTTAGATCTTAAAGGGACCTTACCAGCCTGTGGTGAATATAGCAAACTGCTTGACTCAACCTCCACCCTGTCACCTCCTGGTCTGCTTCCTGTACTGTGAGTGCTGGAAAGTTCAACATTTCATTTCTCAAGCTTTCCTTGCAAGCAAGGTCTTACATACACTTAGGTTCTGCCATTTACATGCACAAGTGAGATTTGAATAGTGGAAGCAAGGCAGAGGCTGCCTTCCTGTCCCATTTGCTGTTGTTGCTGGTAAGCAAGATTGAGGACAGAGGGCATGTACTGTGGTAGTGTCTGTCCCTAGCTTCCTGGCATCAAGAGGTGGTGGAGGCAGCAGAGGATGTGGATCCTTGGGTAGCAGGCATGGCGGCGTGTCTTTGAACTCAGCAGTTCCAGTAGTGGCTTTCTGGAGGCCCATCCTAGAATCCCGTCCTCCCACCCTTTCAATCACTTTGTATTACTTCATTTTCTGTATTGCATTTCTGTGTGCTTATAATAACCAACTTTCTGTATTCTGCATAGAACACTGCCTCTACGAGGTCATAAACAATGAAGAAATTCCTGTCTTGCTTGCCACTAACCTAGGTGCAGAACTGAGGGCCCCAACAGTAGTGGAGAGTGGGAGATAATGAAGGGAAAACCAAGCCAGGAAGTGGCAGGGCCAGGGGAAGGGAGTATGCTGTTACATGTGCTGTTACACTTGGTTGTGGGGAGAACTCAGAGAGGCTTTCCAAATATATACAAGGATGTCATCATGTTTACTGGAATGTAAAATGTTCATAGTGCCTAGGCTTGTCATTAAAAACAAGAATGGGCTTGGACTACATAATGAGCAGAAATACCTATTAATCTAAGTCCTCGTCTGGAAAAAGTGTAGAGGAGGTGGGCACCACTTATTAAATGTATCTTATGTTTTATAAACCAGCTGACAAAGTGATAAAAGTAAGGTGTAAGATTGTGCACAAAAAGCTTGTATTTGCATAAAATCAAACCTCAGGTTTTCTGGCTATGGATTATACCCATTGCTGAGAAGTTTAATTTACCAGCTGTTTACAGCATGTTATTCAAATAACCTATAAGTTGCCGGCACAGCAATGTATTGCATTTCTAGGACATACTGTAGATTCTTGCAACTGTTGTTCAGTGTAAATTCTACTTTACAGTATCTGAAAATTGCCTACAGTTCTGTACCCAGTTTGGACATGACTATCTGGCAAAAGAAATAAGCTGGAGAGTTGAAGAAGGACAATTAGACTTTTTGGAAAAGCTGAAAATTAAAAGGTGAAGTGCTGTGTTGGACAAAAGCAAGACCACCAAGGCCACTTGGAGAAGAGCGGAGTGGCCTTGGACTCTGGATAAGCTGGGAAACATCCTCCCAGTGTTTTCTGCAAGTGTTCATTCCTGCCCATCTGTTCTGTGCAATACATAAGTGCCCCACTTATGTTGTTTGCACAGAACCTACTCTGTGGTGAAATGCCAGGTTCTGGCTGCATGCTTTCCCAACAGTCCCTTCTTCTGTCACTCCAGAGTTGGGTGTGTGTCAGGGGTCCCCAGGCGCTCAAGGTTTCATTGACAATTCATTAGAGAGATTCACAGGACTCAGAAAGCTGTTGTACTGATGGTTACAGGTTATTCCAGCAAAAGGATATAGATTAAAATTAGCAAAGGGAAAAGATACATGGGGCAAAGTCCAGGAGAAACCAGGTGCAAGCTTCCAGATGTTCCCTCCCAATAGAGCTGCACAGGATGTATTTAATCCTCTCAGCCTCAGTGTGTGATAACACATATAAAGTGTTGCCAACTAAGGAAGCTCACCCAAGCCTTGGTGTCTAGAGTTTTTATTGGGGATCTGTCATGTAGGCATGCTGTACCTGTGTGACTGGTTTCAGCTACTCAGACTCCAGCACTCCTAGACCAAAAGCAAGTGTTTGCCACAAGTCACATTGTTAGCACAATCTGATCCAACTGGTAACATGTGACCCAAGGCCTCAAGCAAACAAAATGTCCCTTATCAGGCAGAATATCCAGGGACTCAGAGCTTATCTCCCGGAAACTGGCCAAGGGCCATTGCGGAAATCAGGCCTTTCTTGGGAATGTATAGGGTTTGAGCAACTCAGATCTCCTGAGCTAACACTTTCCTTCCCAGCAAGAAGGGGTAGTTTGGAGGCAGAGGGACTTTTTCTGGCCAGTGGCCTCAGGACTGAAGCCTTTCTGCATAGAGACTCAGCTCCCCACAATAGCAGTGTTTTGGTAACCATGAGCATTTGGTCAGACCATCTGTGCTGGGCATAAGGGTTGATAGTGTCCACACTACCTATGCTACTGCTGAGAGTGGGAAACCTGCTGGGGGATTCCTTCAAGGATGAGTCATCCTCAAGGGGCCTCAACCCTTTGTCCCCACCGAGCATCACTCCTAAGTGCTACCCATTTCACCCTTAAACATTACTCAGACCTGCCCTTCCTCTGAGCCTCTGCCAGCATTACCTAGTCCAGATCAACGTCATCCTTCACTTGTACCATTGCAGCAGGCTCCTCCCCAGCCTCCTGGCCCACTGTCATCCCACTACAGTCAGAGTGAGCTTTAATGAAACTAAGTCTCCCCTTCAGTGGCTCCCCATGGCCTGTAGGATGAAATCCAAGCTCCATGACTCTGAATGGAACATTCTCTTGCCCCTACTCCAGCCTCTTGTCTCCTCTGCCTCTCAAGATTGCCTTTGACAATCCAAATTGCTTGTAGATCTCAGTATAGAGCTTGTTGTTTCTGTCTGTTGTTTCTTTGCACCAAGAGCCAATCATAATCCCAAAAGACACAATCTCAAATGTGATAATCCCACATGTTGAAATCCCCAAAAATCAAAATCACAAAATTACAATTCTGGGAAAAGTAATTTTAAAATTAGTTTAAAGATATTTTATTTGAGATACATATAAAAATGACAGAACACTCACAGGCCACTTTATACAATAAAATAGATAAAAGTAATACATTTTTGCAATCATAACTACTCAGGTATACTGACAGTCACATCGTGATGAGCAGACAACTGTATTCATAAAGAAATAGGTCAAAAAGTGAAATGTATATATAAATATCATTATGGTTGGTAATTGTGTACACCCAGTCTCATAACTGTAACCATCTGAAATACTGTGATAAACAACCTAAGTCTTTTGATGAAATAGATCAAAAAATGCAATGGGTCACCAACTCATCATATGCACTTTCTCAAAGAGCTGAGATCTCGAGAAATTGTTTTTTTTTTTTTTTTTTTTGAGACGGAGTCTCGCTCTGCCGCCCAGACTGGAGTGCAGTGGCACTATCTCGGCTCACTGCAAGCTCCACCTCCTGGGTTCACGCCATTCTCCTGCTTCAGCCTCCCGAGTAGCTGGGACTACAGGCGCCCGCCACCACGCCTGGCTAATTTTTTGTATTTTTAGTAGAGATGGGGTTTCACTGTGTTAGCCAGGATGGTCTCCATCTCCTGACCTCGTGATCCGCCCGCCTTGGCCTCCCAAAGTGCTTGGATTACAGGCGTGAGCCACCGTGCCCGGCCGATCTCGAGAAATCTTATCTTTCATAAATACAGGTGCACAAAAAGGACATCTCTTCATTTGTTGAGGAAGTTTCAGTGTTTTCTAATGTCCAAGGCAGCAGAAGAAAAGTCTGTTCCAGCTCTCAGATGCCAATAGCCTTCTGTATTTGTTCTCTCCAGGACCCTTGCCGATTGGATGGTGTCCTCTAATATTGGGTAAAGATCTTCCCCAGCTAATCCACTCAGTCTCAGGCACTAATCTCCTCTGGAAACACCCTCACAAACACACCTAAAATAACGCTTTACCAGATTTCTAGGTATTCTTTAATCCAGTCAAGTTGACATTTAAAATTAAGTCCACAAGTTCACCCCTTGTCAACTTGGCACTCACACACATCTCCTTAAACATACCTCATTTCCAATGAAGACAATAACAAGTAATAGTTCTGCCTAAAATGATACGTCTATACTGTGATTGTAATTTAGACTTTAGGGGTTTAAATCTTTTGGGATTTCAGTATTCAGGATTATGGCATTTTGGATCATGTCTCTCAGGATTATGACCCAAACCCCTTTGCAACAGTCCTACTGCCTGGAACATTGCTCTCTTCTCACTTCCTTGCCTTAGCCTAGCCACCCTCTACTCCTGGACTGAGCTCAGGTATCACCTTAGGAAGTCTTCTCCAACTCCCTTCCTTAGCCCCACAAGCCAGGTTAGCTGCTTTCCTCCTCTGTGCATTATAATTATCTGTTCACTTGCCTGCCTTCACTTCTAGAATAGTCTCCTTGAAGACAGACATGGTGTCTTATTAGTTTTTTTTTATCCCAAATAGCTAGCACAATGCCCGCACAGAGCAGGTGCTCAGCAATTGTTTAGTGTATGAATAAATGAAAGGGTAAATTAATAAATGCATTAGTAGACATGAGAATGAATCCAATTTGAGCCAGACTTGTCTTGGCTGCTTTTTGAGAAGTCTGTCTTCCTCTTAGGCAGTTTCTTGCACTGTCATAGTCTTCTCTGCCTAAGTCTTCCTCTTAGGCAGTTTCTTGCACTGTCATAAGCATAGACTCTGGGTGTGTATCTCAATTCTGCTTAGTATGTGAACCCAGGCTAGTTACCTAATCTGTCTAAATCTCAGTTATCTTAGAGTACAGCAGGGACCCTAATCATGAGGTTATTGTTAATATTCAGTGAGATGAGGTCTATGAAGTGCCTAGTGCAGTGCCTGCCATATGATGAGCGCTTCAGATAGGGAAGTGTTTTTATTGCCCCTAATTGATTTGCTTCTACATCTTGTCTGGTCTCCCACCTGGACCAACTGGAAAAGCCTTCATGGCTATAATCTTCTGAATCTTCAAGTCTCATATTCAGTGGATAGCAAAATGCCCCTTTCTCCTGAGATTGGGATTTTGGTGGAAGGTAGGGGAGCTAAGTTCCCAAGACAAGGGTCTGCTGGCATTGTTTACTAGATCCCCTAACCACTTGCTTCCTTTGACCCCAGGAGCTAACTGGTCACCAGGTCCTCTGATTCTGCCACCTCAGATTTCTAACTCCAGTTCTCATTGCCATTGTTAGTAAACTTTACAATTTAGGGACAAGGGACTAAACCACTGAGACCATGGCCTCTCCTACTATGTCATCCCTAACCATTTATTTTGCTTCTAGCCCATTCTCAAACTACTGTCCAAGTCCACCATCCTCATGGGGTGATTATGAAGGCTAAGTGAATGCCTGTGAAGTGTTTAGCACGATGCCTAGATTATAGTGAGTACTCAATAAATGGTCACTATCATCAGATCTGATACCATTCCTCTGCTTAGAAGCTTCCACTGGTCCACAACTGTCTATGGAATGAAGTTCAAATTCCTGAGCACAGCATTGAAGGCCCTTGATGATCAGAACTCCACCTACACTGAACTTTTCCAGCTCTGTCCCCATCTTACATTGTTCTCACTTGGAATGCCTTTTTCCCACCTTGTCTGTTGAAACCTGCCCACAGAAGCCCAGTGTGAATACCATTTCCGTGAAGCATTTCTTGATTCACTTAGTTGTAATTAATCATCTTTTCTCTTGGGATCCCACAGAGTTTAATTTATATTTCCACACTACCTCTTTTTGCCCTTTTTGTATACTAATTCGGCTATTGAACTTCTTATCCCTCCTCCTACTAGAGAATAAATTCATGGTGCAAACAAACATTGGCTACAGGCATCTTGGCAATCAGCAATAGAAAATATGTGGGTGGGACAGACCAAGCCTACAAAATAGAGCTGCCAGAAAGCCTTTTGGAGTAGACTTAGAGAGAGCGTGTGAGGCTAGCATGCCAAGGAGAAGCTTATCAGAGTCACAGTGATCAAGCCTAAGCTAAGGGCTGGAGATGACTGGTAGTCAGTAGTCTTGCAAAGATGTCTGCTCTCCAAAGAGAATGTGGACTTTATTTGAATGGAGACTGACCTACGATTAACTGGCACCATCTCTTTATGGGTCATATTGTCTCAGGGACACAATAATAAATAATAAATTCATGGTGCAAACAAATGTTGACTACAGGCCTGTGCTTGTGTCCACCTCTCACAAGTAGTTAACAGAGCTGAGCACAGGCTCCAACTCTTTGCATTATCTGCATTATCCCAAGCCAGGTGAAAAACAGGGTTAGAGACAGGCAAGACCTCTAACTATGCACCCAGAAACTTAGCATGGGAGGGAACAGGATTCTTCTGCAGGTGGTTCTGAGGGTAGTCTGGTCCTTTGGCCTGTGAAGGACAAGGGAGGGAGGAGCTTGAGGCAAAGGCAAACTTGTCCCCCAACTTGTATTCTGTCATAATTCCTTCTCAGACACAAAATTTTCTAGTTTTCCCTCATTGCTGCTGGTCTTTTCCCTCCCCTTTCTTGTTATTCTTTTTCTCCTTTTTTTATTCTCCTTCCCTCCCATATCTGGGTCACGTTAGGTCATCTTGTCCTTAGTAATTCTTCCAATGCCCAGACTGACAGCCTCTTGGTTCCAGGCAAATGTTTACAACCATGATTCATTTTCCCAGAATAAACACGCAGTAATTCACAATGACAAATATCAAGAAAGTTCAGTAGGATGGGGTGGTTTTCAAATCACAGCATTCAGGAATGAAGGCTTTGGGACCTTGTGCTAACTGCCTCCACACTCTATCATCATGAGTGGAATAGAAACACAAAAGTGTACCGTTTCAGTAGTTTGGCTTTGAATAATCTCCAAAACAAAGTAGCACTCTATTTAGCCTTGGGTGAACACTTTCCTGGAAAGCTAATACCCAAGATGCTCCATGAGGGCCAGGGGTGAGAGGCTGGGAGATATGAGGATGCTTGTCATATTGCGATTTTCCTTTATTCATGGGGAAAGCTGTCCTTCTGCTCTCTCCAGCTCTTTTTACTTTTATTTCATGATCACCATAATCACCAAGCACTCTTCAAATTACAATTCACTTGTAGGCTCACCATAGGAAGAAGATATGCAGGCCAGGAAAGTGGAGAATCCAGTCTACTTAATAATCTTTTTTTTTTTTTTTTTAGACAGTCTTGCTCTGTTGCCCAGGCCTGAGTACAGTGGCTCCATGTCAGCTTACTGCAACTTTGACCTCCCAGGCTCAAGCGATCCTCCCACCTCAGCCTCCCAAGTACCTGGGACTACTGGTGCACACCACCATGCCTGGCTAATTTTTGTATTTTTGTAAAGATGGGGTTTCACCGTGTTGCCCAGGCTGGTCTCAAACTCCTGGGCTCAAGCAATTTGCTAGCCTCGGATGCCCAAAGTGCTGGGGTTATAGGCATGAGCCACCATGCCCACCCTTAATAATCGTCTTTCTTGTGGAAAATTTAAAACTTGGAATGTAACTTGGGAGAAACGGGGAAAATGATAAAAAACTAGAGATCGCACTCTGTACTCTATTACTTGTTCCCCAAACCCCAACTCTATTCACCACCCACATATTTTTAATCCAAATATGTAAAGGGACAGCCCTAAAGGATAAAAAATAAAAGGCATAAAAGGGCAACCTGTGGCCAGAGGGAAGCAGGTGGAAGTGGGGAGAGGCTTTGCTGGGAGGTCATGGAAGGATTTAGGCACTGGTTGTGTAATTGAGGCTGGGGCCTTTTCTAACACTAACTGAGGGCGCCTCGTCCTTTTACACCATCATCTATTAAATAATTCCCCAAATCACCACTTGTGATTGTAGACTGAATTCAGTAAACTCACTTCAGAAATTTACAGCCTACTTATTTTCCCCTAGTATACATGAGCAATCCAATTAAATCCTGGAACTTAATAAAAAGAAAAAAAAGTCCTTGGAGTACAGGGATTAGATGAAAAAGATAGAAAGACACTCATTGTGTAGTTCTTGTTTCTCCACCCTCAATCCATCTTGTTCTTCCTAGGGTGGGGAATTATTGCACATTAATTGGTGTGCAACTTCCTGTCCGCTGTTCAGGGGAAAAACCTCCGAAACAAGGTTGGGTTTAAAGGTGCTGGTCCGGTGAAGGCAATTTAAGTGGCAGCAGCCCAAGTTTGAGAACAGGGCTCAGATCTTTAAGGGTGCCTACTTCCCACAACTGTCCATTAAATAATCATTTTACTGTGGTCTGGCTTCCCCAAGGCTGTTATATCAGAAGTAGGAGGCTGATCGTTAGCTGGGTATTATCTTCTAATATCCAGGCAGAAGAGATGTCTAATTACTACTCAATTACTTTCTCCTACTTAAGGAAATAAGTTAATAAATAAAATATTTATCTTGAAGTTTAGCAATATACAGCTATCTTTTAATTTATGATATACTATAATTATTAAAATATTTTTACCTGGATGTTATATGCAAATAGCTAAGAAATCAGATAGTACAAAGGGTGTCTATAATAAAATACCACAGGCTCTTACCTGGCTACCCAAGTCTGCTCTCTGAGGGGCAACTACTTTCAATTGTTTTTGTGTTGAATTCTTAGAGTGGTTCCTTCCATATTTCTAAATTATAGGAGTATCACATTAGACGTTACCTGTTAACTTCTGTCAAGGTGGACGATGCTTTAGTTCTATACACCTTCCTGGCCTTTCTTCCTCCCTACAATTTAGTTATATAACTATTTTTTTATTTCTCTACCTTTAGTAAAAATACATAAACCCCTCATTTTTGTTTTGTAAACTCTGATTTCTTACTTTGTAAGTTGAGGATATTAAAATCCCTATACTTCTTTCCACCCCTTCTGCTCTCCTTCTATCCCTCAACTGCAATCAGCTACACTTTTTTTTAACCTTGATAAGATTGATAACATTCTGTTTTGTAACTACTATTAAGTATGCTATTTGTCTATAGCTTTATTCTAAAAGTCAAAAACTAATAAACAAAAGAGATGAATAAATGAAGAAAATACATGTTCTTGAAAAGGAAGACTGAACATCTTTTTTTCCTAAATTTATAAACCCAATGTAATACAATAAAAAATACCACCAGGATTTTTTTTTCTTTTTCTGTATCTACACAAGTTGATTATAAAGTCCTTTTGGAGGGAGAATAAACAATAATTGATAGAAAACCTTTGAGAACAGTAGTGGGACCAGGGTCTAGACCTACTAGATATTAAGGCATATTAAAAGCTCCTCTGAGCCATAATGAAAACAGGATGGCATTTGCCCATGACTAGACAGACAGAACAATGAAACAAACTTTCTGAAAATGTAGGAATACTCAACTACATATGAAAATTTAGTATATAGGCCGGGCGCAGTGGCTCACGCCTGCAATCCTAGCACTTTGGGAGGCCGAGGTGGGCGGATCACCTGAGGTCAGGAGTTCGAGACCAGCCTGGCCAACATGTTGAAACCCTGTCTCTACTAAAAATAAAAAATCAGCTGGGCATGGTGGCGCACGCCTGTAGTCCCAGCTATCAGGAAGCTGAGACAAGATAATCGCTTGAACCTTGGAGGCGGAGGTTGCAGTGAGCCAAGATCGCACCACTGCACTCCAGCCTGGGCGACAGAGTGAGACTCCATCTCAAAAAAAAAAAAAAAGGACAGAAAATTTAGTATATGACTAAGGGAAAAGTTCTGTTATTAGGTACATGCACAGTCAAGATTGTTATGTCTTCTTGAGAAATTGATCCTCTTACTATTACAAAATGTTCCTCTTTATCTCTGGCACTACTTCTTGCCTTAAAGTCTACTTTGTCTGATATTAATACAGCCACATCAGATTTTTTATGATTACTGTGTGCATAATATATCTTTTTTCATCCTTTTACTTTTAGCCTATTGGGACTTTGAATTCAAAGTGCATCTGTCCTTGATTTTCTCATTATTTGGGCTAGGAGAGTGTTGAATACAATTTTAGATATTTCTGGTTCACCTTCGAATTTGACTCTGATAAGTGTCCAGAATCCAATCACTATGAGAAGGCATGGAACTACGTGATTTCTCTGCTTATTAGCCCCTCCTCTGCTGCTATTTTCGCAGAAAAGCCTGGGGTTTCCTACTTCTAGGAATTTGCCCTACATATACACTAACAAAAATACCAAAAGACGTATGCACAAGATTTTATATTGCAGTACTATTTATAATAGTAAAAGACTAATAACACCCTAAACGTCCATCCATAGGAAACTTGTCTTATTAGCTATGATACATCTACACAACAGAGTACTGTGCAGCTGCAAAAAAGTAATTACCTAGGAATGAAATGATTGACTTGTGTGATACATATATATTTAACTTTTAAATAAAATGATATGTCCATACAAGTACTGACACATGAATGTTCATAGCAGCTTCATGTGTTAGAGTCAAAAGCTGGAGACAATCCAAATATCCAAAAATTGGTGAATGAGTAACTAATTGTGGTATATCCATTCAATGTGATACTACTCAGGAATAAAATGAAACAAACTACTGATACATAGATAAATCTTAAAATCATTGTGCTTAGTGAAAGAAGCCAGAAATAAAAGAATATATTCTATTATTCCATTTACATAAAGTTCTAGATTATGAAATTTAATCTATGGTGACAGTAAGCTGATCAGAGATTGGAAATGGGTAGATGGAGAAATAAATTATAAATAAGTGCAAGGAAATTTCTGGAAGTAATAGAAATGTTTGTCATCTTAGTTTTGGTGTATGCACATGTCAAAAGAGATCAAATTGTATACTTTAAATACCTGTAGTTTATTGTCTTTCAGTGATACCTCATTAGACTTGGGCAAAAAATATTTTTAAAGGGAATCTGAATATTTCTACCTGTTGTTATGGAGTGATTTTCAGGATATACTAAATGAAAACACAACATGAAGATAAATACATATAGTATGCCACCATTTATCTAAGAAAGTAAGAGATATTAATATACACAAGTATGTGGGAAGGTGTGCATATATATCTGTATATATACACATACATATGTACATATGCACATACACATATATGTGCAGATATGTGTGTATACGTATACACACACTTATTTGCAGAATAAAAAAAGAACAAACCATGAAAACAAGTTTCTATATAGAGAGAGGAAACAGAGTGGAGCGGGTCATGGGAATAAAAATTCTTAAAATATACCTAATTCTATAGATATGGCCTTTGAAATATATTCTAAAATAATTCTAAAATAAACTCTATATTCTAACATAATTCTAAAATAAAACTAAATTTAAAAAAGCAAAAGTGAAACAAATAAGTCCAGTTGGTAGCATTACCACACAGAGAGAAACTATTTCAAGTAACTGTAAAATACAATAGGCTGGGTGCAGTGACTAACACCTGTAATCCCAGAACTTTGGGAGGCCAAGGCTGGCGGAACGCTTGAGCCTTGGAGTTAAAGACCAGCCTACGCAACATAATGAAACTTCATCTTTATAAAATATAGAAAAAATTAGCCGGGTGTGGTGGCATGTGCCTGTAGTCCCAGCCACTCAGGAGGCTGAGGTGGGAGGATCGTTTGAGTCTGCGGAGGTCAAAGCTGCAGTGAGCTGTAATGGCACCACTGTGCTCCAGCCTGGGCTACAGAGCAAGAACCTGTCACCAAAATAAAATAAAATAAAATAAATATGACAATTTTATCTAGTAGTATATACTCTAAGACAAAAAGGGCTGTCAGAAAAAAAAATCTTAGACTGTTTCAGTTATCATATTTTTTACAGTAATATTGTTTCTGTTATTCTGTTATTCTTAAGACTGTGTTTTTATGTAGGATAAGGCAAATAAAAAAGGAATCATATTGGTGTCATTGAGAACTGATATATTCAGCATGAAAGAAAGGAGATAGAGATATAAAATCAAAAGAAGGCAACTAAAAGCCCTGTAGTCTTGACTTTGAATTGAAAGTTATAATTTATCCTAAAGCAAAACAAGGAATCAAAAATATTTCCTAGCTCTTTACATTGAAAAGATTTGGTAGCAACAGCCAAGCTAGTAGCAATGAGGACCCCTATTCACAGATTGTGGTTTATAAGCACCACTGTGCACTAAAAAGAACTAGGGTACCTTGGAGAAATGGCTGATTCACGATCTGAGGAAGGAAATGTATAAAACAAACTTGGAACATCTTGTCATATCAAAAGCAAGAATATTATGAAACACTACTGAGATCATGTTGAAAAGACCTAGAAGCCAACCTGAAAAGGCTGTCATTGGCCAAGAATGGGGCAATTTAAGTATTAATAAGGATAATAACTGCAATGGATGGAAACACATCATCTACTTTAAAACCATGATTTTATAACACATAGAAAACATTTAAAAATCTTATTAGTCACCTTTGGAAGATGCTAGAGAATCAACTCATTAATGAAAACTGGTAAATTAATGTAAAGAAACAACAACTGATCCTGTCTTTCCTATTTGTTGAGCTGTACCTAAGGTTAACCAAATGGTTGATGACAGGAAGTTTATCTTCATAAAGTGTCCCAAATAATAGATGAAGAAAGAATAATAGAATTAGAAAAACAATTTATAACTGCTAATGAATTAATGAACCTAAGCCATGGTCATCAGTGGCTGCTAATATCAAAAAAAGAGAATCAACTAGACATCATGAGCCTTCTGATAGAAACACATACCACTGCCTATGAAGCAGATTTGCCAACAATTGAAAACTGAATTTGGTCAAGCTTCTAGATCTACTTACCAATTTATAGAAAATGCAAAATCCCAACAATGGGGATTTAATTAGAAAAATCCAGACTGTGAGAAACTCAATAGAGAAAACTATTTGGTTTCTACAAAAAAAAAAATACATAAATAAAAATAAATGCAAAGAAGAAGAAGAAATATCCTATGGATTAAAAGGGACTTAGGGGGCATATCAAGCAATGTATAGAGTTTGAAAAACTATCATTTAGAGCTAAATACTAAACTATTTATGGATTTCATGATATAATGACTTAGAATATATTTCCAAATAATACAGGGAGTGGGGAGTATAAATGAAAGAAAATTGACCATGAGATGGATCAGCATTGAGGCTGGGTAATAGGCATAAGGAGTTCATTGCACTGTACAATATGTTTATATGTGTTCAAAATTTTTCAGAATAAAAAGTGAAAAACAAACTACAAACCACATTTACAGTTTATGACCATGCAAATATTCAATGCAAAGTGGCATAGTGTACTATGGTCCCAAAGTCCCAAACTCTGTGCCTCTCAAAAGACATGTTTCTAACATCAAAGCTAAATACTTATTCCTTTCTTGCAATATTCTAACTGCTAAATATTTTGTTACATTTTGGTGTTTCACATCTGGACTATGCCCTTCTAACGCATTTTACCTTTGAGAATAGATTCCTGTTTTCTACTTGAAGCCCACTAACTGCTCATATTTGGATGGCTGCTTTATATTTTTAACTTTAACATTTGTATGAAGCTTTGTATTTTTCCTGATGTTTCTAGTGACCTTTCCAATTTCTTTTGCATGCCTTCAAGTTTATTTTTCCACAGACCTCAAGTATATAGAATCCCTCTGATAATGAGGGACCTCCATCCTAATACCTTCTCTCTCTGCTCCAAACTAGACCATTTTCTTTCTAGATTAGTTATGCCATTATCATCCTGGGACTTTGCTTCTTTGCTCTCCTAAACAGCATTCACTCTTTTTTGGCTTTCATAATATCTTGGTTTTGCTGTGGCTGTTTAAGCCCTTATTTTTCTTGCAGTATGTATTCAAATAATGTACTAAAAAAGGGCATGTGAAAGGCAAATGTCTTGAGGCTTTGCTTGTTTAAAAAAGGTTTTATTTTTGTCATCACAATTGATTGATAACTTTGCTGGGTATACAATTCCAATTTCAAAATCATTTTTCTCTCAACCCTTTGAAGATACCGCTTCATTTTCTTTTGGCATAATACGTTGCTGATAGCAATACAAATCATGTTCTTTTATAGGATACCTTTTTTTTTCTTCCTGAAAACTCAGAATTTTCTGTGTATCTTTGAAGATCTAAAATTTCCTAATAATGTGCATACTGAAGTATCCTTTTCTTTATAGAAATTTTTATTGTGTTACTTCTTTATAATATTCTCCCCTCCATTGATTTCATTTTCTCTTTCTAGAATTACTATTTTTGATCTTCAGATGTTAATATCCATGATTTATGTTTTCTCTTATATTTTTCATATTTTTGTTCAATGTTGTGAAAGATTTTCCTGTCTTTATTTTCTAACTCTTCTAGTTTTTCTGCATGAATTATGTTGTTTTACTCTAAAAAGTTATATTGATCTCTGATTTTACTTTCTCTTATCTTGTTCCTTTAAGAATACAATATCTGAGGCTGGATGCAGTGGCTCACGCCTGTGATCCCAACACTTTGGGAGGCTGAGGCGGGAGGATCGCCTGAGGTCAGGAGTTCCAGACCAACCTGGCCAACATGGTGAAATCCTGTCTCTACTAAAAATACAAAAAAAATTAGCCAGGTGTGGTGGCACACGTCTGTAATCCCAGCTACCCGGGAGGCTGAGGCAGGAGAATTGCTTAAACCTGTGAGGCAGGGGTTGCAGTGAGCTGAGCTCGCACCACTGCACTCCAGCCTGGGCAACAGAGTGAGACTCTGTCTCAAAATAATAATAATAATAATACAATATCTTTACTAATATAATCTCCTGAGGGTACTACTCAGTTACTTTAATAGTTTTCTATTTTCTGAATTATCTTTCTTAATTCTAGTGTCAAATGTACTTATCTTAAGACTGACATCAGCAAGATGGCATAATAGGACTTTCTAGTGCTCATCCCCTCACAAAAACATCAATTTGAACAACCATTCATGCACAAAAGTATCTTCCTAAGACCTAAGGAATCCAGGTAAGTGACTATAGCACCTAAGTGAAGCACAAAGTAAAGACTCATTGATAAGGGTAGGAAGGACAATGCCAAATTATTTTCCAAAATAGCTGGGCCATTTTACATTCCCACCAGCAATGTATGAGAGTTCCAATTGTTCAACATCTTTGCCAGACCTTGGTATCATAAGTTTTTTTTTTTAAGTTAATCTAACAGTAGTAAAGTGATATCTTATCATGGATTTAATTTGCATTTCCCTATTACTAATAATATTGAGCAACTCTACATGTGCTATTTGCCATTTATATCTTTTCTTTAGTGAAGTGGTTGTTTAAATCTTGTGCCTCATTTTTAATTGAATTGTGTGTTATCTTATTGTTGAGTTTTGAGAACTTTTTGTTTTCTAGACACACTCTAAACACCATTTTGAACACTTTTTTCCTTCAAAAGTCCCTTGAAGAAAGTACTATTATTATACCTATTTTATAGATGATGAAATCAAAGAAGAGAAAAGTAACTTATTCAAATCTTGTGACCAGAAAGTAGTGTCAGCACTGGGATTTGAAACCAGGCATTCTAATTCTAGGGCTCTTCCTCTACACCAGGAGTTTGCAAACTTTCTGTAAGGGACCAAATAGTAATAGGTTTTGTGGACCGTAAAGTCTCTCTTACAACTACTCAACTCCACCATTGTCAGCTCAAGGACAGTCATAAACAACACATAAATAAAGTGTTGCTATGTTCCAATAAAACTTTATTTACCTACCTTGAAATTTGAATTTTATGCCATTTTCATATTGTGAGTATTGTCAACCCTCAATTTAAACCATGATGCTGTACTGCTTTCCACTTGAACTACTGACATTTTCTATTCATGTGTCCCCAAACACCAAAATGTTAAGTACTTTCTATAAAATATTTATCTTCTTGCTGTAAAATTGTATATTCCTTTTACAGTTATTCATATATGATACACAATGGCACGTAAGTACTCAGTAAGTATCTGTTGAATTGAATTGAAATAACTGAATTGAATTACTGGCCTATGGTTGAGACACACATTTCATTCCGGATCCTCTTCTAACTATTTTATATTAATAATTACTGGGTAACTTCTCCACTGTTGTTGTTCTTTATATATCATAGTTATTATCCTCCATAATAATAGGTTTAATGATTTCATAACATTTGTCTCCCTCCCTGTGAGATTTCCTTGTTACACCGTCTTGAACAGTTTGCAAAGCTTGCTATGATGTTCTTCTAGTTTATATTAAAATATTGAGGGCATGTTATATACCAGGCACATCACAGGTGCTGATGATTCAATGGCCAATAAGTCAGATTACCTGCCTTTGAAAAGCTCATAACCTAGGAGAGAAGTGAGAGAAATAAATATGCCAGTATAGTGCAGTGATATCAGTGTTATGATGGAGGCCGGTACAAGGGGTTATGGGACCATTTAGAAAGCTCCTAGCTTAGGGGAATCATGTTAAATTGACCCTTCCCAAAAGCCTTGCATGTTGGTATTGTAAGCCACAACCTAAGGAGGACAGGGGTGAGGGAAATCATTGAAATTGTCTTCGGGTGTTTCTATTCACTTTCCAAATCCTCCTTTCTTTACCAATTTCATAACTTTTAAATGTAAAAAGCTAAAAAAAATTACCTGTGCCCCGGTCCCTTTAATTTCATGCAAGAATCCACATATATCAGAGGCACATTTTTGTTTATTTTGGCTGCATCATTCATTCTGACATGATTCAGAAAGATAGGCAGCTGGTTTGGATCCCCCTGTGAGTTCCCACTCAAATATCGGTTATCTGCTCTGGGAAGAGAGCAGAACTTGCAGTGGCATTGTCAGGTCTACAGCCCAGATCAGCATACATGGCCTCTGGATCTTCCCATTGCCTGTGAATCTTTCCCAATTTGAGTCCTGGTTTGTGGCTTCCTCCTTTTTTTGTTTATGCTATGGTGTTAGCTAGGCTGCATTTCGCCTCATGTAGACCATTTTTAAAAATCAATGGCTGATAATACTGTTATCTGTGGTTATACAGCTGATACCAGCATTAAGGACCAAGGTGTCTGTACTAGTGTTTGTATTGCAGGAGGTGGAGAGCGAACAATACCATGAAAAGCAACAAGTTCCTGTGTGCTGCTATATTTGGATAAGAGAGGAAGAATGAGATGGAGGGACTTGTTACATACACTACCCTTAGATAATTTCCCCTTTTAATAGTCAAAATTATTGTGTGAATATTTCACATATTGACTGTGCCTTTCCTCTGAGAAGCTGGAGAACAAAGCTCCTTCCACAATCCCCTCTGTGCTTTGATTCCAGAGGCCATCTCTTAGTATCACCATCTCTTTGAGGGGCAAACCTCCAAAAGATAGACTGTCCAATAGAAGAGTAAACCTGATAAAAATTCTCTTGTCCTTTGTACTAGAAAATAATTTTAGCATCACACTCTGTCCATCTGGACATCATTAATATCGTCAACCACTCCCTCCAATAGCCTTTAATGTCTAAATAATTACTCCCTGTGGCCACAATCCGACATGATGTCACTCCCCTCCTGATTTGCATTTCATAGATAACAGACAGCTTGGGAATTACAGGAGCCTTTGTGAGCTGTGCTGAAAGCCTAACACTCCCACCATCACCTCAATCACATGATGTCCCCTCCTCTAAATCTGTCACCTAAATCTCTAAAACTGCACAACCTTCCCCCACTCAATTACCCTGTTCCTTCTGTTACACTATCATTGGCTCTGTCTATACGGAGCTCAACATCCTGACTGATAACTGGAAACAAAGTTGACTAATCAAGACATTTCAGTGCTTTGCTTAACGTGAATATCCTTGACTGGAATTTTGGCTTTTCATTGCTGAGTGTGAAAATCACCCCTGCCCCCACCCCAGTATATTAATCACTTTTCCATTTTGTAGCCTCTCCCCTTCATATAGCTGCCCTCCCTGGGTAAGCCTAATGCCCAGGCATTAGTGCCAAGTTTGCTTCCCTAGGTCTCCTCAGGATTTCTCTTCCCAGTCATTCTTTTAAACCTTCCCCTCCGGCCTCCCCCAACCCCCCCACCCCCCATATAACCCAGACCTGGACAAGCAGAAATGCTTTTCATGGAGCCAGGTAAGAATCAGGCCAAGGTGTGGGCTATGAAGAAATAGAATGTTGTTCTTTTTTAAAAAATTTACTGGTTTTTATGTTTTACCTTTCTTTACATTTTTTTGTCTTTAATTTCTCCTTTTCTTTCCCATCACCACTCAATTCCCCTTCTTGCTGTCCTCTTAACCACCTCTTGGCTTCCTTATTCCCAGTTCGTTATTTTTCTTTTCCGTGTTTAGGTTTGGTCTTTGTCTACACAATACCAAACATCTGGATCTATAGTAAAAACGTGCTGTCAAATACTCAGATGTTTGGAAATATCTGGGTATTTTGGCACTTAACAGCAGCAACAGCTGGATAATGGAATTAATTTTTCACTTTTCAGTCATCTCTTGACATGGGATGGACAGAGTCTTATCAGCCACAATCTAAACACGGGCCATTATCTGCTAGCAATTCTTTTATCCTCTCACATGGGAAATTATTTCTGTCAATCACTTTATTGTCAAAGAAAAGAGGAAGGAATGTGTGTCTTCCTGGGCCCGCAGTACATCCGCCCTCTCTGCCTCAGCTCTTTTCTTACTGAAAGAGCTCCCAGGAACTGACAATTTCTTTAGCCTTTCCCACCCCAGAGGCAAGGAGAAAGAACAAGGCATATGAAACAGTTTTCTCCATTGAAGTCTGGAGAATTTGACAAGAACTTGTTTCTTATTAGAAACGCTCTGTCTGGTTTGAGATCTTGTTTTCCCCTCATTCTCTCCTATAGTCTTTGTTGCTCTATTTATAACAGCAAACAAAATAACGGCAATTTATTATTCCTGTCCACTGCTGTCCACAAAGGGCCGGCGTTATCTGTTGGTGTTTTTCTCAGGTAGCTCAGACTAACACTGCTGCGCCCCACTGGGGCCTTCGGTGGAGGGACGCTCTCCCGAGACTGCCGCAGACAGCGAGGTGTCATCATTATCGCCGGTTACGTCCGACAGCCTCCGAGTGACTTCCAAGGTCCCGTGGCCGCGATCCCACCTGCGGCGTCCGCGTCCGCCCGCTCTCCCTGAGGTCTGCACCCTGAGAGGAGGGGCGAGCGAGCCAACTTGGGGCAGGGATCACCGTGTCCACAGGCGCCCACTGGTGTGGCGTCCTGAGAGTGCGTGCGTGAGCGAGCGAGCGGCTTATCCTAGACTGAAGACCCAGGGAAACAGATCTGTGTGGAGGATGTTTCTGTTTTCAGCAGAACAGACGCAGCCCCCGAGTCAGTGCCGTCAGAAGACACGTCAGTCAATTCAGTGGAAAACACTTCCAGTGTGAGGCGTTCGCCGGCGCCCCTTAGACGCGGCCGGGTCTGAGGCGCCTGCCGAGCGAGGTGGCGCGGCCCGGGAGCTGTGGTCGAAGCCCCTGGGCCTGGCGTGTAGGCTGCGCGGGCGGCGGCGGGCTGGGGGCGGGGCTCTCCGCCCTCCGCGCGGGTCCGCCTGGCCCCTCCCCCGCCCACCCCGCGCCCGTCCCGCCTCCCCCACCTTCTCCCAGAGGAGGTGACAGACGGGCCTGTAATTTGGTTCCATTCGCTCGACTGGAGCAACACCTGCCCCCCTCCCCTGGGACGCGAGGGTCTCATCCCAAACCAGACAAGAAGCCAAAGACAAATCCCAGCCCACATGCAGATCCGACGCGGAAAGGAGCGCGGCCTGCGAGGCAGACGCTGCCCACCACACACCGAGCCCATCCAGGGACACCCGAACTTCACATTAAACATCACCCACAACTTTCAGTCTCAGATTTACACTTTTTTAAAAAATCAAGAGTTAGCTACTATTGCAGCAAGTGATAGTTTCTTCCACTCACACCACCTCACAATAACACCAAGTGCCTGGCGTTAGGCTGTGTTGACAGCGAGGTTAGGAACCAGAGCCAGGTATAAAGAACAAGGCGATGGAGGTGTGCGGCTGCGTAGACGTCTGCCGGCCGAAGATGGGTGTGCGACCCCGGAGGGGATCACTTTCTTTGTGTAAGGCCTTTAGTGCCCATATCTAGCCTAAATTAAGAAGGACACTCATTTCCTTCTCCATTTAGTGGGCGTTGTGCAAGGGCACTAACCACTAAGCCTTTCTGAATATTTCCCAAAGTCTAAGCATCCTCGTCAGGATCCTCTGGTGAGAGTGACTCATCGGGATCTCCTCCCCCAGGCTTGATCCAGAGCTTATATAAGGCATGATGTCAGCACAGAGCCTTCTCCAGACACACGCAGAACCAGCCCACACGGAGGCCTCCCTCACCTGCTGCTTTGCAGTCCCTTTGAAGTTTCGGACTCTCCGAGTGGCACCAGAGGACAAGTCCACTGAGCAGGGCCCATTTCTAGTCCAGGGCCTACGCCGCTTAAGGGAAAACCTGTTCTCACTTTCAGTTGCTGTCGTGTATTTTTATTTATTTTCACAACAAAGGAAACGTATTTTTTTTCCTTTTATCAAAGTATTTGCTTTTTAATTGTATTGCCCTAAAGACTCATTTTCCCATTTCAATCCTAACTAGCAATGTGACCTAGGGCATATCACCTAACTTCGTGTCTCAGTGTCTTCATCTATAATTTAGGAATAATAACACCTTCTACTTCACTGAATTTTTAGAGAATTAAATGAGGTAATAATGGACAGTGCCTCGCACAGGGTGAATGCTATGCCTATGCAGTTTTTGCTGATGCTATTAGTCCCTAGGCCGCAGCCCAGGGTAGACAGTGTGGGGTCTATGTGTGGAAGGAGCACAGGATTGGTGTGAAAGGCTTCTAGGTGGCTCCGCCCTGCAGGATGTTGAGACTGTGAGCAAGTCACTTAACCACTCAGGTCAGCTGAGCCCTCTCTACCAGGGGCCTGAGGGACTCACAGACACAGAATATGCAACAGACCTCAAAGAGAGGCCCTGGCCTGTTGTAAATGACCCTCAGGCTCCAGGCTGCTGCTGCCAGGGAAGTCTAGGAGGTCCTCACTCCAAAGTTCCCTCCTGAGTTTAGTGCCTGGCCAATGGCTGAAAGAGTCCACCCGATTTTTATTTAATCTTTAAAATCTGCCTAAATTGGAATCTGGCAGCATATCCACTCTAACATGTTCCAGCAGTCCCTGATAGCTTCCCCTTTACCTGTGGCTGTATTTAGCCAGCCCCCCGCTGTCAGCTACCCCAGTACACCCCGCAGGGCAACTTTGGGCCATGGATAGGCTTCTGTGCTCAATTCTCCATCTCCTACTAACTGGCTGTGGCCTTGAACCAGTTACTTAATTCTGTGCCTCAGTTTTTCCACCTGTAAAATAGGGAAAATATAGTACCTAGCCAGTAGCATTGTTAGGAGAATTAATTAAGTTAACTCATGTTAAGTACTTAGAACATGTCTTGTGCTTATAAAGAGCTCAATAGCACTCACTATATTAGCATTTATGGCAGGAAACCTTTTTAACAATGAATTAAACAGTTTAATTATTCTTGAGATAATGGAGAGAGAAATTGTTGGAATTTCCTGCTTCATTTCAGTAAGTATTTCCAGGTCAGGAGGGAGTTCTTCATCTCCTTGCTGATCATTCCAGCAATATATCAGAAAAAGGGAAGATTTCAGGGGCTTCTTGAATCAGGAGAAAGGTGGTGTGATTGGTAGATATGTATATGGGGGCGGGTCCTCTTAGGATTCCCTGGGGTTAGGATGGAATAACTGAAAATAAAAGGCCACTGGAGTCAGTCTGCCAAGAGGGACAGAGGATCATTGACCAAAGACAAAGAAAAAAACTTTCTCCAGAGATGACTCTGTGGAGCAATACCTGGTGCATTCACAAAAAGTAACCAGGGCTGGAGATGGTTCTCTGAGTGGCATGAGGTGACTTGTGCTAAAGGGTGGAGCTCTGTGAAAGAGGGTGGTGGCCTTAGTTTAAGCGGGAGTCGACTTCCTGGTGAGTAAAAATCAACTGGCACAAATTTTCTGAGCAACTACATTTTAAAAAACGCTCTTATGGAAAACTGTTAAAACATCTCCAAAAGCCAAGAGAATAGTGAAATGGATTCAAATATACACAACACCAATAAGTACATTTCATTTATTTTCTTATCCTGTCTTTCTCACTACCCCTTAAGACTTTTTGAAGCAAATCCCAAACATCACATCATTTCATCCATGAAGACATCAGTAAGTATCTCTTAAAAGATAAGGACTCTTTTTTCTTTTAACAACAAATATACCATTATCACAGTAAAACGAACAGTATTTCCTGAAAATCATCTGTGAGCACTTGCATATTTGAGGGGACTTTCACAGCTGATCTAACCCACCTTCCCTGATGACTTTTCCTTCTATCTTAAAAATGTACCCCTTGTCTGGCTGGGCGCGGTGGCTCACGCCTGTAATCCCAGCACTTTGAAAGGCCTAGGGGGGGGCGGATCACCTGAGGTCAGGAGTTCAAGACCAGCCTGGCCAACATGGTGAAACCCCGTCTCTACAAAAAATACAAAAAATTAGCTGGGCATGGTGGTACATGCCTGTAATCCCAGCTACTCGGGAGGCTGAGCCAGAAGAATTGCCTGAACCTGGGAGGTGGAGGTTGCAGTGAGCCAAGATTGCGCCACTGCACCACTGCAGCCTGGGCCACAGAGCGAGACTTGGTCTCAAAAAAAAAAAAAAAAATTTACCCCTTGTCGTCCTTAACTTTGGCAATTGCTCGTACACACACATTGGATGTGAGTGCCCGCTCATCCCCCTCTGCCTGACCTATCATGGGTGAGCAGGCCTGAAAACTGGCCCTCTGCTTCTAGACCTATCTTTAAAAATTAGCTTTGACAGAGTCTGTGCTTCTGACCAGTCTGCTATAGTGCTTATCACAGCATTCGTGCTATGGGAAAAACCAAGGTAAAAGAGAAAAGGCATAGACTGGGCCTTTATCATGAGTCGAGTGGGGCTTTCAGACCTGTAGATAACTCTACAGGTGTGCATGTGTGGTGTATTCCATGGATGACTATTAATTTACCTATGCTTCCTGTCTTAGAAGATGGGGATGATTTCTGGCTGACTGTTGAGTTAGTAATGTATCATATGCAGATGGATATAGTTGGTGGAAACCACAAATCATTACTATATTAAAGAATTAAAGCTGATTTTAGCTTATCCTATGTTAATTCCTGTGCATATTATAAATACAAAGGTAATGAAAATAGCTCACATTTATTGAGCACTTCCCATGTATTCCTATTCTGATAAGCACTATACATTATCCCATGGAAACCTCATGACATGCATTTGAGATTGGTACATACGTTGTCCCATCTTATGGATGAAAATGGAGGCTTGAGGAGATATAGTAACATGTTCAATGTCATACACTTAGAATAATTGGAGCCAGGGCCCGAACTTGGCTCCAGAGTCTTGGGTCTCAAACACAGAGATGGGAGAAACAGGTAAATTCAGTTAAAACGATGTATGTATGTGGGACTCAGAGAACAGAGCAGCTAATGCTTCTGAAAGAAACGGAAAGCTTTGTAATGATACGTGTGGTTACGTGTGGTCTGAGTTGGGTCACAGTGGAATCATCGGAATTTTCTGGGTAAAAAATGAGGTTAGGGGAGAGCATTGTGAGTAAAGGGGAAGTAAATACAAAGGCCCAGGTCGTAAAAGAAAAAGACTTGGCCTCTCTGGGGAAGTGAGGAAACCGAGTTTGCAGGAATATTTAATCTCTGGAGAGTGGCTGAAAATGGCACTAGTGAGGGTCTGGAACAAGACTGTGAAACATTTCTATGCCTAGATTGGGAACTTGAATTTTATTAAAAAATAAAATGGACATTCACGAAGGAGGATGGCACGCTAATTTTTAAAGATAGGTCTAGAAGCAGCGTGAGAATGGGCTGGAAGGTGCAGAGGAGTGTGGATGGAGCCAGCCTCACCCATGTGGTAGTGAATGACGGTGCCCTGGTGGGGGAGTTGTCACAGGGCCACCATTATCCTATAGTGTTTTCTTGCAAAGTAGAAAAATGCTCCCCTTCCTCCAGGTAGTCCAACTTCAAGCCAAGGCACATGCTTGACTTGGCATACAGAGCACAGGCTTGGTTTTGGCCTCCACTGGTCCCATTGGTTGGGCAGCTGTGTGTACTGCAGACGCAGCACTCCTTAGGCATTACATGAGCTGAAGCTTTCCCTAGGCACATGGATGGAAAGATGCAGTGCAGGCACCAAGGGGGGTGGTGTGTGAGTGGCACAGCTACCCCTCTATCAAAGGACAACTCTAGAGGATGATGGGTAGGGGCAGGCACTTTGATAAACTGATAAACATGGCTTCATGGCCCTAAGCAAGTCATCTAATTTCTTTAAGCCTCAAATTCCTCATCTGTTAAATGGAGACAATAAAAGTACCTACCTCACTGGGTGGTTGTGAGAATTACAGGAGATAATGCATGCAAAGCACTTTAGTAAGCATGTAGTATACACTCAACCCACATTAGCTATTATTTCGACTACTAATACTGATAAATGAGATAGCACATCTAAATATGGAAAAGGGTATTGGCTGTGCATGCTCTTAAGTTGGCCCTCTTCTCCCCTTAAATTCTCTCCACCCCAAACATCAGCAAGAAAACTGGTAGCCAGAGACAGCAGTGAGGAGAGTTGGATAAATCACAGCATCACAGAGGCTGGCTCTGGCTACTCGCCTTATCATAGTGCTCTGGTGATACGTGTTCATGGGGCAGGGCCACTGGAGGGAGCTCCTGCAAACAGCATTCCTGTGGGAAGCGGGTATTCCCTCCAGAGTCCCCCACTCCCACCCAGTCTCATTTCCTCCTTACCCATTCCTCTCTCCTCAGTCGGCCCTTCCTTTACCATCCCATCCCATCATACACTGCCCCTCCTCTTCCCCTCTCCCTGGAGAGGAAGGTTGTTTTGCCCAATACTTTTACCCTTGTTCTCTGGAAGTTTCCGGGCAGTGGTAGAAGTGAGGGGAAGTCCATTTGGGTGGAGAAATATTCAGCACAGGCAGTCTTGTCCGCTGGGCCAGCTGGGGCTAGGCTTTCTGGGGAGCAGCAATGGCCTGGCAAGTTGTTGAGTGGCTGTGGGCAAAGAGAAGAAGGTGAAGGGACAGCAGGAAGACATGTGGTTCTGGGTCTGTTTGGTGAAAGACCAAGCTCAGGGTAAAGGATGAGGCTGGGGCCAGCTGCGGAAAGGTAAGTGACCTGCACAGACTGTTTTGGTCGCATGAGCACTCAGAACATTTTAATAGGATGAGAAAAGAAAAGGCAGTGCCAGTGGCAGCAACTGTATAAGCTGGTCCAGCAGGCCTAAGTCTCTAGGCAGAGGGTACCAATGTATTTCCTCAGAGAGGCTTTCTCCAACAGCCCTCTCTAAAATGCTACCCAGCACCAGCACGTCCAGCCCCCATCCTGTGTTCTTTACCCTGCTTATTTTTCTTCATAGCATTTAGCAATATCTAAAATCAAATATTGGGGGTTTTTTCGCTTCAGTGTACTGCTTTTCTCCAGTAGACTTTGTCTCATGTGTTGCTCTATTTTCAGCATTTAGAACAATGTTTGGCACACAGTGGGTCCTCAATAAACAAAGGTTAAATGTAAGAATGAATGCTCACCATCGTCATTCAAAGAAGAATCGAGACCTCATGGATGGGCGAATAATCACTGTGTCTGCGCTGTGCTCAGGGAATGAGCCAGTCACCCTCTGGTCTAGCAGACTGCCACCATGCTTGTCTCTCTTGGAGGGTGCTCAGCAGCTTTGGATTTGAAATGACATTGCAAAGATCCTCTCCTGAAATCACATGGGTTGCATAGCTAGGAAGGGATGCTGCCCTTTGTCCAAATCCCTAAGGCCCTTTGTCCAAATCCCAAGGGCCTTTTGTCTAGGGGAGTGTATCAGTAGGTTCCTCCTACATGTGAATGGGAGGTCTGTGTTGGTCAGTTGGAAGTTGGGCCCCTAAACTGGGAAAGACAGGCACTTGGAAGGTTTCCAGAGGTTAGAAGTTGACTTCATACCCTTGGCATAGGAGCAGGGCTAATTATTCTCTTGTATAATAGAGAGGTGCTATAAGAACTAGGAGTGGTTATCCTTCCACACTGCCTAGAGGTGAGAAGGCCTACAGGCACTCATGTGTTTTGCAGGTCACAGAGTAACCAGTCATTGCTCTAGTGGCCAGGACATTGTCCAGATACAAGGCAACAGAAGGTGCTGTTCTTTTTCACACACTAGGAAGTACTTTCCTACTATACACCTTCATATAAGGGAGAGGATGAGGTCCTACCTAGTAGGTATCTGTGAAGCTGACAAGAAGACACCTGGGTGAAAAGTGAAGAATACCAGCAATCCCACAGACATTTTATATGCATAAGGCCAAGCATCCATCTAACTGCATTTACTCTGAAACCAGAGATTTGGTGTGATATAGACTCATACTTCATAATATTCTATATATGCATATGTACATATAGTTTTTAAGTCATTTATGTCTTCTATTTGTAAGCAATACATTTCGCATTTTTATACTAGCCACAGGTTTTTGCAGATGTCATTCTTCTTATCTCAAGGTTGGTCCAGGGCTCAATTTTTTTTCTTGTTTGCGGATGCCCTGTCTTGAATCTGTGTACTGATTGGATGTTTGAGTATTACAATAGTAATACACACCTTGTTCTTAATAAGTGCCATGAGGATTGAGAGTCATCACATCAGGGATCTTCTTCTCACTGCCATTAAATAGCTATGTGTTTTAGTGTAGGTCACTCCTTGGGCCTCAGTTTCCCAACTCTAATTTGAAGAGGCTGGGTTAGAGAGTTATTAAGTTTTCTTTTAGAGGCAAAGAATCCACAATTCAAGTAATATTTTATATAAACACTATACTTCTTTTCCTCATTGTAGAATGATCTATGTCACCATCATATGTAGGGCATCTATTTATGGGACTGATCCACGTCCAAATTTGAGCATCAAATATTTCACTACATAAATATGTTTATGTTAAGATTTTGTTGTGCTTACCAGTTCCTTTCTAAGGAATTGAGTCCATTAAGATATTTCATGCTCAGCTAACATGTCCATTATTTTTAGACAGTGTGCTTAAAATAAAAGAGAGGACTTTATTTGATACCTTTATTTATATGCAAAACAGCGCACCATTCATGAGATATGAAAAACTCGTCAGATAGAAACCAGATTATATCTATTTTCACTACAAAATATTGCATTATATAAAGCAACAGAGACACAAAAAAACCCTGAAAAAGACTAAAATCTTTGGATAGCAGATGTGGTTTTTTTCCCTTGTCTCTAAAATACACTCCTTGTTTTAAGAGTTTCACAGCAGAGAACATGAAACATTTTCAGGTTATAGACTTTTCTTTTTGGTGTCACAGAGGAAAGTAGTTCTGAATTCTTTTTTTCTTTTTTTTTTAGGAAAATAACTTAATTTGCTAAATTCATCACACGCACAAACATCACACACACAAAGAAGCTACTCTCCTTATAAACAGCTTGTAAAGGACTTCTCAGACATAACTACAGATAAGAATAATACACTTTTTAAAAAACTATAATAGTGAAGTGCTAGTGTTGCTGATCTCACAACAAAAGAACCTTTCAAGAACAAACATCTTAATATATAAAATATGTTTAGAAACAGGGAGAAGTGGGAAATTTGTTATACAAGTGCAATATAATTAGAGCAGAAAGAAAGACCACAGTATAATCTCAACAAACACGTAAAAAGTTAGACATAATTATTCCACAGGAAAAAGTGTAAACACTTGACTATAAATAAATTGGCACAGAGTATCCAAAGTAAAAGTATCACCACTCTGAAAAATAAATGTCTTGAAAAAAATACTCTACTCCTTCTAACATAAATAAAAATAGGTTGTCTTTTTCTAACTGCACCTATGGGTCCACATGTTTAAGGTCACAAATAGATGTTTTTGGATATATAAAGGGGCACTTCGCCTGCAAAAGTAATCAGATATTAAAGTTTCCATTTAAATATGGATTTTCCTGTCTACCTTGGTGTCATATCTTGGGGATAAAATATCACCAAGCTCAGATCCTCCCACAGTGTGTCTACTTGTTCTCAATTTGTCTTTTTAAACTTACTAAATATTCAGGGTTTATTTGGATTCTAATATAATCTTTATTTTCACAACAGAAAGGAAAGTTTCCAGTCGCACCTTTCTGTGCCTTCCATCTCTATGGGAGAGATCCCTCCTCTCTCCTCCTTCCCAGTGTTTGGTGATTTGTCCATTAGAAAAATTCCAGATAGCCTAAAGTTATGAGCCTGCATACTCTGAACTTCTGCCCTCATTCTTTCAACACATTAAGATTTGTGGCGGATGAATGTAGGAGAACTCAAAGTCTCCAGTGGGTTAAAACCACAACCCTTGGGGAGCCCCAGAAGTGGCTCATCTCGGGTGTCTCCACGAGGTTCTCCTGGCCTGGAAAATCCCCCCTGCGAGCCCCCGGGCTCGCCAGACAACCCCACCTGCCTGCGTCGGAAACCTTCCCTCGTCGCCCTGCTGACCAGAGAGAACAGGTAGCGAGCTTCTTCCCCGGCCGTCTCTCGAGGCGGCCGTCTCGCTGGGCCACCGCAGCCTCCGCCACCCGAGCGACGGCGCCCGTCCGGATCCGTAGCGTTTCGCGGACGCCGGGACAGGCGGCCCCCCGCGGCGCACCCCGCCCTACACGTCCAGGACGTGGTTGAGATAGGAGATGTAGCAGATGGCCAGGCGCAGGATCTCGATCTTGGAGAGCTTCTTGTCCGGGGGCAGCGTGGGCAGCAATTTGCGGAGCTCGGCGAAGGCCAAGTTGAAGGCTTCCACGCGGATGCGCTCGCGGGTGGCGTGGGCCGAGCGGTACTTGGCCGTGGCGCGCCGGCGGCGGCGCTTCTCCTCGCGGCTCAGCTGCTGCGGGTGCGGGTAGAGCGCGGCTCGGCTGCCGCCCTTGCCGTCGCCCTCGGCCTCCTCCACCGGCTCCAGGTCCGACACGCTGCCGAGCACCTTGGTGTCCGTGCCGCCCAGGGACTCCGGATCCGAGTGCGCCGAGCTGGGATGGTCCGAATCTGCTGCTTGGTCCGGACTCAGCATCATTTTGGAGGCTGAGGAGGGGTCGGAAAATTAATCAGTAAAAGGAATCAGGGTATTTTGCTGGAAGGATGGCTGCCGAGGCCTACCACGCCGGTCCTCCCAGCGGACGCGCGGCCCGGGCCCCCTCCCCACAGCAGGCCGGCGCGCGACGCGGGAGGGCGCCGATAGGATCTGGCCCGAGGGCGCGAGCCCTGCGCCTCGCCCTGGCGCGGGAGCCGGCGGGGACGCGGTTGACCCAGGCCGCATACTAGACTGGACACCTCGACTTGCAGACGGCCACAGCGGGCCTGTGGCCCTGGGCCTGGGGAACAACCGCAGGCCTGTGGGGTCGCGACTGGGTTTTTGTGCCTCTTCCGGCCAAATGCCAACCGCGCTATTCCTCCTCCCTCCCTTCGTCCCCTTCCCGGACAAACGAGCGATTTCGAACAACGAATACATCTGGGTTTTCACGGGGGCGGGGAGACGCGGGGTGCACTTCTCGCCCCGAGGGCCTCCGGCGAAGCAACCCGGCAGCCGCGGCGCCCGAGGGCCTGGCGCTGGTCTGGGGCTGCGCCGGGGGCGCCTGGCTCTGGGGTGCGGCCGGTCAGGAATCCCCATCCTGGAGCGCAGGCGGAGAGCCAGTGGCTGGGGGCGGGAAGGCTTCTTGGACCCCTCGCGCTTCTCCGAAATCGTAAAGAAATGACTAAACAAACGTGGGGGAGCCTTTAAAAAGAAAATTGACTCCGATGCCCTCGCAGGCTCCCGGAGCACCATCTGTCACGCAGACAGCCACACACATAGGGGACCTAGGGACACGGCGACGTGGGATCAGACAATGCGCCCGGCAGTCTGGCGACCACCTTGCGGGAAAATGCCGGCAGCCGGGCCGCTGAGGGAGGAGAGGATGCAGAGGGAAGGGAAGAGAAGGGAAGGGCCCGGGGCGGGGCAGGCGGGGACTAGCGGGTGCAGCGCGTGTTGTCCCGGCGGGAGCTGCATCTCTGCCGGCAAAGTTCGGGCGCTCCCGGAACCGGAGCTCGGCAGGCTGCAGCTGTCCCCGGGTGGCCTGGCCAAGTCCGGGCATGTCGGTGCTTAGCCTTCCTCTAACTTAACTGTGCCCTCTTGGAAACGCCACCTGGCCAGGCTTCTCTGGGGCGCCTGGAGCACTGGCCCGGACTGTGCGCCTTCTGGGAGGGGGCCGCTCAGAACCGCTGGGCTTCCGGGTAATTCGGGCTTCGAGAAAGGGCCCGGCAGGAGGAGAAAGGCCCCTGCAGGGGCTGCACGCACCGCCCCTGGGCGTCGGGAGTGAGGACCAGGCTGAGAACTCGGGGCCCCGGCGTGGGCAGCCTCCACGACGCTCGGCACGGGAGAAATCCGCGTCGGCGACGTATAGGAGCGTTTGCTTCTAGAGAAACAAAAGCAAGGGGATGGGTGATCGGTTCCCAGCACCGCACTTGCAGAGGAGCGAATTGGGCCAAAACAGCTTTAATTTCCCTGCGAGGAAATCAGGTCCTCTACGGCAAAATAAAAACAAATGCTCCCAGAGAGCTGCATGTGACTCCCTACGGGCTTTTCTCGGGTACGTTTATGAGTAGAACAACTTGCACCTACACAGTCAGCTTGAAAGGGCAGAAATAAATAGACGAGTAATGGAAAATCACAATAAGCCACTAAATAGTTGTAGTTCTGGTAAAAAGTTCCTGGGTTGCCCTCAAAGCACATTAAATTCTCCTCTAGATCTTTAAAAATATTCATAAATAGTATGCCGTGTATGCGTTTTATCTCTTTATGGAATGAACTGCATCTATAGATACAGTATGAATAATCTAACTTATTTCAAGCTGAAAAAAATTATTTAAAGGAGTCTTACCTTGCAAAAGCCTTTTTGATAATCTGTTCTCCAATCTTTAGAGTTAAAATTCCAAGGAATAGCGAGGGGAGATTCCGGAAAATATTAAAAGCAGCAAATATTTATTACATTCAAAAATGAAAAAGCAGCTGTCATCTCGCTGGTGTCCGCAGCGAGGGACAATAATATCTCAGGATGTAGACGATATGAATGATTGTTCACTTAGTTGATAGATTTTTTAAAAAACGCTTTTTCCTTTTAATTGTTCTCAAACATTGCAAGAAATTCGTTGATGATTTTTTTAAACGATGTGTTGAAAAGTCTCGTGCCTTTTTTCCTCTTCTAGGTCTCTAAAAATAACAAAAGAGATGCAGAGATAAACACAATCACATCAAAGGGCTGATTCCTCCACTTTCTAATAGCGGAATAATCAATAAGAAAGATGGTTAAGATAAGATTCCGCTCCTATCGTATGCCTTTCTTTTCCTTAATACGGCTGAGCAGAAACTGGGAAGTGCAGGACAGAGATGTGATCTTGCTCAGAAGTGATTTTTTTTTTTTTTTTGAGATAAGGCTTTGTTCAGCTGATATCTCCCCAGTTCCCAGGAACACAATACTGTAACTAGGAGCTAAGGTTGCCTCTTCCTCTTCCCTCACTTACTTGTATGTTGTATAAATAGACACCTATTTTCCAGTTTCAAAGTCTTTCAAGGTTTGGCTATATCCCCCGTCCCCAGCCCCTCTTCTCTTTACCTTGTAGCAAAATATATATAGTCAGTGGCTTGGAGATGCTTGGAGAAAGGTTGGTGAAAAGTGAACGTCTCCTGGAGTAACAGTGACAAGGAAGCAGAGAAAGACGGGAAGAGGGTGGGAGAGCCAGAGCAAAGAGGCAGAGATGCGTGTGTGGCTTCTGGGCTCTCCTGGTACCAATTGATTCAGCCTGGAGATGGTGGAAGAGATAAAGGCTTAGGAAGGGGGATGGAATTTTTTTCCCCTAAATTGATATTTAATGGGAAATCCTATTGGACAGAAACCTGGACATGAGTCACTTAATTGGACTTGACATCTGTCACAGTGTGGGAGTTTTCACAGCCCAAATATTTTAGCAGATCAGATTCCCACTGAATCTGTGCCATAAAATATAACAATTGAAAAGCAGTTCATGATAGAAATCTTAGCCTCTAAACAGTATCTAGCCGTAGTCAGGCTATTTCTCTTTTCCAGATTATTGATGAAATATTTAAGTACAAATAAACAATATATTGACTATCAAAGAATTCCCCTGGCATATTACAAAGCCACCACTTTCCCTTAATATTTAGAAAAATATTTGTGTCCAGAACATGGAAATATATACTATATAAGATGCTGCAATAAAGTATTTAGACATGCAACAGCCAACATTTATTAGAGATCATTTACATTTTAAAAGATACTTCAGTAAGGTTTGATTAAGCATATTAACATTTTTGAGAAATGATCTGCTATGAGACTAACTTATCAATAGATGGTAAGAACCTTTCAATAGATTAAGCCATTGGTGGAACTAGAAAGAGAATCCACATATTCACGGACCACGACATGAGATAATTCTACTTTTCTGTATGTTTGTTTTTCTCTCCACCCACTCATTCATTCAAGCTGAAATATGACATGCTACATGTGTTGATTATTGCACTTCATTCTTGCCCATCTTAACATGCTAATATATTGTACTGCGTGGCAGTGCTTGTGCCAAGATGTAAACACAAATTACCAGTGTGTCCCAGTACATAATGCCTTTGCCTTACATGATCCCATGGCCCTGAATTTGTATACCTTATAATAAAAAATAAAATCTAGTTCAATTATTTTGCCACTTTATGAAGATACTCATAGTTAATATCAATAACATATTATTTGTGATTATTTTAGCTTGTTTTGATCATACAAGCTTAAAGAAATAAAAGAGCATTACAGCCTTACTCCCACCCCGCCAGTTCCTAGGGGAACATTTGTGGAGAGAGGAGTCCTCACTTGTCTTCCTTAATTTTGCCCTAAAAGCAGATTTTATCACCAGGGGAGGCACATTGAGCAGCCCACCCCTGGGAGTGACCCTCCGGGTTTTTCATGGCTTCCACAAGTACTATTTGCCTTTGCCCACATTTTTGCTCCTTTGAGAGATTCCTGGACCACAATGGGGCAGGGGTCGGGGAAAGGAGGGAGTGCCTCCAACAAATAAGGGCACCAACACTCCCCAGCCTTGCTTCTGCCTAACCCCAGCACAGAGGTATATTTTAGATATCCCCAGAACGTTAAAGTGAAGATGGAAGCCGGTCCCATACAGGTGGCAATGGAAATGGGTGAGTGGATAAACACCCCAAGGTGGTGACAATGAAGGGAGAAGGGAGGTTTTCTCACTCTAGTTAGGAACAGCCAATGCTAAGCATTCACACACAACCAGAAGTGTGCACACAGATGCACACCCACAGACACCTGTACCTCCTCCCCCTTCATCATACAAGCTGGCTGGCTCTATTAGACCACCACACATCCATACTGATGGATTGAAAAAAACTGGTGGGTCTAATCACCATAGCTCTAGAGTGGGCAGCTGCTACAGTGGGAAAGGACCAGCATCTCTGGTTCCCCTGGTGTTGGGGAGTCATGACAGGGTGTGCCTATCAGGGCAGGTCCAATTCTGCTATGGTGTGTGTGATACCAGACAAATTCCCTTTTATGTTCAGGCTTACTCATTCTATACCAGCAGCCAGCATACACAAAAATTAATGCTTACAGAAGTAAGCCTGTATAAACAGGTACACACTCAGATCCATACTTAGTGATGCCTAGCCACACTGTCATAGACACAGACATGGATTCACATTCACACACACACATTCTTTCTTCCATCAAAGCCTCCCCCTCCCCCACCCCTTTGCCTTTTCTAAGACCTCCCTGGCACAGATGGCCCCTCCTTCTGTGCTCCATAAGCACTCCTTTCATGTCTCCCTTAGAGACTACATATTGTGTACCGTGATTCTTGGTTCTTGGTTACCACACTGGTCTCTCTTCCTAGGCTATGATGCTTCCAGGGGAGGTCTGTAGCTTATATCCCCAGCACTAATGTCTGAGCTTGACACATTATAGGTACTCAGTTCATTTATGATGTGACTCTATGTACAGAGGTACCCCAGATATTTGTAACATAGAAACGCTTCCACTAAAGGACACCCATGGTTCAGTTCTATCAATTTTCTTTCCTGTAAAAATGAGAATAATAATATTGCACTTCTCATTTCACAGGCTCGCTATGAGACCCAATGTATTTGAAAATATTTGATGAAATAGTAAGCACCATACAAATTATGATATTATAGACTATAAGAGTAATATTAAATAATATTATTAAATGAATGGGGAGGTGATAAGTAGTGACTTAAAAAGTCCGGCTTTGTGGCTCTGTCATATGCTAGCTGTGTGAATTTAGTTGTAAGTTACTTAACCTTTTTGGACCTTAGTTTTCTAATCTGTAAAATGAGAATAATCAAAGCATGTTATGTAATGTTATGTCATGTTTTTTTCTGAAGGTGAACAAGATAATATATGTAAAGTGCTTAAACTAATGCCTAGAACTCATGTTCAGTAAGTGTTGGCTATCATTATTATTATTATTCAGTATAAATACATATTGAGGAACAGATATATATTGACATAGAAAAATAAACATATCCAGATATACTCACCCGTGTGTGTGTGTGTGTGTGTGTGTGTGTGTGTGTGTGTGTGTGTGTGTCTGTCCATAGCTCTGGTGGCCAAACTACAATGAGCATTTTCCATGTGTCAGACCTAGGTATAGTGACTTTGCTCATATTAACTTATTTAACCTTCACCACAAACCTGTGAGGTAGGTAGGTACTGTTGTCCCGATTTTGTGTATAAGAAAACTAGGACATGGAAAAGATGGTAATCTACTCAAGGTCACATAGCTAATAAATTATGGAGCTAAGATAGAGATTCAGGTGGTCTAAATTCAGAAACTGCACTCTCAGACACAAAGTACTACTGTTTCTGTCATTGTATCCTACACAGATATACTCACACAGAACTATTCACCAAAATGCATATGGCAAGGGAGAAATACACGTACACACAAAACTTAGATAAATGGCCACCTTTGCATTCAGGGGTGGTTAGTGAGTGATATGGTTTGGCTGTGTCCCCACCCAAATCTCAACTGGAATTGTACTTGCCATAATTCCCGGGTAGGAGGTAATTGAATGCTATTCTCATGAAAAGAGTAAGTTATCATGAGATCTGATGGTTTTATAGGGAGCTTACCCCTTTGCTCAGCTCTCATTCTTCTCTCTCCTGCTGCCTTGTAAAGAAGGACATGTTTGCTTCCCCTTCCATCATGATTATAAGTTTCCTGAGGCCTCCTTAGCCCTGAGGAACTGTGAGTCAATTAAACATTTTTCCTTTATAAATTACCCAGTCTCAGGTATGTTCTTATATCAGCATGAGAATGGACTAACACAGTGTCAGTGTAGTTTAAATACTTACTGCACATCTAGTGCTTTGCCAGATACTGTTGGACTACAAAGGCTTTGTAATTATTTGTTACTTTTATGAGACATCTGTTTCCAACCTATTTTTTAAAATTTTGTACCCCATAGATAAAAATTTAGGGCATACATACTGAGTATATGTATATTTATATGTATATACCCAATTATAACTACATAATATACTAGTACAGTAGTACATGTATAAGCTTTGTACATGTACTACTGTACTAGTATATTATATAATTATGATATACAAAAGATAAGCAAAGATATGATAAAAATATTTATTTTAAAATTTGTAAGTATTTATCAATAGATACATTTATAAATTTAAATATTCATATTTATTATTAAATATATGATAAACTTAAAAATAATATTAATAAACTAATTAATTTTATTTATTAACAGCACAAAAACCAATTAACAGCATAAGGTTTTATTGATCATGTATAACTTCTGAGAGCAATAAGCTTAATTTTGTTAAACTCATTGTTTAACCCTTTGAGATAATGATTTGATCATCTGGTTTTAAGATCAATTTATTTAGAATCTGTTTTTTGGCTGATATAGCAGAAAGAGATGTAATACAAAAATTCAGATGGTATCACAAAATATGATAAGCATGTGAAGTGATGGATATGTAAATTAGCTTGATTTACTCATTCCACAGTGTAAACATATATCAACACATCACATTGTACATCATAAATGTATACCATTTTTATTTGTCAATTTAAAAAAAAATAAGAAAAAGTGGAAACATCCCAAAGGTCCATCAACTGATGGATGGATAAACAGAATGTGATATAACCATACAATAGACTACTATTCGGCAAGAAAAGAAACAAAGTACTAATACATGTGACAACATGGATGAACCTCAAAAACATTATGCTGAGTGAAAGAAGCCAGACACAAAGACCACATATTGCGTGACTCCATTCATATGGAAAGGTACAGAATGAGCAAATCTATAGAAACAGAGGTAGATTAATGGCTGTGCAGGGATAAGATCGGGTAAAGAAAGGTACCAGGGAGTGATTGCTAATCAGCAGAGTTTCATCTTGGGATGATGGAAATATTCTAAAATTAGATTTTGGTGATGATTTCATGACTCTGTAAATATACTAAAAAACATTGAGCTGTGTGCCTTAACTAT
Organism: Homo sapiens; assembly: GCF_000001405.40. NCBI lineage: Eukaryota > Metazoa > Chordata > Mammalia > Primates > Hominidae > Homo > Homo sapiens. Next base: position 115,845,904 of record NC_000001.11, read on the forward strand.
GGTATGTTAAGTATATCTCAATAAAGCTATTAGAAAATTCAGAAGACATAATGTGTGATATTTATGTCACTGTAGTGGGTAAAGGGCGTGATGTCTTTTCTCACCCATCATAAGGGTCACAGCTGACACTCCTTTAACAAAAGACAGGTTAACATGAAAAGCATAACATATTTATCTAATCAGAGTTTTACATGACACAGGAGTCTTCAGAATGAAGACCCAAAGATCCAAAGGAAAACTGTCCATTTTTATGCCTAGATTTGATGCAGAGTGGATAGCCGTGCAGAAATGCGACTGGACAAAAAGGGAATGATCTTACAGCAACAGACTGAATGAGGAAACCCAGGAAAGCCTGCCTGTTAAGATTCTACTTGGTCTCTCTGTGTGGCATTCCTTTTTCCAGGGATAGTGCAAGACCCCTTTTAGAATGAGGGTCTTATAATCTACTTGCAGACAGAGTAGGTCAGAGAATTTCTGTATGGTCAGCTCTTACACAGAAAAATGGGAGAATGTTAGAATACTATTTCTAGGTTTTATGGCTGGCTTTGGAGAGAGGGGTTCTAGTTTCTATGATCCACCTTGGGGAAGAGAAATTCTAGTTTCTATGGCTTGCCCTTGGGGGAGAAAAGGGAGCAAGGAGAAAGGAGGGCATGAGAAGTTCAGAGAGAGACTTTGCTTTTAAGGGATTTTCAATCACCTTTTGTTCAAAGTACTCAGCATGCCAAAGTGCCATACTTTGAGTTATCATTTTCTGAATCCCAACAATTCCTATTTTCACTGTACTTCTCTATTTATTATTTTATCTAGTATATATTTTTATTTATTGTTATTGATTATATCATAAATGGTGAGGGTTTTTATCATTTTTTATTTGTTTGCTTTCTTTAAAGGAATAGAAGAGACTACCACCAGTTGTAGCAGTACTTTTGAAAACTTACCATCTATGTGACCCGAACCGTGGTAGGAGTGAGCACAGTCAGAGGTTAAAGATAGACAATAGTATCCCCTAGTTTGCTCTGTACTTATCTATGGTCCACTTGTGCTGGTGAGCTGATATGTGTGGTGGATAACCATTCCCAATTTTTTAAAATTAAAGTAAAATTTCCAATTTATTTTATATAAGCCAATATTATCCCATTAGTAATAATTACAGGGGAAAAAACAGAAACTCTTTTGTGACAAAAGTATTTTAGCATCTATATAAACACCATAAGTGATAGGACATAATTTGAGAGCTATTTATTTTCACTAAACATATATTAATAAAACAATGTTTCCAATCCCTCAACCCATTCAGACATATACACATTGTTGTGGGAGATCATTTTTCTTATGAAAGAATAAAATGTGTGCTATAAGAAAAAAAATCAAAAGTCTAACAGAAGTTAATCACTGATTGTGTTAACTAAATTATTATTCTCATTTTTCTTACTTATCTATGAAATATTCCAAAGTTTTATTGAAATTTGGACAGTAAGTCTCTTTCTAATGTGAATTAGTTTTTCTTTTAACAATGGGTTTAAAATCCATAAAACTCTTGATTTGGAAAAATTTTTAACAGCTTAGATATTTATGCTTCCAAGTGTTTCAAGTGTTCAGATATAACAGATTTTAATATATGTCACATTTTCATTATTTGGGGTAGCAAAAATCACATAACAATGGAAAAATTTCTAAATTAAATCTCTTCAAAATGCCTTCTCCATTGCACAATGTTTTTAAAAGTTACCATTTAATTCATTTAAAAATAGTACTTAAAGAGACACGTTGCGTGTGCATTCATTTTTTTAATCTGCTGGTAGCATACCATTGACATTGTCATAAAAAATAACTTTGGAACACTTATCTTAAAGTTGAGCAACTCTTTAAGTACTCTTTACATACTTTACCACTTGCCAAACAGCACTTTTCGTGTGGAACAGTAGAATTTTATGGCATTTTCCAGTTTCATTTATTGCAAAGATTCTATAATATTTTAAAAGACTCATATTTCTAAAACTAACTACATGGGTACATCTTGCATACTTTGGCTTCAAATTATGCACATTTCTTGCATAGTAATTACTTGGTGAATAAATTTTGTTTGTGATGGTCTCTCTGACTCCAGGCTGTTTATATTTATTTGAGTTAAAGCAGCCTTTTCCTCAGTAGTTACACTTCCATAATTTTTCCATAAATTATTCCTTCTATTGAAGATCATTTCAGTTGTGAATATATCTGCTCCCATACATTTTTCCATTTATATCCCCTTAAAAAGAGTTCTTCATGTATTTCAAAAGATTCTGAGACAGAATCTATAAAGTACCACAAGTTCAAACATGTTAGAAATAGCTGCTGTTTTTTAATCCACATAAATAGCAAACTTACATAATTACAACACTGCATAAATTGATCTAATACTTGTTTCTTCAAATTTTCAGGAATGTTCAGGAGTGTTTCCCAGGTGTCTATCAATGGAATCTGTCAATATGAGAAAGGATTTTAGTTTATCACTTTACTGGTTTCTGAGTATTAATTCAGCTATTTCCCCAACAGTTTGGCTTTTGCTATAAAATAAGAAACTTTAGAAGAGGTTTCTAAACATTTATCTTTATATTTAGTGAAATGTTTTAAAGTACTGGATTGAGTGTGGTATAATTTTACATATCACTGGAAAATTTGAGAGATTTGCTTTCCTATTTTGGATGCCTAATTTTTAAAACCAGTTTGCTGAAGTATAATTTATATACAGTAAAACTAATCCTTCAGAGGTGCCCTGTTTTACAAATTCCACAAACGTATTGAGTGTGTAAGCAACACACTCAAAATATAGAACATTTCCATTACCCTGGCAAGTTCCCTGTACCTTTTAGTAGCCAATCCTTTTACCTGCATCCAACCTCAGACAACCACAGATCTGATTTCCGTTCCTATAGTTTTGCCTTTTCCAGAATGCCATAAAAATAGAATTGCTTAGTATAGGAAGTATAGACTTTCAAGTCTGGTTTCTTTTACTTAGTACAAAGTCTTTTTTATTATTCATCCATGTTGTTGCACGTATCAGTACTTTATTCTTTTTTATTACTGAGTAGTATTCCATTGCATAGATGTAGCACAATTTGTTTATTCACTCACAAACTAATAGACATTTGGGTGGTTTCTAGTTTTTGGATATTAAGAATATAGCTAATAAATTTGGTATAACCGTGCACATACAGGTATTATGAGGGCACATGCATTCAGTTCTCCTGGGTAAATAACCAAGAATAAAACTGTTGGATTGTATGGTGAGTGTATGTTTCCTCAGCCCACAGGAAACCACTGTTCTACTTTCTGTTGCTAGACGTTATTTGGTGTTTTTAGAATTTTATATATTGACCATACAATATGTTTTGGCTTTGTCTGCTTTTTTTTAGTCAGTCGTTATGTTGAGATTCATCCATGTTGTTATGTATTAGTTAGCTGTTCCTTTTTATTGCTACATAGTATTCATTTATCCTTCCCAGAGCTCTTCAGTCGATTGTGTAGATCCAAATTTCTATGTGGTAACGTAATCCTTCTGCCTGAAGAACTTTAACTATTATTACAAAGCAAGTAAGCTGTCAGTGAATTTTCTCACCTATTGTTTTTATGAAAATGTCTTTGCTTTCCTTTTCAAAAACTTTTCTTTGTGTATAGAACTCTAAGTTGACAGTGGTTTTTATTTTTTCTTCAGTACTTTAAAAATGTTGCTTCATTTCTTTTTTGGCTTGTATAGTTTCTGATGAAAAGTCTACACTAAGTAGTCTCTTTGTTTTGCTGTATATAATGTGTTCCTCATCCTTTTTCCCCAGCTGCCTTCAAAATTTTCTCTTTATTTTAGATTTTTAGCAGGTTGATTATGATGTATCTAGGCATGTGTAAGGTTTTCTTTGTTTGTTTGTTTGTTTGGTGTATATCCTTTTTGGGTTGTTTGAGCTTGGATCTGTGATTTACTGTCATTCACTATTTTTGGAAAATTCTTGGCCATTCATTATGTCTCCAAATATTTCTTCTTCCCCATTTTCTTTCTCTTATCCTTTTGGGACTCCAATTATATGTACATTATTATGTTTGATATAATTCCACATCTCTTGAATGCCCTGTTCTGATTTTATTCTCCCACTCTTCTTCTTTCTTTCTGTATTTTTGTTTGGGTAATTTCTGTTGACAGATCTTCCAGTTAATTGATTCTTTCTAGCTGGGTTCATACTTCTACTAAGGAGTATGTTGAAAGCATTTTTTATCTCCACTATTAGTTTTGTTTTTGGTTTTTTTTGTTTGTTTGGTTTTTGTTTTTGTTTTTGTTTTTGTTTTTGTTTTTGTTTTGAGATGGAGTTTCGCTCTTGTTACCCAGGAGGGAGTGCAATGGCGTGATTCGGCTCACTGCAACCTCTGCCTCCCAGATTCAAGCACCCGTGCCTCAGCCTCCCAGGTAGCTGGGATTATAGTCACCCACCATCACACCTGGCTAATTTTTGTATTTTTAGTAGAGAAGGGGTTTCACCATGTTGGCCAGGCTGGTCTCGAACTTCTGACCTCAGATCATCTACCTGCCTCAGCCTCCCAAAGTGCTGGGATTATAGGCATGAGCCACCGTGCCTGGCCAATATTAGGTTTTAATTTCTAGCAGTACACAGATGTTGAAACTAGCATGCAGGAACTTTACAATAACTATGATTAATATGTGAAAGGATATAGTAGAAAAGGTAGCATGTATAAAAGATGGGGAATTTCAGAAGAAAGATGTCTTCTTCTGAAAAAGATGGGAGAAATTCCCTATCTTTTATACATGCTTCTTCTTCTGAAAAAGATGGGAGAAATTCCTTATCTTTTATACATCTTTCTTCTTCTCAAAAAGATGGGAGAAATTCCCCATCTTTTATACATGCTACCTTTTCTACTATATCCTTTCACATATTAATCATAGTTATTTTAAAATTCCTGTATGCTAGTTTCAACATCTGGGTATTGGATGTTGACTTCATTGTTTCTTGATCGTAGGTAGTGTGTGTGTGTGTGTGTGTGTGTGTGTGTGTGTGTCTGTGTGTGTGTGTGATGTAATTTTTGAGTGAATGCCAGACTTTGCATGAACAGTAGAGACCTGGGGTAAATATTGTTAAAATATTGTTAACAGTGGAAAATGAGAATGACTCTTCTTGTGTAAGGCCATTAATATGGAGAATTGACTCGATCTGTCAGGAGTTGAGCTGGGTTTAGGTTTTGTTGTTGCTATGGTTACCATCAGTGCACCACAGGCTTCTAATTCTTCCATTGGTGGGCCGCCTTTGCCTTGTGCCTAGAGTGGACACTGGTATGCCAGAGTCTTCTCTCAGGTTTATTGTTCTACCATCAGCTTTCAGCTTTCCTGAATGCCTGTACCACAGGGAAGATCTCTCACCATGGATTTTCCCCATCCCCAGTCTTAGACTACTGTTGCTTGTTACTTTTTGCCAGGTTTGTGTTCAGGGTAGATGGATTTATCTGTTGTTCTACTCCAGTCTATGTCTTAGGGAGGGCCTCTGAAATTGGGCCTCTCTCTGCATTCCTGTCACTCCGTCTTGTGGCAGCCAAATTCTGCTTTGTATTAATAATAGTTGATCTTGAACAAGAGTTTTCTTCGCCTTTCCTAGTGGTAGAAAACCTCTGCCTTATATCAGTTTGAGATGTTAGGTCCAAGATGATTTTGTGCATCTCCCCAGAGATAGCCTTTTCTTATACCCCTAACCCCTCTCCATAATGCATCTTTTCCTGGGCTTTGGGCAACAGTCTTTGCTGCCACTCTTCCAGAAGTTTAAAGCTTTTGCTTCACATGAGAAAAGAGTCTGGGGAGGGAAGTGTATGGTGTTTTGTGTCTGGCCACACAGACCTACCAGTTACTTTCTGTATACCTGCTACACCCATGGTCTTTTCTTCCTGATTTAATTGATACACAATAACTGTACATATTCATTGGGTACATGTGATATTTTGATACATGCATATAATGTGTAATGATCAAGTCAGGGTGTTTAAAATATCCATCACTTCGAATATTTATCATTTTTTTGTGTTGGGAACATTTCAAATCTTCTCTGGTAGATGTTTTGAAATAGACAATAAGTTATTAGTAACTATAGTCACCCCACTGTGCTATCAAACACTAGAACTTATTCCTTCTCTCTAACTGTATGTTTTCATCCATTAACCAACCTCTTTTCATACCTCTACCTTTTCCCAGCCTCTGGTAACCATCATTCTAATCTCTACCTCCATGAGATCAACTTTTAGTTCCCACATATGCAGTGAGAACATGCAATAACTGTCTTTCTGTGCCTGGTTTATTTCTCTTAACATAATGTCCTCCAGTTCCATCCGTGTTACTGCAAATTACATGCTTTTATTCTTTTTATGGCTGAATAGTATTCCATTGTATATATACCATATTTTCTTTATTTATTCATGGACACTTAGGTCGATTCTGTATCTTGGCTATTCTGAATAGTGCTGAAATAAACATGGAGGTGCAGGTATTCCTTTGATATACTGATTTCTTTTCCTTTGAATACATTCCCAGTAGTGGGATTACTGGATCATATGGTACTTCAATTTTTAATTTTTTGAGAAACCTCTATGCTGTTTTCCATAATGGCTGTACTAATTGACATTTTCACCAACAGTGTATGAGTCCCTTTTTCCACATCATCATCAGCACTTGTTATTTTTTGTCTTTTTGACAATAACCATTCTAACTGGGGTGAGATGATATCTGATTGTGGTTTTGATTTGCATTTCCCTAATGATTAGCAACGTTGAACATTTTTTCACATGTCTGTAGGCCATTTATATGTCTTCTTATGAGAAATGTCTATTCACATCTGTTGCCCGCTTTTTAATGGGATTACTGGCTTTTGTTTTGTTTTGTTTTGTTGCTGTTGAGTTGAGTTCCTTGTATATTCTAGATATCAGTTCCTTGTCAGATGAATAGTTTGCAAATATTTTCTCCCATTGTACAAGTTGCCTCTTTATCAATTGTTTCTTTTGCAGTGCAGAACCTTTTTAGCTTAATATAGTCTTTTCTGTCTGTTTTTGTTTTTGTTGCCCATGCTTTTAAAGTCTTAGTTACAGCAGGGCATGGTGGCTCATGCCTGTAATCCTAGTGGCTCAGGAGGCTGAGGTGGGAAGATCACTTGGGGACAGGAGTTTGAGACCAGCCTGTGCAACATAGTGAGATCCTGTCTCTACAAAAAAAAAAAAAAAAAAAAAAATTAGCTGAGCATGGTGTTGTGCGCCTGTAGTCTCATCTACTCAAGAGTCTGAGGTGGAAGGATCACACAAGCCCAGGAGCTTAAGGCTGCAGTGAGCCATGATCATGCCACTGCACTCCAGCCTGGACAACAGAGGAGACCCCAGATCTACAAAATTTAATAAATTAAAAAATAAAGGCTCATCCATAAAATCTTCACGTAGTCCAATGTCCTACAGAATTTCCCCTATGTTTTCTTTTGGATCTTATCTTTAAGTCTTTAATCCATTTTAAGTTGACTTTTGTATATGGTGAGAGACAAGGGTCTAGTTTCATCCTTCTGCATGTGGATATCCAGTTTCCCCAGCACCATTTATTGAAGAAGGTGTTCTTTCCCCAGTGTATGTTCATGGCACTTTAGTCAAAAATCAATTGGCTGTAAATATGTGGATTTATTTCTGGGTTCTCTGTTCTGTTCCCTTGGCCTATGTATCGATTTTTATACTAATACTATGCTGTTTGGGTTACTATAGCTTTGTAGTATATTTTGAAGTAAGGTAGTATGATGCTTCCAGCTTTGTTCTTTTTGCTTAGGATTGCTTTGGCTATTTGAGGTCTTTTGTGGTTCCATACAAATTTTAGAATTCTTTTCTATTTATGTGAAGAATGTCACTGGTATTTTGATAGGGAATGCATTAAATCTATAGATTGTTTTGTGTAGTATGGCCATTTTAACAATAGTAATTCTTCTGATCCATGAGCATGGGATGTCTTTCCATTTGTTTGTGTCCTCTTCAATCTCTTTCATCAGTGGTTTTTGTTGTAGTGGTCTTTCATTAAATTCATTCCTAGGTATTTTATTTTTTGTAGCTATCGTAAGTGGGATTGCTTTTTTGATTTCCTTTTCGGCTAGTTTGTTATTGGTGTATAGAAACACTACTGATTTTTGTATGTTGATTTTGTATCCTACAACTTTACTGAATCTGTTTATCAGTTCTAAGAGTTTTTTGGTGGATTCTTCAGGTTTTTCGTGATATAAGATTATGTCATTTGCAAAGGAAGATGACTTCCTCTTTTCTAACTTAGATGCCTTTTATTTTTCTGTTTTTTGATTGGTCTAGCTAGGGCTTCCAGTACTATGTTGAATAAGAGTGGTGAAAGGTGGACATCCTTGTTTTGTTCCAGTTCTTAGAGAATAGGCTTTTAGCTTTTCCTCATTTAATGTAAAGTTAGGTGTAGGTTTGTCATATATGGCCTTATTATGTTGAAGTATGTTCCATCAGTGCCTAATTTGTTGAGAGTTTTTAACCATGAAGACATGTTGAATTTTATAAAATGATTTTTTGCATCTATTGAGATTATCATATGGTTTTTGTCTTTTATTCTGTTGATGTGATGTATCACATTTATTGACTTGCCTGTATTAAAACACCTTTGCATCCCTGAGATAAATCCCACTTGATTATGATGTCTTATATTTTTGATGTGTTGTTTGATTTGTTTTGCTAGTATTTTATTAAGGAGTTTTGCATCTATGGGATATTGGTCTGTTTCCTTTTTTTTTTTAACTGCACACATACATGGAAATTAAACAACATGCTCCTAAATGACAATTGGGTCCATAAAGATATTCAGAAGGAAATAAAAAAATTTCTTGAAGCAAATGAAAATGGAAACACAATTTACCAAAACCAGTGTGTTTCATACCACTGGTTTTTGTTGTTGTTGCTATTGTTGTATCCTTTTCTGGTTTTGATATCAGGGTAATGCTGTCCTTGTAGAATGATTTAGAAAGAATTCCATCCTCTATTTTTGCAACAATTTGAGAATTGGCGTTAGTTCTTTACAGGTTTGGTAGTAAAGCCATCCAGTCCTGGTCTTCCCTTTACTGAAAAACCTTTTATTACTGATTCAATCTCATTATCCATTATTGTTCTTTTCAGGTTTTTTATTTCTTCCTTGTTCAATCTTGGTAGGTTGTGTTTGCCCAAGAACTTATTCATATTCTTTAGGTTTTGCAGTTTGTTAGCCACATCATTGGTCATTGTTTGTAATAGTTGTCAGTGATCTTTATATTGTTGTGGTAACAGTTGTAAGGTCTTCTGGTTTCTGATTGTGTTTGTTTGGGTCTTCTCTCTTTTTTTCTTAGTCTAGCCAGCAGTTTATGAATTTTGTTTATCTTTTCAAAAGCCAACTTTTTGTTTAGTTGATTCTTTTTTTCTTTTTTTTGTCCCTATTCATTTTGTTCTGCTCTGATCTTTATCTTTTCTTTACTTTTACTAATTTTGAGTCTGGTTTGCTCTTGCTTTTCTAGTTTATTGAGGTGCATAATTGGTTATTTGAAATCTTTCTACTTTTCTGGTGTAGGCATTTATTGCTATAAACTTCTCTCTTAGCAATGCTTTGCAGTATCCCATTGGTTTTGGTAAGTTGTGTTTTCTTTTTTTTTTTCCCAAGAGAATTAAATGGGTTATTGATTACACATGACAATGGATGATACACAAGCTTTATTCCCATCTATAATTTTATCTGGTACCATTATTCAATTTAGATACACTGCATAGGATGTGCCAACAAACTTTTTTTTTTTTTTTTTTGAGACAGAGTCTCGCTCTGTCGCCCAGGCTGGAGTGCAGTGGTGCAATCTCGGCTCACTGCAACCTCTGCCTCCTGGGTTCACGCCATTCTCCTGCCTCAGCCTCCCAAGTAGCTGGGACTACAGGCACCCACCACCACGCCTGGCTAATTTTTTGTATTTTTAATAGAGATGGTGTTTCACAATGTAGGCCAGGATAGTCTCGATCTCCTGACCTGGTGATCCGCCCGCCTTGGCCTCCCAAAGTGCTGGGATTACAGGCCTGAGCCACCGTGCCCAGCCCCCAACAATCATTTTTATAACCAATAATTCCATGATTTTGCTTGGGCAATCCCTTTTAATGGTGAACTTCAGGTCACAACAGTAACTGTCAGTTCAACTACACCAAGGTTTCTGAAGACAGTGGCTTCTTCACCCAAGCAGGTTGTATATAAATTCCAAATAGAACCTGGTATCACCCTGAAGGAATTCTAACTTCACACTGTTGGGGAAATTTACCAAGATGGCTTCAGAGTAGACTAACTTAGCATGTTTTTTTAAAAGACACATTTATTCAGCATCACAATCAGACCATTATATTTAGCAATCAACAGCATGGGTGGAAAAGAAAAAAAAAAAAACTGGCCGGGTGTGGTGGCTCATGCCTGTAATCCCAGCACTTTGGGAGGCCGAGGCAGGCGGATCACGAGGTCAGGAGATCGAAACCATCCTGGCTAACACGGTGAAACCCTGTCTCTACTAAAAATACAAAAAATTAGCCCGGCGTAGTGACTGGTGCCTGTAGTCCCAGCTACTTGGGAGGCTGAGGCAGGAGAATGGCGTGAACCCAGGAGGTGGAGGTTGCAGTGAGCCGAAATCGAGCCACTGCACTCCAGCCTGGGCAACACAGCGAGACTCCATCTCAAAAAAAAAAAAAAAAACTACATTAAAACCCTTTGTTGGAATGCTTTACACTTTCCGCAGAACAGAAACTAAAATAACCTGTTATACAATTAGTCACAAATACAGTCCTCCTCAAGTTTTTTTGCCCATACACATGAGTATTTGTCTCAAACATGTCTTCTTTATAGTAGCTAGGCCCTGCCACCACTGTGCTTGGCTGAGTTCACAAATCTTTTGTAACCTGTAGCTTCCCTGTCACTTCCCTGGCTCTCCTCTCCTGCTAAGATTTGTTTCCTGGCAGTAATTAAAATCTTCCGCCACTGCCATAGCTCTGCTGCTACTGGAACCACCGTAGCCACCTTGGTTTCATGGTTTGGCAAAGTATTGGCCTCCACCACCATAGGGGCCAGAGTTTCTGCCTCCAAAGTCTCCTGCCTTCATGGGTCCAAAATTTGAAGACTGATTGTTGTAACTGCCAAAATCATTACAGCTTCTACCACTTCCAAAATTGCTTCCATCATTACCAAATCCATTATAGCCATCTCCACAACCATTGAAGTTTCCTCCATGACCAAAGTTGTCATTCCAAAAACTACCTCCATGACCACCACCAAAGTTTCCAGAACCACTTCGACCTCTTTGGCTGGATGAAGCACTAGACATCTCTTGCTTTGACAGGGCTTTCCTAACTTCACAGTTGTGGCCATTCACAGTATAGCATTTCTGAATGACAGTCTTATCCATGGAGTCATAGTCGTCAAAGGTTACAAAGGCAAAGCCCCTCTTCTTGCCACTGCCTCGGTCAGTTATTATTTCAATCAGTTCCATTTTTCCACACAGTTCAAAATAATCTCTTAGGTGATGTTCTTCAGTGTCTTCTTTAATACCACCAACAAATATCTTTTTCACAGTTAAGTGGGCACCTGGTCTTTGAGAATCTTCTCTTGAGACAGCTCTCTTTGGTTCCACAACTCTTCCGTCGACCTCGTGTGGCCTCGCATTCATGGCTGCATCCACCTCCTCCACAGTGGTATATGTGACAAACCCAAAGCCCCTGGAGAGCTTGGTGTTTGGATCTCTCATTAACACTCAGCCCGTGAATTCCCCATTGCTCAAAATGGCTCCTCAGGCTCTCGTTGGTTGTTTCAAAACTCAATCCTCCAATGAAGAGCTTCCTCAGCTGTTAGGGCTCTTTAGGAGATTCTGACTTAGACATGACGGCAGGGGGATGAGAGACTTTACAATGCTTCCTCGGCGGCATCCATGGGCAGAAAGAACATGTTTCCATTTTCATTTGCTTCATGAAATTTTTTTATTTCCTTCTGAATATCTTTATTGACCCAATTGTTAGGAGCATGTTGTTTAATTTCCATGTATTTGTACAGTTTCCAAAGTTCCTCTTGTTATTGATTTTCAGTTTTATTCCATTGTGAGCTGAGAAGATACTTGTTATGATTTTGATTTTTAAAAGTTTGTTAAGACTTGTCTTGTGGTCTAATATATGGTCTATCCTGGAGAATGTTCCATGTGTTGATGAGTAGGATGTGCATTCTGCAGCTGTTGGATGAAATGTCTTGTAAATGTCTGTTAGGTTCAGTTAGTCTCTAGTGCATACTGAGTATGATGTTTCTTTGCTGGTTTTCTGTCTAGATCTGTGCAATGATGAAAGTGAGATGTTGAAGTCTTCAACTGTTAGTATATTGGAGTCTCCCTCTTTAACAATATTGGTTTTATATACCTGGGTACTCCAGTGTTAGGTATTTACAATTGCTATATCCTCTTGCTTAATTGATCCCTTTATCATTTTATAATGACCTTTTTTGTCCCTTTTTATGTTTTTTGACTTTAAGTCTATTTTGTCTGATATAAGTATAGCTACAGAAGCATATTTTTGGCTTCTGTTTGTGTGGAATATTTTTGTCTATTCCTTTTCTTTCAATCTATGTGTGTCTTTACAAGTGAAGTAAGTTTTTTAGGCAGAATATAATTGTGTCTTTTTTTTTGATCTATGCAGCCAGTCTATAGCTTTTAATTGAGGAATTTAAGCTGTTTACATTGAAGGTTGTTTTTGATAGGTGACGACATGTTATTATCATCTCGTTGTTTTCTGATTGTTTTGTATTTTTTGTTTTATTGTTCACGTCTACAGTTTGGTCTGTTTTGTGGTAATAACAGTTGACTCCTTTCTTCTCATTTGTGTGTCTGCTTTATCAACGAGTTTTATTTTTTGTGTGTTTTCATATATATGTAGATGTAGTTCTTTTGCTTCCAGATGTAGGATTTCCTTAAGCTCCTCATCATTTATTTTGTTGAATTTGTCATTCAGATCATGAATTCTTTCCTTGATTTCTTTGTACCATTCATTTGGGTTGTCCTATCTCACTGACTTTTTCTAATGTCATTATTTTGAAGTTTTTTCCAGGCATTTCATAAATTTCCTTTTCTTTGGGCTCTGTTACTGGTAATTATAATGTTCCTTTGGAGGTGTCATGTTTTCTTGCTTTTTCATGTTTTTGTGTCCTTACCTTAATATCTACACATCTATTGTAACAGTCACTTCTTCCAGTTTTATCGGTTGGCTTTTGCAGTGAAATATTTTTCCTGTAGATGTTTCTGTAGTGTTGGTTGGAAAAGGCATTTTGGCATTGATTCTTGGTGGGGGTAGTAGCGTAGCCTTTGTATGATTTCTTCAGCTGTAATCAGCTCATCAGTGGCATCTGTGAGTTCCTCAGTGGCTTAGGCTGCAGTTGTTAGTGGAGGCTGTGGTGACACTTTGCTGATGATGCGAATGCCAGATGGGCCAGTCCTCGGGCAACAGTGGTGGTGGTGGTGGTGGTGTGCTGAGCATGCCAGTCCTCAGGTGCCAAAGTAGTATATGTGGGCACCAGCAGTGACAAGTTCAGGAGGGCAGAGCCTGGGGCCCCCAGATGTTGTGCGTGGTGCCAGCAGTGGCAGGTCCTGAAGGGCAGGTCCTCTGGTCCCCAGACAGCATGTGTGATGTTGGTGGTGGCAGTAGCAGCGGCAGGCCAACCCTCAGAACACCAAGCAGTGCACACAGGCACCAGCAGTGGTGGTGGCAGTCTGGGTGTGCTGGACCACAGTCTCCTGGGTGGTACATGTGGGCAGGGGCTGGTAGCAGCAATGTCAGTGTAGACAGGCAAGTACCCCTGCTTTTAGGAGGTGCATATGGGCACAAGCAGCATGTGGGGTGGTCCTGTCCTTATACTGCTAGACAGCATTCACATATACTAGTGGCAGCACACAGGGTGGGTCTATACCCAAACCACTGCACAGTGGATGCAGGCCCACGCACTGACTTTTTCATGAGCACTCAGTAGAGTCCACAGATAGGAGTTGGTGAATGAATATTAACTCCCTTTTGGTGCCCTCACTATTCTAGACTGGCACACTAACCCACACTTAGCCTTTGGAAGCTCCTTTAAAATGTGATTGGTTTCTTCTTCCCCACTTGTATTGTGGCCTACAGCTTTTTCTCATGTGGTTTGCTACAGGTGAGAGAGTTTATGTCTTTTATCTCTCCTTAGAAGGGTTTATCTCTCTTTCAAACTCAGATAACTCTATTTTCCTCAGTTTTCTGATTGGTTCAATAAAGTTATGATTTTGCTTTTTTCTGGACTTTTCTCATTGTTGTGATGAGAACAATAGTCTTTGCAGCTTTTTAACACAAAGCAGAAGTGAAAATTCATGCTTAATTTTTAAAATTTCTATGATAATGATGACATCGAACTATTAGTAAGTGTATCTCAAGGTAAAAGGTGTTCTTAGGTTGAGTTTCCTAATTAATTAATATTCTAGATCATTTAAAATTTTGGACAAGTTCTTGTTAGATCTGTTTAGACAAACATTGCTTTTTATTGAAATATGGCTGAAATGTTCATTATTAAGAGTGGAGAGAATGTCAGCTGACACTTTCTTGTTTGCTCGTGCTTGCATTATTAGTATTACCTTTAAATGATGGTATCTTTAAACGAATTTTTTTTAGGCCACTAGTCTCTTTGTGAGGGCTAATTTTCTTAAAGCTAGATAATAGCAAACCTCTTAACCAAGCACACTCAAACTGCAATACATCACATTACACTGAAAGTGATTAAATGGCAGAGGTTTGTACTGTCAGCCCCTATGAGTTTGAGAACTCCCACTCTGCCTCAAAGATCCTTTTGTATTATACATGATATATGACTGTATGACATAGTTACCAACTGAGAGAATCAGGATCAATCCACATATTAAATATTTATAAAGCTTAATTTCTTTCCTTAGATAAAAAGTTTGCTAGAATATTAGAAACATTAGACTATTAGAAACAAAAATTAGAAATATTAGGAATTCTAATATTTTCTCACTTTAATAGATCTTCTTAGATACTCCCTGGCTTGCATATCCCCGACTTAAGCGATGCTGCACTCGTGTATATGCTTCTATAGAGTAGAACTTCTGTCTCAATCGCTGTTTGTTCCTCCCAATGCCTTGTATAGGCCTGATACTTTATACGATGGCAATGCATACTTACTTGATGCATAAATGAACACATGGTCCCTGACATCAGGAAGCCTTGTCATTCACCAAATGGATCCATCCGGTCAATTATGACGAACATGTGAAAAAAATAGAAACCTATCTAAGATGATATATTATAACTAAATTGTACCATAGTGATGACATCCATTTGATTTTTAAAAAGGCAGTTAAATACAAATTGATATCTTGGAGAAAAGTACATAGAAAAAGTCCACTTGGGCTGAGCCTTGACATTGGGGAGCATTGCAGTAGTCAGAAATAAAAATGTTGTTTTCCATCAAAGAGAACAACACAAGCAAAGTAGAGCATAAGCAGGGTCTGGAGAGTTCAGATCATAAGGAGTGGGAGCAGCCGTCCCTGCAATTTGACCACACCAGCAGCATGGGAGTTGGGAGGGCTGAGAAATTTATTCAGGCAGAGACACACTCACTGGCCCTAACTGTGATTGTCACTTCTGGTCTTCAGTGCCTTCTAGCTGGTTCAGCAGAAGCCAATGCACTGGAGCAGCCACAGAACCACAGAAGCCCAAGCAGAAATGGATATCGCCATGGCCTCTTCTCCCTCCATATCACTCCCTGCTGCATGAATTTGTCCTTGCTTAGCTTGCTTACCTTAAAAAACAAATATTTACTTAGTTATTAAAATGAGGCAAGTACTATACAAGGCATCAAAGTTAATGAAAATAAGATGTAATTCTTGCCTTTAAGGAACTTAGTCTTATGAGAGAGACATTGACATAAAGTGAATATTTAAAATGTCATGCACTAAGTACCAACATAGAGTTTACACAACACATTATAGGAGATCAGAGGAGGGATAAGTAATCCAGTTCTGGGGGAAAGGGAGGTGGGATGAAGAGAAATTGTGCAATAGAGATAATTTCTTAGAGAAAGGTACAAGAAAGCTGAGTCTTCAGGGTTGAGTAAGAGTTATTTAGGTAATGAGGGAATAAGAGAGCTACTTGAAGCAGAAGAAAAATAAATGCTACTAGATTAAGAAGTATTAATAAAAGGCAGGTAGTAGAGAAAAATTGGTCTAGAGAGTTAAGCAGGGACCTGTGCATTGAAGTATCTTTTAACAACATGTTAAAACAACTGTAGTGATTTAGCTGAGAGATGATAGTGACTTGAGTTAGGGTAGAGAAGAGGGGACAGATACAAAAATATAGCAATGGTGACAGCAGCACATGACTACTTGGATATGAAACCACATGAATCTGAAATCTCTACCTTGAAACAAGTTGGAAATAATGAAAAGAAGAAAAGATTTTTAGGTAGATAATGTGTTTGGTTTCGAAGATAATGAGTTTAAGGGACCAGTGGGACACCCAGGCGAAAGTTTCCATCAGGCAGTCGGACCACAAAGCCCGGATATGAGGTGAGTAGGCTGGGCTGGAAATAATTCTCAATACACGTGTAATAGCTGAAACCATGAGATGTGGATGAGATCATCCCCAGAACCCTGTGCACGGTTAAAAGCAGTAGGGCAAGTACAACTGGATAAATGAGCCATATTCCAGTGAGTGACCCAGGAATCCTGCCAAGACCCAAGGACATATCCCTGAAGGACCCGCAACATTTAAAATAGGCTTGGAGGACAAAAGTCCACAAAAAATCAGCAAAGGAAGTTTTGAGAAAAATAAAGAGCATGAGAGGGTGGGATCACAGAAGCCAAGATGGTAAAACATTGTAAAAAGGACGGAGTAGGCCAGGCATGGTGGCTTGCACCTGTAATCCTACTCAGGAGGCCAAGGTGGGAGGATCTTCTGAGCCCAGGAGTTCAAGGCTTCAGTGAGCCAAGATTGCACCACTGCACTCCAGCTTGGGTGACAGAGGGAGACTGCGTCTCTGAAAAAAAAACAAAAAACAAAAAGGAGGAAAGAGTGATCCTGGTGTCAAGTGTAGCAGAGACTTTCAGAAAGAGAAGAATGTTCCTTGAGTTTAGCAGTGTCAAGATGACCAGCAATCTCAGTGGTGGAAGCAGGATCTGGAGTCTCTCAGGTCTGGGCTGAGGAAAGGAAGAAGGATCCCAACAACTCTCAGGCATCGAGTCTGCTCTGAGACTCAGGAGAAAGTTTGGCAGGAGAGTGGGAAGGAGAGGCAGGGCTGTGTCCAGAGAGCGGGGCTGCTCCAGTGAGCTCTCCCTGCCCCGTGGGAAGGGCAACCAAAGAGAACAGTGGTGACACTGAGGACGTCAGGGAGCAGTCAGGCTGGGAGCTGGACTGGCTGTCCACATGGAAACTGATGTCACTAGAAAATGAACAGGGATACTGGGAGGCTGGTCAGTTTTCAGTGAGTTTGGGGAAGGACAGGAAGTCAGTAAGTGATGGAGATGAAAAGGGTGGAAGATGGCAGAGCACTGTGACACCTACCTGAGAGAAGCCAGGATATTTACCTGAGAGTAGAAGGAAGTAGTCTGGAGCAGCCTTGGGAAATGAGGACAGGTAAAGGTTTGGGGATGTGGAGAATAAGCAGTCTCCCTGAGGGAGGGCCCCAGGGGAAGACCTCAGTGTCCTCAAGGAAGAGACAGATTTTCCTTAAGGCCATGAAAACTGTGACATGAACTTTCATATGCCTACCATGAGCAAGAGTTTCTCAGGACACTCAGTGAAAAGGTCTGAGAATCTAAGAGGAGAAAGCACAGAGCAGTTTGGGAAGAGTGTGGGAGAGGCTGCAACAGGAAGATGGCTAGGAGCTGAAGCTGGGGGCAGGATGCTGGGGTCAGTGGTCCAAGCGACTCGGCTGGACAAAGAGCTGCTTTTGTGAGTGAGGAAGTGATCCGAGGTCCCTAAGGTGGGACCAGAGGCCTCGCCAAGCCAGGGAGTGGGAGTCTGTGGCTGGGGAAGCTCCACATGTCTGGAGCACAGGCTTCAGCTGCAGACCCAGGGCCATAGGAACTGAGGCTATTGAAAGAGGCCAGGAGGATGACTACATGCTGCTATCCTAGCCCCCAGGCCTTCTCAGCCTCCATGGTGCCACACTGATTTTTCTTTTTACCTGTTCCCCGACCCTCAGCATATCCCCAGCCTGGGGCCATGGCACTTTGTAACACTGGCACTACCAAGGGAAAAAAGAGTGTCTATGTAAGCCCATTTTCCAGATGATAGAAACTCAGTCTTTTGAGAATCAATTTCATACTTTAAAATTTTTTGATAGAAATTGGCCAAGTTGGCCAGGCACAGTGTCTCACGCCTGTAATCCCAGCACTTTGGGAGGCTGAGACGGTGGGATCAATTTGAGGTGAGGAGTTCGAGACCAGCCTGGCCAACATGGTGAAACCCTGTCTCTACAAAAATAACAAAATTAGGCAGGTGTGGTGGTACATGCCTGTAGTCCCAGCTACTTGGGAGGCCTGGGTGGGAGGATTGCTTGAGCCTGAGAGGCAGAGGTTGAAGTGAGCCAAGATCACGCCACTGCACTCCAGCCTGGGTAATAGAGTGAGACTCTGTCTCAAAAAAGAGAGAAAGAGAAAGAGAAAAGGAAGGAAGGAAGGAGAAAGAAAGAAAGAAAAGGAAAGAAAGAAAAGAAAGAAAAAGGAAGGAAGGAAATTTTTTTTAAATCATCAATTCTGACAGAAATGTTTTTAATGGGCATTGTTTGTGAAAGGACAATTTTAAATACGATTTTTTTTTTTTTTTGGTAATGATTAAGGGGCCTTGTGTCTGTTTTGAAAAGACGTAGCACATAAATAAGTGAATGATGATGACTATGGTCATCATTATTGACATCAGTTACATGTCCTGTTATAATATGTTGATGCTCAGGGTCTTTTGAGACAGACTAGTAGCAGCCTCTATGCTGTGGTTACTAAGCAGTCCCTAAAAACCGGCTCTTGGACCACTTTGTTGTTGTCGTCATTGTTCTGCTGCCTCCTTGACTGCGCTCATTACTTCCCTGCTTCTTCTAATGGTTGCCTCATTCTTCACAGCATTGTTTAGGTAAAGTCCTGAAAGTAATTCTGCCTCTCTAATGGGATCACCCACTTAGACTTTGTGACTGCTGTTTGCTGTTCAGAGAACTTTGTGCTTTCTTCCAGAATTGGAAGCTTGGCCCATGTTGCCAGATTTTATTTATTTACTTAAAAAAATATTGACTACTTACCTGCCAGATTCTGAGTGAGGAACTAGGGGCATAGCATACAGGAAAACACAATCTTTGCCATCATGAAGCTTAGAGTTTAGAGGCAGAAACAGAAACAGACAATAAACCAACAAACAAAAATTATAAGTTGAGAAAAAATAAATGAAAGAAGCAAACAGAATGACAAAATGGAGAATATCAGTCTTTCTTTGGGTGGTGTGTGATGGAAGGAGGGGTTAATTTAGATTGAGTGGCCATAGAAGGCCTCTTTCAGAAGTTGTATTTAGGATAAGCCCTGAAGGATGAAGGGAGTCTGCCAGGCAGAGTTGGAGCAAGAGTGACCCCGGAGAGAAGACTGTAAATGCATGGCCCGGAGGAAGGAAGGACCTTAGTGCTTATGAGGGACTGAAAGGAAATCAGCCTGGCTAGAACATGGTGTGTGAGAAGAAAAGAGATACTGTAAATGAGTGACAAGAGGACAGGCCAGGTGATGCTGGGTGGTGGACACCATGGCAGGTACTATTCAGAGTTTGGATTTAATTCTGAGTTTAGTTGGAAGTCACTGAAGGTATGTGAGCTTGAAAGTGACATGATTTGGTTTTGTTTACAAGATCATTTCAACTGCTATGCAGGGAACAGATTGGAAAAAGGGAAGTGGAGGTAAAGAGGTCAGATAATGGGTGTTGCAATACTCCAAGTGAGAGATGATGGTGGACTATGTAAGTTTTATGGATCAACAAGCAGGCATCACTCGTGTCTCTTTTTAACTTCTTTTTTTTTAACTTTTTATTGTGAATCAGTTTCAGACTTACCAAAAATATAAAAATAGCACAAAGAATTTCTTTATACCCTTTACACAGCAGCCGCATGTATTAACATCTTCCATAACCACAATTATGAAACCCAAGAATTTAACATTGATACGGTAGTATTAACTGAGCTACAGTGCTTATTCATAAACTGCCAATTTTCTTTTTTGTTGTGTAGGATCTGATCCAGGATTACACATTGTCATGTCATCTTAGTCTCTCCGATCCACAGTGGTTCTTCACTTTCTTTGTTTTTCACAGTCTTGACAATTGGAAGAATACTGACCAGCTGTTTTGCTCACCACCCCTCAATTTGTGTTTGTCTGCTGTTCCCAATGATTATATTCAAGTTACACAAGAATGATACTAGGCTCTTTTTACTGCATCATATCAGGAGGCCCATGATAACTACTTGTTGTATCACTGGTGATGTTAACTTAGTCACTTGGTTAAAAAGGTACCTGCCGGTTTTCCCCATTGTAAAGTTATTACATTTTCTTTTGTAATTATTAAGTGTCTTATGGGGAGATACTGTGAGACTATGCAAATATCCTGTTTCTCCTCAAGCCTTTTCCTTCCAATTTGTGTATACATTGATGATTCTTGCCTACAGCAATTATTACTGTAGTGTATATGTTGCGGGGGTAGGGGTTAATTTAGATTGAGTGGTCACAGTAGGGGTTAATTTTGACTGAGTGCCAAATGTATAAAGAATCATGAAATATATTTCCCAAATATCTAGTAGAGATTTTCTGTTTTATAACTTGGCCTAGTTGTAATTACAACATTTACTAGTTGGAATTCTATGGTAAGACAGTGTTTTTTCCTTATTCATTTATTCAAGTATGTATTTATGTAAGTACGGATTCATGGATATTTGTTTTGTTCTATGGGTTATATCCATTCTATCACTATTGGTTTTGTTGCTTAGATTTTCCAGATTTGGCCATTGGGGACAACCTCAAGTTGGTTCTTATGTCTTTTCAACACGTTCTTATCATTTTTTGAGCATTATCTTACCTTCTTCAACCTTAAGTGTTCCAGGCTTATCTTGTACTTTCCCAGCCCGAGCCATGAAATCAGTCATTTCTCCAAGGATCCCTGTTTCTGTTCTTGGAGAATGAATTTTAGAAACAAAGATCTGGGCTCTGGGTATGTTCACTGTTTCTTAGTTTTCTTGGTGGACAGAATTTAAAAATATAAGTATGAATATACACACATAATAATCATGTATCTCTCTCTCTCTCTCTCTCTCTCTGTATTAAAAACTGGTTCATTCCAACCTTCTCTCTTTCCTTATTTGTAATTCCTTTCTCTGACAGCAAGAAACCTGACTCACATTAGTCACTATAAACTTGTTAATTTGCTGAGTCCTAGAATACACACAAATATTGCCAAGTCATACCCTTGTGGAAAAAAAAAAAAACTTACCAACTAGACTACAGTATCTGTGTAGAGGTTTTTTTTTCTTTAGCCTGATAGTATTTGTGATGGTCAGTTTTATGTGGCAACTTGGCTAAGTTACAGTCCTCATTTATTCGAGAAATCAAACCTGTAAAGGGATTTTGTAGATGGATTTAAAGTCTATAATCAGTTTATTTTAAGTAAGGGAGATTATCCCAGATAATCTGGGTAGACCTGATTCAATCAATCGAAAGGCCTTAAGAGTGAAACTGAGGCTTCCCTAAAGAAGAAAAAATTCTACCTGTGAATAGCAGCTTCAGCTCACACCCTAGAGTTCCAGCCTGCCCTCCTGATAGCCTGCCCTGTGAATT
Source organism: Homo sapiens (assembly GCF_000001405.40). Lineage (NCBI taxonomy): Eukaryota > Metazoa > Chordata > Mammalia > Primates > Hominidae > Homo > Homo sapiens. The sequence goes on from NC_000001.11 coordinate 115,867,806, forward strand.
TCTAACTTGCCTAGACAGCCCCTACAACATTGCAAGCCCATTCCTTACAGTAAATCCCTTAGTATATATGTCCTTTTGATCTGTTTCTCTGGGTGAATCCTGACTGATGTATTAGCCAAACAAAATAATGTTTTCTGCTTTCCAAAATCACTTAGTTTTCACCCAATCCCTTCAGTGTAATTATATTACTCATTTGTAATTCAGTTAGGTTCATTTGTTAGTGTTTGGGTTCCATTTTGCCTTCCCCTATATTGTGGCTGATTTTAATTATTTATCTAATTTTTGAGTATATTAAAAACATGGGTTTAAAGATCAGAACTAGACAAAAATGTATACCCAGAAAAGTCACTCATCCTTCATCCCTTCTGCTTCATTCCCATCCCTTTATTCTATCTACTCTATTTCCATCCACTTTCTGTAAGTAATCAGTCCCGATAGTTTCTGGTATACACTTTCTCTATTTCTTTCATTTGACACAAATGAGCAGATATATGTATATTTCTTATGTTCTCTTCTTACAGAAAAGAGCATAATATAGATGCCTTTTTCATAACAATATATCCTGGAAATCACTCTACTCCAGTTCATAAGCTCCTCTTCATTCTTTTCTATAGTTGCATAGTACTCCATTATGTGGATGTCCCATAGTTTACTCAACCAGTCTCCGGTGAAGGGGCATTTAGGTCGTTTCCAGTATCTTGCAATTATAAGCAATATCTTAAGCAATATCAAGTTAAAAAAATAAAATGGTGCTCTCTTTTCATACTTTTCTGAGTTGGTTTATAAATCTTGATGTCCAGAGAGGGAAAATGTTGAAAGGCATAGAAGACATTGGGAAATGGGCAGCAGTGTGCAATTCAAACTTAGCGATGGAAAAGCCACACTTTGGGGAAAATCGCCCTGCATTACGGTGGATACAGCAATGAAAAGAAAGGCAGATGAACTGGAATATATTCTTTTAGTCAGTGGTCCATCAGGAGAATATGTACTCCAAGGGAAGTACAAGTTAATCCTTTAGGGTACAGAAAGAAAATATTCAGGCCAGGCGCAGTGGCTCACTCCTGTAATCCCAGCACTTTGGAGGCCCAGGTCAGGAGTTCGAGACCAACCTGGCCAACATGGTGAAACCCTGTCTCTACTAAAAATAAAAGAATTATCCAGGCATGGTGACATGTGCCTGTAATCCTAGCTACTTGGGAGCTTGAGGCAGAAGAATTGCTTGAACATGGGAGGCAGAGGTTACAGTGAGCCGAGATCGCACAATTGCACTCCAGCCTGGGTGACAAGAGGGAAACTCCGTCTCAAAAAAAAGAAAATATTCAAACTTTATTTTATATTTAAGTTTTAGCTAAAAATGAGATGTGTTACTATTATTTAATACACAGGTTGACAGTGATGACTTCACCGTACCAGTGTCTGTTGGTCACAAACCACGTGTATACTCTGCAGCAAGGATGGGCTGGCAGTGAAAACCTCATGTGTCATTTTGCTTTCAGCGAATTGTAATGTACCATAGTCTAAGTGCTATAGGATGTCACTGGTATGGCTGGATTTATTAAAGCAAGACTTAAAACACGGAAGAAGCTTTACAATGCATTTTTAATGACATAAGGAGTGACTATGAACATCTTTTGTATCTCAGAGAAATTTACTGATGAATGCATAAAAAATTACTTTGAAGAGCTGTTAACTTAGAGATGGAATTTAACATTCTTCTGTTACAAAAAAGGAAGTGCTCCAAAGTGACCAACCTTTCTTTAATAACATATGACATTAAGTTGTTCATAATCAAGCATATATTTTATATTTTCAAAAAACCCCACAACCTGCTTCTTCAAAGTAACAAAGAATGAGAAGGTAACAATATTTCAAAAGAACTTAATGCTTTGAGAAATCATTTAGAAGGATAGAAACATGATTTGGTCATCAGAAAAAAAAATGTGTGTCATCTATTTTTAAAAATACCCTTATATCTGTGCCCTTAAAATAATTTAGAAATAATTTTTTAGTCTCCTTAAAATTTTTCCAAAACAAAGGCTTTTAATGAGTTTTAAACCCAGATATTTTAAAGTTAAAAGTCAATGTTTTCTGATTTGTTTGCAAGGAAAAGTGGTCAGAGCTGGGGAAAATAGAACTTTACTGGCCAAATTTCAGTGAAAACCGGCATGTGCAGGCAAGGATACACCTCTTCCATTTGGATTAGACATATTGCAAGATATCTTCTCATTTATAGCACTCTTTAAAACCAAGAATCTGGATAGACTAAGCTGGGAACCAGAACTTTGGATTGTTAAATCACAAGGTATTAAGCCAAGATTTAAAAAATTTAACTAGGCATATTCAATCACATTACTCTGTCATTTGTTAACATTAATTTTAGTAAGATTAAAAAGGGATTTTAAGGGGGGGAGCAGTGGCTGAAGACTCTAATCCCAGCACTTGGGAGACCAAGGCGGGTGGATCACTTGAGGTCGGGAGTTCAAGACCAGCCTGGCTAACATAGTGAAGCCTCATCTCTACTAAAAATACAAAAAGTAGCCAGGTGTGGTGGTGGCATGCACCTGTAGTCCCAGTTAGTTGGGAAGCTAAGGCAGGAGAATCGCTTGAACTCAGGAGGCAGAGGTTGTAGTGAGCTGAGATCATGCCACTACTCTCTGCCTGGGTGACAAAGTGAGATTGTCTCAAAAATAAAAATAAATAAAAAGATATTTTAAACAATTATTAAACAAAAAGAATATTATTTTAAAACGTGATTTATTTACCATTTACATATTCCCTTTTCAGGAATATGGATGCCTTATAATACATATAATGTATCAGTATATTAGTACTTATGTGTAAATTATAAATAAATAAGCGTATGCTGAGGGAGTGTGTTCAATTTTTAACTGATTGTGGTATGTGACCAAGATGTCTGAAAAACACCTAAAGATTATGTTTTGCAAATGACCTTTTCACCATTAATACCTGGCTAGCAGACTTTTAAAAATTATTTCATTTCCTGATTTTCAGAGTAATAGGTTTGTGTTCTATCTACCTCTAAAGGTGACTTTTATTATATATATATAATGAGATTTTATTTGCTTTCTCCCTCTTTCTATGTGCGTGTATCCATACAAACATACACATGTATACACATATGCATATAATCTTTTTTAACCATTGAGAATGAGTAGCAGATTGTTTTCCTTTATTCCTAAATATTTCCGTGTATATTTCCTAAGAACAAGGACATAGCCATAGTACAGTTATCAAATCGGAGAAGTTAATGTTGATTTTGACAGCAGAATTTAAAGATCTTGACTTAATCTGATCAGATAATAAACTTAAAACTGAAGAAAAAACTAAGAATAAGTCCAATGTATTTACCTGAATTGTCTCATCTGTGATATAGAAACTAACACCCACTGGGCCAGGTGCGATGGCTCATGCCTGTAATCCTAGCACTTTGGGAGGCCAAGGTGGGTGGATCACGAGGTCAAGAGTTTGAGACCAGCCTGGCCAACATGGTGAAACCCCGTCTCTACTAAGAATACGAAAATTAGCCGGGCGTAGAAGTGCATGCCTGTAATCCCAGCCACTAGGGAGGCTGAGGCAGGAGAATTGCTTGAGCCCAGGAGGCGGAGGTTGCAGTGAGCAGAGATCATGCCACTGCACTCCAGCCTGGGCGACAGAGCAAAGACTCTGTCTCAAAAAAAAAAAAAAAAAAAAGAAAGAAACTAACACCTGCTTTACATACTCAACAAAAGTGCTATGAACATTAAGGAAATGCTGAAAGTACTTTGGAAAACAAAAATGTTGCGTAAGTTAAATATTGTCATAATCATTTTCTATAAATTTTATCGTTGATGTGTAAGAAGGTGGTTGCTCTTAAATATAATTATTTTAAGCATTGTTTTAAAGTGTTAGGCTATTTTAATTTTAAAAACATACATATATGTGTGTGTACACATATATGTGTGTGTGTGCATATATATGTATATATATGTATCTCCACTAATTAAATTTACTACTGCACCAAGAATAAAAGTCTTAACGTATGCATAATATAAATCTACAATTATGACTAGGAGCCCAGCAACAAAATACCATGCAAGGCAAAAGGTAGAACGATGAGGATGAAGCATTGCCATTGTGAGTGTGTGGACAGACAGCTGTTCCTGCCTTACCGTGTTAACCAAAAGAGACTGTACCTGGTTCACAGCTAGTGCAATTTACTGTTAATTACCAATGCCTTGCAGATTAGCAGAAGTTAGGTGAGACGGGGTGGAAAACAGCCATGTCAACTTAATGGCACTCTTATCAAGAGTCCCCAAGAAACCAGAAACTCAGAAGAAAACAGGAGCGGAAATGGAGAGTAACCAGAGAAGTTTGTTTTGAACTTGATTCTCAGGTGGTAGGAGCATCAAGGAAGCATTCTGGAGTGTGTTCACTTGGTCTCTCTTTCTCTCAGATGTGCCATAAATGCCACTGATCTCTCTGGAGAAGACAAAGGGCTTGAGGAAAAACTTATTGCTGCCTTTAGCAGAGAGGACAAAAAGATTCCAGGAAAAATAACCTAGAATGTAGTAAAAGTCGGGGGAAGTTTTTACGAAGGCAGGGTAACATCTTAACAATTGTATGGCTTAGAGTCAAAAGTAAAGGAAGAAGCTTTTCAGCCTTGGAGCTGGCTCCCCCAGCCCTGATGACCCTCCTGCTTAGGATGAATCCAGATCTTCTGAGGAAAAAGCACCAGCACTGCCCTCAAGAATAATCAAGAGAATATCCAGGTATTGACAGGTGTAAGAAATCCTGACCTGGACATCAGGCAGAGCAATGACTGGAAAATGGTTCCCTCCTTCCTGAATCGGATGAAGGAACCCACCCAAATCTCCCAAGGCAGATCAGGGTTTCTCATTTCTGCTTCCACTTGAGGTTTGTAATTTTGGAACAGATGAGAGGAGAGAAGAAATGAGCAGCTGGCTACATAGATGGTATCCAAAAACAGGATTTGGTCTTCTAAACAGGGCTGATGATATTAGAATGATAGGCTTCTGGCAAGAAGAAGAAGGCGTCTCTCAAAAACCAGGATAAACATGTTTGGCAAGAAGCTGTATGATCTGATGAAGAGGACTTCAAAATGAAATTTAGGGCAAGGGGCAGGGAAATGTGCTTATATAATGCTCTGAAGATACTGCCATTCACATTCAGGTCTGCTCTCTGCCATTCTCCCCCTGCTCCGTGCCTGGGAAGTTCACAGTACAGACTGCGTCATGGGGCTCCCATCCCTTTTCTTTGGCTTGTACCAATGAGAGCCACCATGGAGAAACTCTGGGTTCAAGTAACCACACCTTCCTCTTTCCCCTTCAGACCAAGGAGTTGTAACAACTCTGTGTGGTTGCCACTAAAGCTGCTACATTATCCAGCCTCAGTTTCCCCTAATCATCTCTACACTTTGTAAGTAAGATCTTTAAAAACTGCTTCTCAAATTGCCCTTACGTATACCAGCTGTTTCTTCCATGACTCTAACATACAGTTATCTATATGGAGGATGGTGAGTGCAAGGGAAAAGAAGGAAGTGTTTGGGAGGAAGTTTCTGGTGATTTTCTATAACAAGGTGAAAAGGAAACAAGACAGGAGTTGTGCCAGTTGTTGGCAGGAGCACTGATATCTGTGGCTACAGAAGACTGCACGGCCATGAATGTATTTGGATGATGAAATGAAGCAGAACTTTTAATTCAGCTTGTTAAATACAACCCAAGCAGTGAAGCTTGTCACTGCAGGGCAGGAGTTCAAAAGAAACTGATGAATCCTAGGGTTTTGGAATAGCACCGGCTGTCAGAAAGGTGCACACCTATCTTAGTATCCATTTGACTGAGGATGGACTCAGCTAATGAATGAGGAGGGAGAAGGGAGGCGTGAAAGTATGGGACTGTCTATACTAGCGCTTCTCAACTAGGGGCAGTTGTACCCCTCATGAAACATGTGGCAATGTCTGGAGATGTTTTTGGTTATCATTGTTACCAGAAAGGGGTCCTGATCCAGACCCCAAGAGAGGGTTATTGGACCTTGCACAAGAAAGAATTCAGGGCGAGTCCACAGAGTGAAGTGAAAGCAAGGTTTATTAAGAAAGTAAAGGAATAAAAGAATGGCAGACTGGGCGCTGTGACTCACGCCTGTAATCCCAGCACTTTGGGAGGCCGAGGCGGGTGGATCACCTGAGGTCAGGAGTTCGAGACCAGCCTGGCCAACATGGTGAAACCCTGTCTCTACTAAAAATATGAAAATTAGCTGGCCGCAGTGGCGCACGCCTGTAATCCCAGCTACTTGGGAGGCCGAGGCAGGAGAATCGCTTTAACCCAGGAAACAGAGGTTGCGGTGAGCCAAGATCACACCACTGCACTCCAGCCTGGGCAACAGAGCAAGACTCCATTTCAAAAAAAAAAAAAATGGCTACTCTATAGGCAGAGCAGCAGCATGGGCTGCTCAACTGAGTATACTTACAGTTTCTTCTTTATTGTATGCTAAGCAAGGGGTGGATTATTCATGAGTTTTTCAGGAAAGTGGTGGGCAATTCCCAGAACTGGGGGTTCCTCCCCTTTTTAGACCATATAGGGTAACTCTGGATGTTGCCATGATGTTTGTAAACTGTCATGGTGCTGATGAAAGTGTCTTTTAACATGCTAATGTATTAGAATTAGCATATAATGAGCAATGAGAATGACCAGCAGTCACTTTCTTTGGGATCTTGGTTTTGGTGAGTTTTTGCCAGCTTCTTTCTTGCTGTTTTTATCAGCAAGGTCCTTATGACCTGTATTTTGTGCCAACCTCCTATCTCATGCTGTGACTAAGAATGCCTAACCTACTGGGAATGCACCCCAGCAGGTCTCAGCCTTATTTCACCCAGCCCCTATTCAAGATGGAGTCGCTCTGGCTCAAGCACCTCTGACATCATGACTGGTTGGAGATGAAGATGCTTCTGGCATCTAGTGGGTTGACGCTAGGAAGGCTGATAAACGTCCTAAAATGCAGAAGACAGCCCCAAAGAAACTTTCAGCCCCAAATGTCAATAGTGTGGAAGTTGAGAAGCCCTGATCTACGGCCTGGCCAGCCAAGTGGAAGCTGTGGACCATGTGTCTATTATAATGGTTAAGAATGCAGTCTCCGGAATTAGCTAGACCTGAGTTTGAATTCCAGCTAGTGATGTTGGGCAAGTAATCTAACCTCTCTAGGCTTCAGTTTCGTGTTCTTTTCAGCTTTCAAGCAAGATCTATTGAACACCCCCTTATGCCACGTCACACTATGTGGTCAGCAAGTACAAATGATCACAGTAACATTTAAGTTAGCTAGAACTCCCAGGAAACAGGACATTCTGAGTCATGGACATTTCCGGTTGAAAACTAGTGTTCATTCCTGTCTCATAATATATGTAGAAACAATTTTCTTGCTCCCATTCTGTTATTGTTACATATTATGGCTTTTATAAAATTTACTGGATCGTGGGAAACAATTTTCATGTTCCCAGTAGCTGAGGCAGCCACTATATACCATTCAACAGCCAGAGCCTTTTTGTGAGAGTGATTTCTTTGTGTTTTTTAATTTATTATTTTAAAATTAATATTATTTTAATAGAAAGATAATTGTATATGTTTATGGGGTATAATGTGATGTTTTGATATACAATGTGGGATGATTAAATCAATCTAATTAACATATCTATTACCTGACATTATTTTTCATGGTGAGACATTTGAAATTTATTCTCTTAGCAAGTTTGAAATAAACAATATATTGTTAGCTGTAGTCACCCTGCTCTGCAATAGATCTCACAGACTTATGGTCTCTGACGTTAACCAGTATCCCCCTATTTCCTCCCAGCTTCAGTTTCTTATCTTTAAAATGGGGAAAATAACGAGACCCACCTCACAGAGCTGTGGAGCTTATATACATATAAATTGTTTAGCACAGTGCTTGGCACATAGTTAAGTTCTCAAGAAATGGTTACTCCTATTATGGTAATTGTTACCTTCCCAGTACAGATTATAATTCCATTAAAACTAATTTATGAGGCAAGAGGAAAGTTTCCGTGGAGCTGATAGGTTTTGTAATTAGGTAGTTAGATGTGTGTGTTCACTTCACAGAAATTCACTGAGCTTGCAGGATGCAGTGGCTCGTGCCTGTAACTCCAGCACTCTGGGAGGTCAAGATGGGTGAATCGCTTGAGGCCAGGAGTTGGAGATCAGCCTGGGCAACATGGTGAAACCCATCTCTACAAAAAATATACAAAAATTTGACAGGCAAGGTGGAGCGCACCTGTAGTCTCAGCTACTCAGGAGGTTGAGGTGGGAGGATCACTTGAGCTCGGGAGGTTGAAGCTGAAGTGAGTCAAGATGGCATCACTGCACTCCAGCCTGGATGACAGTGAGACCTTGTTGCAAAAATAAATAAATAACTAAGTAAATAGATTGAGCTCTAGCTCTACACTTATGATTTCGGACCTTTTCTGTACATATATTATAACTTTTAAAAAGCTTACTTAAAATGATTAATAGGAGTCTCATTCTGCCTGCCTTCAAAAAGCCCCATGATATTTAATAAATTCTTGACTTTCCTTGCCAGTGATTCAATCTCTCAGAAGTTGAAAGATGCAATGAAGGACAGTTACTCTCCACTGACCAGTTTGCTCTCCACTGACCAAAACTGAGGAACTGGGAAGAAAGATGAGAAATTGACAGCAATGTCATATACAAGGGACCATCATATTATAGTATAGGAAGAAAATGTTTGTTGAAGTGCTAACATCTAATTTAGGTTTTAAGAAAATAGAATTCAAAAAAGTTTGGAGAAAAAATAGCTGTGACCATGTAGTCTGATTTCAAAAAGACCGAGTGACTTAAGAGGAATGGCAGGTTCTAAACAGAAATTCTAACTCTTTAGTCATAAATTATCGTGATAAGAGAGAAAAATGGGAAACAGTGTGTCCATAGAGGGAGCTCCCAGATGATCTCAGGTATTTAAAGGATCTGCGTAGGTGAATGAAGAACACTGAGCTGAGGGCTAACACAGAATGACACAAGTAGGTATTATTCCTGCATGGTAAAGGTCAGAACTAGGCAAGGTTTTGTGAAGCATGCCAACGACAATTGAAAAAGCTTTTTAGCTATGCTTGGTGCTGGAAAGACAAGGAAGCATATGGCCATTTGTCAATTTAGTGTTAACAGCAGCACAAAGAAGGCAGAACAATTCATTTCATAATTTTTTTTAATTTTCTCTATCAAGGAAAATGATTTTCTAATGATAATGGATACCATCATATTGGCTAGGAAAGAATTTGAGCACTAACTAGTTGAATAAATACTAAGAGCCCCCTCCTTGTTTTTCATGGGCTCAAATCTGCTGCTGGATGAAAAATGTGCAGATGTGATTGGGAAACCCTTACCTCAACCTTGGGTGAAAGGGCACAAGAACCTGCCTGAAAGCTGAGAGAAGGACCAGTGTGCTTATTTTTAACGTGGGGAAATACATATTTCAGAATCTGCCACCCTGTGAGCTTGATGCTGATACCCGGGAAAATTCTGGGTTGATTTAATTAAATTAGGTAGTTTATGAATACTTGATGGAATAAAGGAGTGAAAAGCCCTGCACTCAGCCTGATTTTCCAGGGAAAAATGTTATACTAATAATATACTGAGCACCACCTGCCAGCGTGTCTCCAAGCACTCCATTTCTTCAGGCCTCAAAGAATCCTGTGAGGCAGGTCCTGAGACAGTCAAATCCTAGGCAGATAAAAAGGAGTCCCAGAGAATCTCTGACCGGCTTCAAAAGTGTTTACATCAGATGCTTTTGTGCAGATGAGGGCTAGATGCCCAGGGCTTGTCTGTGCATGCACACAGCTGACTAGACCCTGGCGTGTGCACTGGGGGAAGTGGGTGGAGCCACAGGAAATTCACACATTATGCATGGGAAGAGCCTGCTCTCTTCAGCTCCTGCGGTGACCTGGGAATCAATCAGTGAGGTAGAGGGCCTGTTAGCAGGGGTCCATCACACATTGCTGAGATCTTTTTTTTCTTTTCTTTTTTTTTTTGAGATGGAGTTTCGTTCTTGTCACCCGGGCTGGAGTGCAGTGGCGTGATCTCAGCTCACTGCAACCTCCGCCTCCTGGGTTCAAGCGATTCTCCTGCCTCAGCCTCCCAAGTAGCTGGGATTACAGGCGCCTGCCACCATGCCCGGCTAATTTTTTGTATTTTTAGTAGAGACGGGGTTTCGCCATGTTGGGCAGGCTAGTCTCGAATTCCTTACCTCAAGTGATCCGCCCGTCTAGGCCTCCCAAAGTGTTGGGGTTACAGTCGTGAGCCACTGCGCCTGGCCTCTTTTTCATTTTTCACCTTTCACCCAATACAATCCTGCTCTACACACCCTTTGATGTGTCCACGTGCCTAAGTTTTCCTGGTTGTGTGACAAGAAGCCAGGTTTTAGCTGAACTAAGGAGTAAAATTCAGCAACAGTACTACCATTATCTCTATTTCCAGATGAGAAAACAGAGGCACAGGGGAGTCAATGAACTTGCCAGAGGTCACACAGCCAGTGTAACAGAGCCAGAGCTCAACAGGCAGGCTGGCTCTGGAGCTTTTGCTCTTCCCCTTGACTCTGAGAGGCTTTCAGCAAAGCAATGGATAATGAGCATCAACATGCCTTTCATGACAACAGGAGGAAATGCAGTCTGCACAGGCTGCAGTGAGGCACAGTAGCACTCGTTTAAGCAGTCGCAGGAAGAGAAGTTCAAGTGAAGCCTCCCTGCCATTTTGGAAGTCCTGGAACAATACCTTAGGCTGCAGCATTAAATACTGGTGATATGTGAGCACTTTTGACCTATAAAAATGGTAGTTTTACGTGTTCCAGCCTAATACTTTATCCTCTCTTGCCTAATACTTTTTCATATTCTTTTACCTGGACGTGTGTAGTGCTTGTTGGACCATTTTCAGATGTCACATAGCTGGGATTGATACCTAGTGAGATAATTGCAATACAGAAAGGTCATTACAGTTTGGAGAACGGGGATGAAACTATCACAAAATGAATTTTAACAGAAATAAATGTGAAGCTCTGAATTCAGTTTTAAACATTTAGTCTCCACAAGGATAGGGTGAGAGAGACCTGATTAACCAAAGTTCCTGTGAAAGCACAGGATTTTTGGTCTCCACCAGCTTTCTTGAGTCCCCAGGTGCTGAGGTAATTGGGGCGGTCAAGGAATACGGGGCTGGATAAAACAACCTCACGTTGATCATTTAACTCTGTCTAGGGGACCAAAGTGCCAGGGTTGGGGGCAGTCCTCTGACATGCACAAGGTGTTAAAAGAAGGGTGTTTATTGTACACCGAGCAGTGGAGAATTTGGAATTTTTAGCCTGAAGAGGCTTGGGGAAAACTGATAGCAGCCTTCAAGTATTTAAAGGGATACTATTCATAAATCAAGAAACATTTACTGAGTACCTGCCACATGAAAGGAGGAGCACTGTGTGCTGTGAGAGACTGAAAAATGAGAAAGAATGCTATCTGACCTCAAGAAGTTTATTAATAGAGAGGGGTTGTCTGACCCAGAGACAACTAATACAGGGGGTAAATCAACAGTTGCTATAATAGAGACACAAATAAATCATAATCATTAAGTGTTCTTTCCTTTCTTAACAGATATTTGTAGTACAAAGAACTTCAAATATCTGAAAGAAGTAGAGAGAGGTATAAGAGGTGTTAGGAGACTTAAGGAGAAACAGGCTTCTCTGACCTACAGGGAAATTGTTGCCTGTTTAGTCCAGTCTATTTTCCATTAAACATTCTGTCTTGCTCAGCTTCACGAATAAAAACAGGGAAATAAAGCAACTTTCTTTTAATTGTATTTACTACAAGACTTATTTGATGGTAATTTCCTTCAGTACAATTATTTATGGATTTACTTATATTCTGCTTTTCAGCTTCTTTTACTTTTATTTTTTGAGATGGGGTCCCGTTATGTTGCCCAGGCTGGTCTCGAACTCCTGGGCTCAGCAATCCTCCCACCTAGGCCTCCCAAAGTGCTGGGATTACAGGCATGAGCCACTGCGCCTGACCTCAGCCTCTTTTTTTCGGCCTGCATACACATGCACTTACATGCACACACACACACATATGCACACACACACACAGACACACACACACACACACAAGCACAGTGATTCCAACAAGGAGATCTAGTTTTTACTTAAACAAAGGAAGGAGTCACCTCTATAGTGTGATTTGAGGGTTGAGGTACCAAGGAAAGCAGCTACCCCTATCCCAATCTTATAAAACCACTTCTTTTGTCATAGGATCCAACGCTACCATTCATGAATCATCCCTTGAGTGCCCCCTCCTGGCTCCCCAGAGAGTCCTGGGGGGAGTTCCTCTTTGAAGTCTTCACAACCAATTTAAGTTGTGAGCTGCCAGTCTTCTTTGTGACAGCCAAGTGTACCATGAGAGTACCACAGGAGTGTATGGTGGGGGTTGTATTTCAGGAAATAGAAAGGATGAAATATTAGGATCAACTAAGCAGATTTCACCAACCTTACATTTTTTTCCCTGCAGTTAACTCATCATTATCTTCATTCATGTTCTCAAGACAATCCTTAATAAAGTATTAAACAATCATTTGGGGCCGGGCACAGTGGCTCACGCCTGTAATCTCAGCACTTTGGGAGGCCGAGGCGGGCGGATCATGAGGTCAGAATTTCGAGACCAGCCTGGCCAGCATGGTGAAACCCCGCCTCTACCAAAAATACAAAAAATTAGCCAGGCATGGTGGCACACACCTGTAGTCCCAGCTACTCGGGAGGCTGAGGGAGGAGAATTGCCTGAACCCGGCAAGCAGAGGTTGCCGTGAGCTGAGATCATGCCACTGCACTCCAGCCTGGGCAACAGAGCAAGACTCCATCTCAAAAACAAACAAACAAACAACAAAAAAAAAAAACAGAACCAAAAAAAATCATTTGGATTTGAGCTATATTCCATGTTAGTGTTTCCCTAGTATTTACTAGTGGTTCTAAAAGAAAGTGTGCATTCCTTGGGCTCAACAGATGGTAGAAAGAGATGGCTGGAAAGTTGATGAGAAACCAAAAACGAGCATTTTGCATGGGAAAATCCAAAATCTCCACAAGGACCTAGTCTGATTGCTTATGATAAAGTTCTAGCACTGGTCCACCAATGAATCACAATGAAAATTTCCAGTAATTTTGAATTTGCCAGGCTATTGCCTACTGATTTTATAACATCTGTTAACATGTTCAGGTACTGGGGCATGATGAGTGTCTATTTATTCATAAGACTGTTGTGGGGGTGCCTACATGCTTTAGTCAAATCATGTAATAGTTCTATGCCTCACAACTGAAAACCAAATAGTTCCTGTTTTTCTTTTGCATACAGTCTCAAGTGTTGATGGAGTAGCACTGTGATGTTCATTAAGGTTAGAAGACGCTACTCATGAAAACTCTTGTTTGCTAGGCAGGTGGGATTATGGGTGGGTTTTATTATTCTTTCAAAAAAATTTTTTTAATCTTGACATAAAATTCCTTTTAAAATAAACATTTTTAAAAGGTTATGAAAAGGTCTTTCCAGGAAGAAACAGAATATTTTGGAGAGTTCCCAGCCATGAGGTCATGGAGACAACAAACAAATGGGTCAAGAAGTGCCAATTGGGCAAACAATTTCAACATATAAAGAGATCACTGCATAACTTCTGTGAATAATCAAGCATATCAAAGTTGTTACATCAATAAAACTTACATATAATTAAGTACTGCATTTTTTCATCCAGATGTTCCAGTGGCTAGCAGATAAAGCCTCAAAAAAAAAAAAAAAAAAAAAATAGCTCAAGGGGCATTTCAAAGCCATTGTTTATGTCAGCATAACGTACCTGAAAAAAGTGTGAATAGCTCATCTTGTCCATCAGACTTGGCTTGTCTTTGTCTTGCTTCTGCAGGGCTGTGAGTGACTAGGGTTAATCTGGTAAACTGACCTGTATTAAGGTGATTATTATTATATTCAAGTATCTTGGTTTTTTTCGTGATTTAAACAAAATGAATTTGTGAATTTTCGGTCCCTGGAAACTTCATGTAAGTGGAGATTGGCAAAGGTGCAACTTGCATTTCACGAATTAGGCAGCCCCTACCTCTAGTTCCCCACAGTCTAAAGATTTCTTATGCATGATTGGTGATGGGGACCCATTGGGACTTTGATGGCTTTAGAGGCTGTTGTAGGCTGAAAAACAGCTCCCCAAAAGATATCCACTTCAAATCCCTGGAACTTGTGAATGCTACCTTACATGGCAAATAAATGTGATTAAGTAAAATATCTTGAAAGAAGGCACTTACCTTGGATTATCCAGATGGACCCTAAATACAGTGTAGCATGTGTCCTCATGGGACTGAGGTAAAGGGAGTTTTGAGAGAGACACACACACACAGAGAAGACAGAGCAGAGAGAGACGTGGCCACAGGCTGAAAGATGTTAACAATCACCAGAAGCTGGGAGAGGCAAGGAATGGATTCTCCCCTAGAGACTCTGGAAGGAGTGCAGCCCTGCCAACACCTTGATTTTGGACCTCTGGCCTCCAGAGCTGTGAGAGAATACACCCCTGTTTTTATAAGCCACCCAGTTTTTGATTATTTGTTACAGCAACCACAGGAAACTAATAGTCTAGATTCAAATCCTGGTTCAAACTGTTAACTGCTCATGATCTTAGTTTGTTGTGAACCACAGTTTCTTCAAACAGTTGTCCCTCAGTATTTGCGGGGGGATAGGTTCCAGGACAACCTGTGGATACTAAAATCTGAGAACGCTCAAGTCCCTGATATCAAACATGGTAGTATTTGCATGTAACCTACATAAATCCTTCTGTGTACTTTAAATCATCTCTAGATTACTTATAATATCTAATAGAATGTGAATGCTATGCAAATAGTTGTTATACTAGATTTTAAAATTTGTATTATTTTTTATCGTGATATTGTATTTTTTATATATTTTTCTGAATATTTTCTTTTTGAGGTTGGTTGAATCCTCGGACATCCATCCCGCAGATACAGAGGGCCAAATGTATATAAAATGAAAGTATATGTGTAAGATGTGTACTATGTAGTGTTTGGCACATAGTAATAGTTCATGACATGTTTTTTGTGAAAAAAAAAAAAAAAGTTTCAGTGGTTAAAGCTCACATCATCATGTCCACAAACATAATGTGGTTCTCAGCTTACACACATGTTTTATAAGCATGTAGAAAAGAAGTGCCTGTGTTGGTGATGGGAGAGGGATGACACATAAAGGGGCAATGGGCCAGTTAGGAAAGCACGTGACAGAGGCACGACAGGGAATCAGTGGATAAAAGATTGTGTGGGAGGTCAATGCAGGGATCATGGGATTCTTACATGATTATAAAGGAGATGGACGAAAGTCCTCAGAATTTAATGGGAAAATTCCCTGGTTTCTTCTTGAAGGACTTAGCTTTTTATATCCACATCCATATTTTAAACCTCATAACTGAAATCTAAGTACACTCTTCATTTGTAGCTTGTCAGCTGAGGGAAAATTACAGAATGGGTCACAGCAGCGGGAAGATTATGGGTTGCATCTGATAAATGGCTATTTATATGTACTGAGCTGGCTCTGGGGTATTCTCAGGGTATAATTTCATAGCAGAGTTAACATCATCTCATAAAATATGACAACAGGTTTTACACTGCCTATCTGAAATGAAATTGCAGCCTTTTGTAATGAGCAAGTGCAGCCCAGAAGGCAGGATGGATTGAGTTTCCCTGGTACCTGCCATGTCCAGTCTCAGGCCTTTCCAGTGGAGAGAGGACACATGGGCACATTCCCAATTCTCTGTGGCACCCCCAGTCGGCTTTGGGAAGAGCAGTCTCCCACCTCCACACTCTAGGGACGGCTCCCTTCTTTCTAAAGACGCATTTCCTGAAGCACTGGGCGTAAATCACAATCACATCTCCCCCATTGGCTCACATCATCATTTCCAAGATGATTTACCTTTACTTCTATTGATCTTCAATTGGCAAGAACTCCATAACTCTCCCTCTCTGCAAGCCCTGACTCAGTGATTAATGATTTATGAAGGAAATCTAAATGCCCCAGAGGTGGTCCACACTTGAAGGAACTGCCGAAGTAAATATTTTAAGTGAGCCCTTTTTGAAATGAAAATAATTACAGCAGTGTTAATCTCTTTGGTCATTTGGGACTTTGCTTCCCCTCGTTTTGGGAGGGAAGGGACTGTTTGTGCGTTGTTTGGACAGCACACCTGTATTTTCCAAGCGAATTTTTCTTGGTGAATGAGTTGGTCTGACTCTAAGTGAAAGCAAGACATTCTGTTTTCAGCCCACCTGGCCCCACCTGGGTTTCCACGTAGGAAACTTTTCTTCATGGAGTTCTGCCCTGGAGTCTGAGCACCTTTGATAGAAAGGAATGTATACTAGGGTATTAAGTTCCATAAATTCGTTATTACTCAGTTATTTTATATCCATCTATTCTCTTACAGCTGGTCAGTACCACCAATCTGTCCCCTTTTGGTCATTCTAGACATAAAGAATCTTGGCCAGGTGCAGTGGCTCATGCCTGTAATCCGAGCACTTTGGGAGGCTGAGGCGGGCTGATCACCTGAGGTCAGGAGTTCGAGACCAGCTTGGCCAACATGGTGAAACCTCATCTCTACTAAAAATACAAAAATTAGTCTGGTGTGGTGGCAGGTGCCTGTAATACCAGCTACCATGGAGGCTGAGGCATGAGAATCACTTGAACCTGGGAGGCAGAGGCTGCAGTGAGCTGAGATGGTGCCACTGCACTCCAGCCTGGGTGACAGAGCGAGACTCTGTCTCCAAAAAAAAAAAAAAAAGAATATTATTTTTACTTAATATGCAGGGTGGTCAGCAACTGCAGGATTAGGAAACTCTGCCCCTGTTGCTCTGGGGCAGGATGGTGTGTCGACCCAGCTGTATCTACTCACAGAGCATCTGCTCAGTGATGTCAAGTTAGTTCTCAGCACCAACCTTGGGTGAAAGAGATATTTTTAAATGTTCCAATCAAACACCTTTTCTAGAGTCCTCACCTACTTCTTACTCCCATTAGCATCACAAGTAACATCCTTCTTTTCCCTTGCCAGCAGATATAGAAAGTCTTAGAATAAATCTGTTAGAAAGAGAGGCCATTTGGAAATGAAAATTAGACTCAAGGAAATCTTAAAAGTTACATTTTTACATTACAGAGTTTAAATCCCCTTTCAAGCATTAAATCATCTTTTTATTTTTAGAGTTTATGGTACATAATAGGAACACTGTAAACATTTTTTTTTTCTCTTGAGACAGTCTCACTCTGTTTCCTAGGCTGAAGTGCAGTGGCATGATCTCAGCTCACTGCAACCTCCACTTCCCAGGTTCAAGTGATTCTTCTGCCTCAGCCTCTCGAGTAGCTGGGATTACAGGCACCCGCCACCACTTACAGCTAAGTTTTGTATTTTTAGTAGAGTCGGGGTTTCACCATGTTGGCCAGGCTGGTCTCGAACTTCTGACCTCAGATGATCCAGCCGCCTCGGCCTCCCAAAGTGCTGGGATTACAGGCATGAGCCAGTGTGCCCGGCCTAATCATTTCTTTAGTTATAAAAATTACAAAGAGTGAAATTCACTTTTTTATGTACACGTCTATAAATTTTCACACATGCATAGATTCCTATAGCCAGCATCACAGTCAGGATAGAGAACAATTTGAATATCCCAAAGATTTCCCTCCAGCTGCCTTTTTTTAGTTAAACCCTTTCTGTATTCCTAACTCCTGGAAACCACAGATCTGTCTGCTTTTGCCTTTTCCAAAATGATTCCTAAATGGAATAAATCTGTAACATTTAGATACTGAGATTTCACTCAGCATAATGCATTTGAGATTCACCTATGTTATTGTCTGTATTTGTAATTAATCATTTTTATTGCTAAGTTGTATTCCCTTGCATAAATGGAACACGGTTTGTTTATCCATTCAGACATTAATGCTAATTTGGTTGTTTCCTGTGTTTTGGTGATTATGAATAATGCTGCTATAAACACTTGTGCACAGATTTTTGTGTAAACATGTTTTTATTTCTCTAGGATAAATACCTAAAAGTGGGATTGCTGGGTCATCTGGTAAATGTACATCAAACTTTATAAAAAACTCCCAAGCAATTTTCCAGAATGGCTGTACCATTTCACTTTCCTGTCAGCAGTATAGAAGAGTTTTTGTTGATTTACATTCTCACCAGCACTTAAAATTGTCATTTAATTTGCATTTCACTAATTGATTATATTTAAGCATCTTTTCATTCATCTTATTAATTTTATTAATCTTAAGCATTATATTTGCTATCCATATATCTTCTTTGGTGAAGTGTCTGTCAAAATCTTTTGGCTATTTTAAAATAGGTTGCTTCTAATCACTGAATTTTGAGTTCTTTATATATTCTGGATACAAGTCCTTCATTTGATATGTGATTATAAATATTTTCTCCTTGCTTATAACCTGTCTTTTTATTGCTTTAACAGTAAATTAATTTTGAGGCCGGACGCGGTGGCTCACTCCTGTAATCCCAGCACTTTGGGAGGCCAAGGCGGGTGGATCACGAGGTCAGGAGATCGAGACCATCCTTGCTAACACAGTGAAACCCTGTCTCTACTAAAATACAAAAAAGTGGTGGTGGGCGCCTGTAGTCCCAGCTGGTCTGGAGGCTGAGGCAGGAGAATGGCGTGAACCCGGGAGGCAGAGCTTGCAGTGAGCAGAGATAGTGCCACTGCACTCCAGTCTGTGCGAGAGCGAGACTCCGTCTCAAAAACAAAACAAAACAAAACAAAACAAAAAACAGTATATTTTGTAGAGTAATAAAGGCTTTTTTATTCCTACGAAGTCAAATTTTGCCATATTTCTTTTATGGATTGTCTTCTTATATCTAAAGACTCTTTGCTTAACCCAAAATTTTTAAAATATTTCCTTTGATGAGTTTTATAGTTTTACATTTCATTCTATGATCCATTTTGAGTCAAGTTTTGTATATGGTGTGAGGTATAATTTGATGATATCTCCAATTTGCTATTGAGTCTCTTCAGTGAATTTTTCAATTCTAAAATTTCCATTTTGTTCTTTTATATAGCTTTTATTTCTTTGCTGAGAACTTCTTTCCATTTATTTAAAAAATATTTACTTTGCTTATTAATGCATAATTATAATAGCTCCTTTAAAGTCTTTATCTGACTATTTCAATGTTTAAGTAGCTCCATGCTGGCTTCTGTTGATTGCCCTTTCTCTTGACACTTGTTTAAGTTTTCATAGTCCTTTGCATATCAAATAATTTGGGGTTGTATCTAGGACATTTTGAATGTAATGTGATAAAACCCTGAGTCCTA
This sequence comes from Homo sapiens, assembly GCF_000001405.40. NCBI lineage: Eukaryota > Metazoa > Chordata > Mammalia > Primates > Hominidae > Homo > Homo sapiens. The sequence continues at coordinate 115,887,219 of NC_000001.11, forward strand.
TTTAAATCTTCTGAAAAGCATTGACTTGTTTTTAAAATCAGTCGGGCAACTCAGGTTTAGACTCACAACCTGGCCAACTTTCTAAAGCATTTACAGTGATGTTCTGGTCCACTCTGCCTATACATCACCCAGCTGCCCGTCTGAAACCTGGGCAATGGTCTACTCCATAGTTCAGCGCTTAAAGTCCTTACTGTGCTAATTCCGCTCAGCTTCACACATGCTCAGTTCAGGAGTAAGCTCAACACTTTCTTATACACAGCTTTAAAGGATCCTTTTCTCCAGCACCTTCTTCATAATTCCCCACTCTATCCTGCAGTCTCTGGCCTTTAGGGTTTCCCCTTCCTGATGTCTGGCTAGAAAGCTGAGGCATTATCCTACCTATAGGGTCTGCTGTACTGGTGAGGAAGGGAAGAAGCTCTGCCTCTTGCTGGCATTTGCCTGGTGTAGGGCAGAGAGACTCAACAGGACTCTGCCCCTCAGGGACCACCTCAGCTACCAGTGAGAGTAGCAGGGGGAACCAATTCTTTGCTGGTGTTTGCCTGGAGTAGGGCCGATAAAGACAAAAGGATTTAGACCGATGGGGTCCTCCCTTTCCAGAGACTCTGGCTTCCTAAGGGCTTATTTCTGTCTGTGTCCAGATTTCAGGCTGCTTCAGTACCCAGAACAAAATCTATGAGAGGTCAAAAAAAAAAAAAGACACAAAGACACAAGAAAAATGTCTTTAGAGAAATCACCACCAAATCATGCTTGGAGTCCAGTTATCCTTACCCACTCTGACTGCTTTCATCCACTTTTCAGAGCCTTTTGATAGTTGGATTATGTGTGTTGATCCAGAGTTTTTAATTGTAGTTACCAGGAGAGATATGGCTGAGTGTGCTTACTTGTTCTTGCCTAGAACCAAAAGTTCATATAAATATTTATGAATGAGGCTAGGCGTGGTGGCTGATGCCTGTAATCCCAGCACTTTGGGAGGCCGAGGCGAGCTGATGACTTGAGGTCAGGAGTTCGAGACCAGCCTGGCCAACATGGTGAAACCCTGTCTCTACTGAAAATACAAAAAAATGAGCCTGGCATGGTGGTGCATGTCTGTAATCCCAACTACTTGAGAGGCTGAGGCAGGAGAATCACTTGAACCTGGGAGGCAGAGGTTGCAGTGAGCCAAGATCACACCACTACACTCCAGCCTGGGTGACAGAGTGAGACTCTGTCTCAAAAAAAAAAAAAAAAAAAAAAAAAAGAATGAATGGGCAAAAGGAAAATGCTTAATATCTATTATAATATCTAACTTTTTGGAAAGCTGCCCATTTTTAATTCCCAGACCTGTGTATATCTAAAAATTTTAGCCTTTCTTCTTGTCTCTTATAGATAAAAAATCTATTTAGAATTTAGGCTCCAGGGATATTAATTTTATATTTTATTTAAATGACTAATATTGCACTGCCAGAGTTACCACTGCTCTTTCTACTTGGCACAGATAGCCTGGAATGAGGGTAAGAGCATGGCGTTATAGTTCTGGCTCAGCAACTCTCTGGCTGTGTGACTTTGGAAAAATTCTTTAATAACTCAGAGCTCTGTCCACAGCACAAATGACTAGGACTAGATAGTCCCTAGGTTTTCCTGCAGTCTTCCCATTCTACACCTCCAACCCTTGGTAAGCCTGATGTTACCATCACCTCCTCTCTCCAGCCTGGGACACACTATGCTCCTTTCCTCTTGTATATTGTTTGCCCCAAGATCTATGAGATTTGCCCCCTGCTCCAGCTCTCTGTACCCATCAACATGGGTCCATTATGCAATTCTTGAATCTCTCTTCTTTGAACTACAAGCTTTAGCTCTTCTTCTGTTAAGAATCTTGACTTTCATTTTCTTCATGAACTTAGTAATGGCAAAGGAGGTTTAGTCTAAGCAAACTGTGCAGTCACACCCACAATTCAGGGATACAGGCCACATGAGGTTGACTGTCAAAGTCCATTCTCTTGAAGGTTTACGCTGTGTGGAACTTTACCACTTTGGGTGATTTCTCCTGACACACTTGTCAGATAACAGCCTGGAATCATCAGAGCATATCCCCATAGGTTCCCTGAATTTCTAAGCTGTTCCCTAGCCAGAATCTTTCAGCACTGTCCTTTTTATTGGCCTTCGATTCAGTGGTTCTCCAATGTGGGATTTTGACACATTGGTGTTCTGGAGCCAATTTTGGTTTTTCTGCTGGTTACCTGTTACTATCCATATTTAAAATCTGGTGTATACAAAATGTTTTCTTTTCATTTTTTAAACTGTTATGTATGACTATGTATGAGTCTAGTTTGTCTACACAAGTCTGAAAGTATTTCACTGGACATTAGCACCACAGGTTGGAAATAGGGTTTATTTGAAAATAAAATGCCTCCACAATCACAGAAAGTTTTAGAAATATTAAGCTAAGCAATTTTCCTCTTTCCTGTAGAACTTAACCTTGAATATAGCTCATGTACTGTGGCTCCCCAAGGGTTCTAGACATTGTACAACTGCTGCATAAATTTTTTTGAACACAATGCTTTTTGAAAGGGACATCTCGAGGGACTTGTGTTTAGAGGAACTCTCTTTAGGAAACAGTGGTCTCAACTGTTTCTCCTTCCCATTAGCACAGTACATCAGGAACTGTGTCCTCCAGAGTCGAGTTACTGAAGGTCATTGCTGTCCTTTCATGTACACGCTCTCCCTTCTTGGACCACATCCAATGATTCACACAATATTAGGAAGGGCTTCTTTCATCAATGGCTTCTTATTACTCTTGAAATAAAACTAATATTCCTTTTTTTTTTTTTGAGACAGAGTTTTACTCTTGTTGCCCAGGCTGGAGTGCAATGGCACTATCTTGGCTCACCGCAACCTTCGCCTCCTGGGTTCAAGCAATTCTCCTGCCTCAGCCTTCTGAGTAGCTGGAATTACAGGTATGCAGCACCACGCCCGGCTAATTTTGTATTTTTAGTAGAGATGGGGTTTCTCCATGTTGGTCAGGCTGGTCTCGAACTCCTGACCTCAGATGACCACCTGCCTCGGCCTCCCAAAGTCCTGGGATTACAGGTGTTAGCCACTGCACCCAGCCATAAAACGAATATTCTTAACATGACCTAAAGCATAGCTTTGTCTTGACCACTCTCCCTGCTCTATCTCTACACTACAGTCAAAATTTTATTTTTTAAAAAATTTTGTATTCATTATACACCCTCTCGCTCCAGATCCTTTCTTTACCCCCATATTTCTTTTTGCCTGAAAATACTCTCCTCCTTTCCGCAAACTTGATTTGATCGATGCCTAGTTATTCTCTAGGTATCAGCTCCAATATTAATTCCAGAAAGCCTCCCCTGAATCTCTGGTACATCCCCTCCCTTCAAAGCACACATCTTGATTTTAATTATAGGCTTATTTATGTGTTTGTTTAATATTAGTCCTCTCCCCACCTCTGCACTGGTTTGAAAGCTCCATGAGAACGGGGAACATGTTATTAGTCAGTCACCATTATACATTGTCACCATTAGCAATGTTTGCTAAATGTGAACAAACGGTGTCTGTTGGCTTCTGAATGATTAATTCACAGTCAATAGAAAGAACCTTGTAGGCCTGAAGCAGTCCGGTAACTCAGCTCACAGTAGCCACAGGCCAATGGAAAAATGGACTGCAGCCATGTGTCGTGCTCATGCCATGGATCTTGTAGATTTGCTGTTGATCCACAGGAGTCTACTCTTTTATCTCATGTGTACTTCTGTTACACCATTGGAGCTATTTCATTTGGCTGTGTTATTGTTAGCAGCAGCAAAGAACCCAAGGCAATTGATTCACATAGCAGAAATGGTGACTGAGGTGGTTCTTCCTTTTGGGACTCTGACATCAGAAAGTACATAGTTGAGCGATGCCCTGAAACCCATGTGGGGGCCTCAACTAGTAATCTTGGAAGTGGCCCAGGCAGAGTCACTTTAGGGACATTCCCCAGAAGCTGATTGGATTGTTTACAGATATTCTGCTTCTCCTATCTCCAGGAAGGTGAAAACTTGCAATTCCTTGCCCACTTAAGGTAAGGTGTAATCATGAGACTTGCTTCAGCCAACAAAATGCTGGAAGTGACATCTGAGAAGAAACCTTTAAGACCAGTGTACATTTTGTCTTGTATCCTTCATTGCCACTGTAATAGACAGTTATCCAAACAGTAGAAGTTCCATCTGCCTAAATCCTTCAGTAAGGAGATATGGGACAGAGCCCTGTGCTGATGCTTTACAGCTGAGCAGCAAAAAAAAAAAAACACATGGCAGAGTTCTTAGTGTTGGGTGGACAAAGCTGTTAGCGAGTATCATCAGTTTCTTCCCCCTGCATTTATGGATCTCAGTGCAAGAGCTCATGATGATTAGCCTTGTGCTACTTGACCTTGTATGCATGGAGAATAAAACTTTTCCTTAGGAGACACAAGTATTTGGGGGTTGCCTGTTTTTGAAACATATCCGAGCCCATCTTGATTGATACATTATGTCTCAGGGTCTGATTTAAACATTTTAGGTATATGGAGTCATTTACTTTTTACAAACACACTGCAGAGAAGGTACTAGTATCTCCATTCTATGCATGTGAAAACCAAGGCACAGGCTGGGAAAAGTGGCTCACACCTATAACTTCAGCACATTGGGAGGCCAAGGTGGGAGGATAATTTGAGCTTAGGAGTTTGAGACCAGCCTGGGCAACACAGTGAGGCCTCATCTGTACAAAAAATTAAAAATTAGCTTGGCATAATGGTGCATGCCTATGGTCCCAGCTATTCAGGAGCTTGAGGTGGGAGGATAGCTTGGGCCCGGGAGGCTGAGGCTGCAGTGAGCCATGATTGTGCCACTGCACTTCAGCCTGAGTGACAGAGTGAGACCCTGTCTCAAAAAAACAAAAAACAAAACAAACAAACAAACAAAAAAACAAACCGAGGCATAAAGAGATTAGATGAAAAATCTAAAATGTAGTAGAGCTAGGATTCAAACCTAGAGAGTTTGGCTTCAGAGCCTATAGTCATGACCATGATGCTCCTGTTCCTCTTGATAACCCTCTGGCCTGCTATCTTTTGCTGTCTTCCTGCACCCTTGGACTTGATGCTGCAAATGACCTATCTTCATTCCTAGAGCTCTGAACTCTAGGCTCCTAGCTTGTCTGAGAAGGAGATAACCGAATACTCCTTGGAGAAGGTTCATGTACATCAACTGTCCTCTCTTTCTCCTATTTGAGCACTTGGAGTTTGAATACTCCATTTAAGATTCTATAACAGGACATCCAAATTCCAGGTTACCAGATTGAGACAAACCCTAACCAACTTATTATTTAATCAGTGACACAGAGGCAATTTCTTGTCCATCAATAGCTCAATCACTAACAATTAGAGATAAACGTATAGGAGCATAGGAGAGAAAATAAATGCATTTTGGGCCTTATAGTCACAGAATTACATTAATCATAATCCTTTTTTCTCATAAAATACTGTCATTTTTAATTTATTGACTTAACTTTCTTAAATAATATAAAATATTGGCAGTAGCTCACATGTGCTTATGTGCCCCTTCTGCATCACTTAACTTTCTTAAATAATATAAAATATTGGCAGTAGCTTACATGTGCTTATGTGCCCCTTCTGCATCCTGTCCTTTAGTGAAGCCCACCCGCTCTCCTGACTCAAGTGTATATCATTTATTCACTTTTCAACATGTAGTTTCACCATCTATATTCCTGAAAGATGTTTTAGGTTTTTTGTGCCTAGCTATTTTTAATCTTATACAAAAAATGTTATCCCGAATGCATTCTTCTTATTTTTTCCCACTCAATGTTCTGTTGCTAAGACATCTGTTGTGGCCGCTGGAATTCCTCAGAGATCTCTAACTACTGGGAGTGTAATTGACAAGAGCCCCACTTCTATGCTGCGTCCCCCATTGCTGAGTTGTCCTAAGGCCACATTCCCCACTGCTCCTGGGGCCCTGCTCCCAGCCAATGACTGAGTGTGGCAGAGGCATAGGGCAGCCCCATTCCTGGGAGAGATGGGGCTCCCTGACACCTGATGGCTTAAGGACACCTAGGTGGCCTTGCCAAGTCTTCCTTAGACCTAACAGCAATGTAGTTCACTTCCATTCCACCTTCTTTTCCTCTTGCCTAAATCTAGGTCAGACTTGCATGGTAGTCTGATGATTCCCCCACCCTTCCAGGGCTCCGTCTCCATTTTCTCTCATAGTCATTGCCCTTAAAAAAATTTTCTATGTTTAATCTCACCTTGTCATCTTCTTCTCAGAAACCTGGACAAAAGCAACATTCACATGTTGCATATAATTGAAATTCATTGTTTTGACTGCTGCATAATATTTAATTATGTGAATATACTAAGAAAGTGGATAAATACATTGTGGTATATTTATACATAGTCATGTACTGCATAACGACATTTTGGTCAACAAAAAACCTCATATACAACAGTGGTCTCATAAGGTTATAATGGAGCTCAAAAATTCCTATTGCATAGTGATGTGTGGTAGCCATGGTAACGCTATAGCACAACGCATTACTCGTGTTTCTGGTGATGCTGGTGTAAACAAACCTACTGCGCTGCCAGTCATGTAAAAGTGTTGCACAGGCTGGGCACCCTGGCTCATTCCTGGAATCCCAGCACTTTGGGTGGTCGAGGCAGGCGGATAGCTTGAGCTCAGGAGTTTGAAATCGGCCTGGGCAACATAGTGAAACCTCATCTCTATCAAAAATGCAAAAATTAGCTGGGCATGGTCATGTGTGCCTGTAGTCCCAGTTGCTCAGGAGGCTGATGTGGGAGAATCGCTTGAGCCTGGGAGGTAGAGGCTACAGCGAGCTGAGATCATGCCACTGCACTCCAGCCTGGGTGACAGAGTGAGACCCTGTCTCAAAAAAAAATTTTAATAAAAATAAAAATATAAAAGTGTAACACATACAATTATGTATGGTATGTATTACTTGATAATAAATGACTGTTACTGGTTTATGTATTTACTATATTTTTAGTCTGTATTTTATAATATACTCTTTCTACTTATTAAAACAAATGTTAGCTGTAAAACAGCCTCAGGCAAGTCCTTCAGGAGGTATTCCAAAAGAAGGGATTGTTACCATAAGAGATGACAGCTCCATGCATATTATTGCCCCTGAAGACCTGCCAGTGGGACGAGATGTGCGGGTGGAAGACTGTGATATTGATGATCCTGACTCTGCATGGTCCTACCCTAATGTGTGTGTTTCTGTTTTAGTTTAAAAAAAAAAAACTTTCAATTTTTTAAAAAAACAAAACATTTAAGAAGTAAAAAATAAAAATATAAATATAAAAAATAGAAAAAATTATAGTATAATGATATAAAGAAAGAAAATTTTTTTGTACAGCTGTATAATGTGTTTGTGTTTCAAGCTAAGTGTTATTACAATAGTCCAAAAGTTTTTTAAAAACTTAAAAGTTTGTAAAGTAAAAAAAAAATTACTGTAAGCTAAGGTTAATTTATTGTTGAAGAAAGAAACGTACTTTTTATCAATTTAGTGTAGCCTAAGAGTACAGTGTTTATAAAGTCTAGAGTAGTGTACAGTAATGTCCTAGGCCTTCACATTCACTCACCACTCACTCACTCACTCACCCAGGGCAACTTCTATTCCTTCCTGCAAGCTCCATTCATGGAAAGTGTCCTATATAGGGGTACCATTTTTTATCTTTTAGACCATATTTTCACTGTAGCTTTTTATGTTTAGATACACAAATATTAATACTTACCATTGTGTTAGAGTTGTCTACAGGATTCAACACAGTAACATGCATATAGTTTGTAACCTAGGAGCAATAGGCTATACCATGTAGCTAGATGTGTAGCAGGCTATAGCATTTCGCTTTGTGTAAGTACACTCTATGATGTTCACAAAATGACCAAATTGCCTAACTCTGCATTTTTCAGAAAATATCCCTGTTGTGAAGAAATGCATGACTGTAATTGAATATTTAGCTTGTTTCCAGATTTTACGATTTTGAAGAGTGCTGCTATTAACATCCTTGTACATGTTCAACAAGTTGTCTTAGATATATATCTGGAAATTTATGCATATATTATATATTAAATATATGTATATATTTACAGATACATATCTTTTATATATTAGATAAATATATGATACATAATATTACATACATTTAAAATATAAATATATTTCCAGGTAAATATCTTATATATATGATATGCTTATATATCCAGATATATATCTAAGATATATCTATATATTTATATATCTTACATATATCTAAATATATATGTAAGACAAATAGCCAGATATATATATCTGGAAACTACTGCTTTTTTTGTTGTTGTTCTGTGGCCCAAGCTGGAGTGCAATGGCATGAACTCAGCTCACTGTAATCCCTACCTCCTGGGTTCAAGCAATTCTCCTGCTTCAGCCTCCCAAGTAGCTGGGATTACAGGTGTGCACCACCACACCAGGCTAATTTTTGTATTTTTTAGTAGAGACGGGGTTTCACCATGGTGGCCAGGCTGGTCTCGAACTCCTGACTTTGTGATCTGCCCACCTCGGCCTCCCAAAGTGCTGGGATTACAGGTGTGAGCCACTGCACCCAGCCATGAAACTACTGCTTTTTAAAGAGTTTGTACACATTTACATTTCTACCAGCAAAGTAGAGAAGATTTTGTGGTTCCATATCCTTTCCAATACTCAATATAGTTGGGCTTTTTTATTTTTGCTAATTAAATGGATATAAAATATATCTCACTGTGGACTTGACAGGTAATTCCCTCTGACTGAACATCTTTTTATGTTTATTTCCTCTTCTGTAAAATGCCTATGTATGGCTTTTGCTATTTTTCTTCTGGAATGTCTGTTGTTTGTGACAACTTTGAAGGAGTTTTTAATATGATCCTGATATAAATTCATCATCAGTTACATGTATTGAAAATATCTTTTTCTAATCCAATTTGTAAGTTGTCTTTCACATTCATAAGGTTCTGTTGATGAACAGAAGTTTTTAATATAATAACATTTATCAATTGTTAATTTTATGGTTAGCATTTTTGTTGCTAAATTTTTTCTTATCTCAAGATTAGAAGGATATTTACTTATCTTCGCTCCTTAAAAAAAGATAGAAGCTTAGCTTTTGTTAGTTATCCCTGAGTAATCTGTAATTATTTTTGTGTGTGGTGTGAACTTAAGAACTAATTTCACTTTTTTCCCGTAGCTATTCTTTTCCCCCGTCCCCCAGGTTAATTTATTAAATTGTCTTTTTTCCCTACTGACCTTCCATACCAGCTATCTCAAATATCAAAGTTCTATATATTCAAGGGTCTCTTTCTGGGTTCTCTATTCTAATCCATTGACCAGTTTGTGTCTACACTAGTAACACCCTATCTTAATATAGCTGCTTATGAGTCTTGATATCTGGTAGTATAAGTCCATCTTCCTCATTCTTACTCCTTTAAATTTCTTGGCTAATTTTGATCCCTTTATTCTTCCACATAACTTTTTAAACCCTCTTTTAGATTACATTTTCTAGGTATTACTTGCTACTGTATAAGAATGCAGTTGACTTTGTATTAAAACAATTCTGGTGAAAATAATGATCATGATAGCAACTATCTATTCAGTATTTCAGCTATCATTTACTTAGTACATATTCTCTGCTGGCCATGATGCTAAGTGCTTATGTGCATTTTCCTCCTTTATTCTTAACACAGGCCTGTGAGTTTGAAAATAGCTAGCAGATTAGAAAACCAAGGTACAGAGAAATGAAGCGCTTATCTAACATCATACAATTAGACTGTTTAGTAACTAGGATTCAATCTTAAACTATTCTGACTTTAAAGCGTTCACTCTTAATTTATACAGGTTATGACAGTGTCCTTAGGTTTCAGGAGAAACAATAATAACAAAACAAACATCGACCACTCCATCATTTCTCAGCATTTTCTATTCTCCCAATTAGAGCTTCCATATACAGATGATATCTTAAATGTGGTTTACATTGACCATCTATAAAAGGTGTGAAAAACTGGTTCTCTAAGAGTACGGTCTCCAATGTCTGTTTAATAGATCAGTCCTTGCATTCTTCACTGGCTACAGCCTCCACATATTTCAGTCTGTCCCTGTTATAATCAAGATCCCATGATTTAAGAGGGGTTAAGGAGAGGGCTGTGACTCCCAGAATCTGATTTCTTCTCAGAGAGAGTTGTTCTGCTTTGTTTATTTTTATGTGGTTTTACTGATCATATGTTAAATGTGGCACACACAATTCAGCCAGCCTCGTGATTAGCAAGGGAATGCTTTTGTTTGTGAGTGTGATATGCCCTCCACTCCAAAACTACATAGCAGAGGAAACACAAAGTCACACAAGATTTAAATCCTACCGTAATAACAAGCCAGAATAGTAGACACATAATCATCCCTGAGACTTGCATTGCAAAACAATTTCACAGTGCATAACTAGCTAATTTAATCTTCCCTAAACCTTGGGAAGCAAATGGAGTAGGTGCTACTATGCCCATTTTATAAATGAAGATGAGATGCAGAGAAAGTGACTTGTCCAAGGTCACAGTGCAGTTGAGAAATAAGAGCTACAACTAGGTCTATGGAGACAGATTTTCAGCCCGGAGCTGCCTTCACCTCTTCTTGTTTCCTACCCTGAAGCTTTGACATTCCAAGGCACCCAGGGAAAGGCATTCCCTGACACCTCAGATTTGCTGCTTCAAAAGAGGGTTCATTTCCTATTAAAGCAGAGAAGCAACTGAATGAGATAGCCCCCACCATCAGAATCCTGACAACCATTGGCTGTAACATTTTCTTGCTCAGTTTAAATTCAGATTTCTTCTTTACAAGCATTATTTGAATCCAACAGCTCTAAAGTGGCAGAATTCCACCTGGTCTTCTCTAAGACCAGGGTTCTTTCCACTGTACTTTGGAAGAGGAGTGTCACGTAGGAATGCCTTTAGCATCCTCTGGCCCTGGGAGAAAACCTGGCAGTGCACTTGTCCCTGAGTGGTCCTAAGTGCCTTCTGGATTTGTGAGTGAGATGCCCCCCCTTGCTCCATCACCAGACCTTCTGCACCCCATAGTGATAAACAGCCTTCCCTTCTATGTCAACCCACGGCCGTGTGGAATCAGCTTCCCAGATGGGATAGTGTCCTAATCCGGGACTTCTAGCTCTCTCTTGAGACAGGATTCAGTAAACATGTATATTTTATTTCAGTATTTTTCTATGTATGTATGTATGTACATTTGACTCTTGGACAATGAGGGAGTTAGGGGTGCCAACCCCTAACAACAGTCAAAAATATGCTATTTTTTTTTTTTTTTTTTTTGTAGGCAGAGTCTCACTCTGTCACCCAGGCTGGAGTGCAGTGGTGCGATCTCTGCTCCTTACAACCTCCACCTCCCGGCTTCAAGCCTTCAAGCCATCCTCCTGCCTCAGCCTCCCTAGTAGCTGGGACTAGAGGCGCATGCCACATGCCTGGCTAATGTTTGTATTTTTAGTAGAGATGGGGTTTCACCATGTTGGCCAGACTGGTCTTGAACTCCTGACCTCAGGTGATCCTCCTGCCTTGGCCTTCCAAAGTGCTGGGATTACAGGCATGAGCCACCATACCCAGCCTGCTATAACTTTTGATTCTCCAAAACATAACTACTATAGCCTACTGTTTACCAGAAGCCTTACCAAACGCAAGAACAGTGATTAATACACATTTTGTATGTTATGCATATTATCTACTGTATTGTTATAATAAAGCAAGCTAGAGAAAAGAAAATGTTATTAGGAAATTCATAAGGAAAATACATTTACAGTACTTATTTATCGATACCATTAAGTTTAAGTCATCTGTTTACAAGCTGAATCATCTATCTGAAAGGGTGGCAATCGCAACTGCATACTTCAATCTACGGTACATTATCAAGCAATTCAACTTTTTCTTTTAATGTTATGACTTTTCTCTGCTTCTTGGGAGCACTTCCAGCATCACTAGTGGCACTTCCTATGGGTCCCATGGTGTTATTCAAGGTTTATAATATAGACTAAACATGATGAAAAATATGTAAGACCCAAACCACAAGAGATCACTTTTTACTGCGATATGCAATTTACCAGAAAGACCAACTGCTCACGTGGAGATTTTTAGGGTCACACTTCATTTTTAGTGGATACTCACAACCCTTGAGCTCACGGCAATAGCAACAGAAAGTGGCTATTAAATTATTATGGTAGTACAGTATTACTAAGTTAATTTTATACAGTTATGATTTAATACTGCATCTTCATGTTTGCTTACATTTTTCTCAACTGGGAATGATACCATGTACTATCTCTAAGTGTTTGTGTATACATTTTGATACATTTTAACTTCTATAATAGACCTGTGTATATTTTATGGTGGTAAATTACACAATAGACTAGCATCAACATATACTTTCTGCATTCATAACATACCTTTTTCTTTTTCTTTTTCTTTTTTTTTTTTTTTTTTTTTTTGAGATGGAGTCTTGCTCTGTTGCCCAGGCTGGAGTACAGTGGTGTGATCTCGGCTCACTGCAACCTCTGCCTCCCAGGTTCAAGCAATTCTCATCCCTCAGCCTCCCAAGTAGCTGGAACTATAGGCATGTGCCACCACACTCAGCTAATTTTTTGTATTTTAGTAGAGACAGGGTTTCACCGTGTTAGCCAGGATGGGATTGCAGGCATAAGCCACCGCACCCGGCTGATGCCTGTAATCCCAGCACTTTGGGAGGCTGAGGCAGGTGGATTACTTGAGGCCAGGAGTTCGAGACCAGCCTGGCCAACATGGTGAAACTCCGTCTCTACTAAAAATACAAAAATTAGCTGGACGTGGTGACAGGCGCCTGTAATTCCAGCTACTTGGGAGGCTGAGGCAGGAGAATTGCTTGAACCTGGTATACGCAGGTTGTAGTGAGCCAGAATGGTGCCACTGCCCTCCAGCCTGGGTGACAGAGTGAGACTTCGTCTCAAAAAAAAAAAGCAAAAAGAAAAAAATCTGAATGTAAGTGGACGAGTGCAGTTCAAACCAGCGTTGTTCAAGGATCAACTGTATTCTGTTTCATTACGTAGTGAAATAATAAAGTTTTGTATCCTTTTCAATTAATATATTTTGGGCATTTTTGAGGTCTTTAAAGTTTTTTCAAAATTACCTTTTCAAAGCTGCAAAATATTTCATCATTTTGATATACAACAATTTATCCATGCAGTTGCACATCATTCGTCATTTAGGTCGTTTTCCTTTTGGCTAAACATCTTTGTGCATAAAAATATGTTCATACTTTTAATTGTTTTAGGATTCACACGTGTGGAATTCTTCATCAAAGAGTAAGAACACTTTGAAGATTTTTGATACAAGATTGCCTAATTGCTTTTCAGAAAGACCACACCAATTTACACACTCCCTCCACAATGGGGAAAAATGCTGCTCTTACCAGATTTTGAATCTTGTCATTTTCCAAACACTTCGTTATTTCGATAGGTTTTTAAGTGGTATCTCGAGGTTATTTTATTTGGTTGAATACTTGTGAGGTTAGCTTTTTTCCTCAGGTCTGTTAGTCATTTATATTATCCTTTAGCTACTTTTTAAAAAATGTGATCTTAGCATTCTTCCTCACTTCTTTAGTTATTAGGGATATAAATCCTTTTTCTGAATTATTTGTAATAAATGCTTTCCACATGATTGTTGTAAGGTTTTTAAGTATTGTAATGACTTTTTTGAAGTACTTAAGTTTTGTATTTTCATTAAGGAAATGATTACTGTTTTCTGACTTCCTCTGTTGGTTATCTGTTCAAAAAATCCTTTCCTACTCAAAGCTCTAACTAATATTCATCTCAATATTTTCAAGTTTTGGTTTCACTTAAAATTTTCTCTTTTATACACTTGGGTTTATTTTGATATATAGTGTGGGAGGCTATACATTTTTTCTTTGTTTGCAAATAGCCAGATTTTTCAACAGATTGCATGGACAGTGTCTTGATGTTAAATTGGACAACATTTTTTAAAAAGGCAATGAGAGGATTTGGTGCTGGAGAAATTCATTCATAAGCTTGGCGTATTCAGAACACTGAAGAATTGTTGGGTGAGTACCAGGAAAGTTGTCAGGACAGACAAGTATTCAACAGCCACTGGGAAGGTTCTAAACTGTGCCCCCTTTCCCCTTCTCCATAATAAAGGGGTCTCCCTTTACCAAAATGAACTGTCCTAAATTTAAGTAGCCAAAAGTCAGAGCAGTCCCAGAATTGTTTCTTGGTGTCAAGGCCTCAATCAACCAACAGAAAATGAGATATTCACAGATCGAGTTGACAAAGGGATGCCAGAAGGGACAGGAGGTACAACTGTCAGATAGATTGGTCTTGTTGGCCACCCAGCTGTTTGTGCCACTTGTATATTCTCCCACAGCACTCTCTGCATGTCTCCAGCACATTACAACGTCGTATTCTAATTTTGTGTTATGTGTCTTTTTCTTTTCCTCTATCCTGCTCCTTGCTTTAAAAAAATTATTAATGGATAGTAGCTAATTTTCTCATTTGAAAAAAAATACACTTAACTCTATGCAGTTTACTAAATGTTATTATACCTCCATTTGATAAATGTGAAAACTCATTTAACACACACCTCAAACATGACATAAAATGTTGCCATTATTCTAGAAAATTGCTTGTTCTTTTTGTAGTCATCACCCCCTGCCCAGTCCTGAGGTAGCCACTATTCCAATTTCTGTACCCACAGAACCCACAGACAAGTTTTGGTTGTTCTTGAACTTCATAGTAATTGAATTTTAAAGTATATATTCCTTTGTCTCTTAACTCCTTCTTTTACTCTATAATATTTCAGACATTCATTCATGTCTATTCCTTTTTGTTGCTGAGCAGATTCCAGCACCATTTGTTGAATAGATTGTCCTTTTCTCATCAATTTGTCTTGGCACCTTTGTCAGAAAACATTTGATTGTAATTTTTTTTCTGTCCTATTGATCTATTTGTCTATTTTAACACCAATAAGACACTCTTAGAAACTGATAAATTAATACTAACATGTATATGGAAATGTAAAAGACCAAAATGGTGTTTAAAAATATGATAAAACTGGCCGGGGGCGGTAGCTCCTGCCTCTAATCCCAGCACTTTGGGAGTCTGAGGCGGGTGGATCACTTGAGGTCAGGAGTTCGAGATCAGCCTGGTCAACATGGTGAAACCCTGTTTCTACTAAAAACACACAAAAATTAGCCGAGCATGGTGGCATGCACTTGCAATCCCAGCTACTCAGGAGGCTGAGGCAGGAGAATCGCTTGAACCCAGGTGGCAGAGGTTGCAGTGAGCCAAGATCGTGCCATTGCACTCCAGCCTGGGCAACGGAGCGAGACTCTGTGCAAAAAAAAAAAAAAAGATGAAACTTACAGTGAGACTTAAAATTGGGTCATGTAAATCCTCCAACTATTTTATTTTTTAAAAAAATCAATTTCTACCAAAAAAAAAAAGCCTGCTGGGAATTTGATTGCAATTGCATTTAATCTATGGATCGATTTTCTGAGAATCAGCATCTGTACAATACTGATTGGCATCTCTTTATTAGGTCTTAATCACCCTCAACACTGTTTTATGGTTTCAAGTGTAGAAGTCTTGTATAACTTTTTTTTAAAAATTTTGAAGGTATTTGTTATACTAATACTGTTATAAATAATGATTTTTAATTTTTTCCAATTGTATGTTGATAGTATATAAAAATAAAATAAAAATTTTCTATATTAACTTTGTATCTTAAACCTTGCTGAGTTTACTTATTAGATTTAGTAGGATTAGGGAGTAGATTCCCTTCAAGTTTCTACCTGCAAAATCATGTCATTGTAGAGAAAGATAATTTTACTTCTTTCTCAGTCTTTATGACTTCTATCTTTTCATACCTAATGGCAAGACCTCAAGTACAATGTTGAATAGCAGCATGAGAGTGGATCCCTACCTTATTTTTGACCTTAGAGAGAAAGTGTTCCATATCTTATCATTAAATATGATGTTATGTATAAGCTTTTATAGATGCATTTTATCAAATTGAGGAAATTCTGTTCTATTACTTGTTTGTCTAGAGGTTTTATCATGGAATAGTGTTGAAATTTTCAAAATCTTTTCCTGGATCTACTGAGATGTTTGTATTTTTCTTTTTTATACTGTTAATGGGATGAATTACACTGACTGCTTTTCTCATATTTTAATTGATCTTGCATTTTTTGTGATAAAACCCACTTAGCTGTGATGTGTTATATTTTTTAATATATAGATGGATCTAATTTGCTAATATTTTGTTAAAAATTTTTGCATCTCTGTTCATGAGAAATATTGGTCTGTAATTTTCATTTCTTGTAGTGTATTTGTTAGGTTTCGGTATTATGAATATGTCAGCTTCCAAAAAGGGTTGAGAGGTGGTCCTTCCTCCTGTTTCTATAAGAGATTGTTTAAGATTGGTATTATCCCTTTCTTTGATAGACTTCACCATTAAAGCTATCTGGGCCAGATATGTTCTTTGTGAAAAAAAATGTAATTGTGAATTTAACTTCTTTAACACATATTCAGGTTACTTATTTCTTCTTTTGTCCAGTTATGAAAAGTCCTGTTTTTTAAAGGATTTATCCATTTACATGGTCAAACATGTTGGCATAAATTTGTTTACAATACCCTCTCATCATCCTTTTAATGTCTGTAGGATTTGTGGGAATAGCCTTTCTTTTCTCTTTATATTGGTAATTCACATTTTCTCTCTTTTTTTGTTTCTTCCTTCTTCAGTTTAACTAGGAGCTTATCAATTTTATTGATCTTTTCAAAAATCGGTTTTTGGCTGCATTGATTTTCTCTATTGTTGTCTGTTTTCTATTGAATTAATTTCCACTCTTGTCTTTATTTCCTTCCTTCTATTTTGGACTTACTATACTGTTCTTTTTCTAGCTTCTTTTTTTTGAGACGGAGTCTCATTCTGTCACCCAGGCTGGAGTGCAGTGGTGTGATCTCGGCTCACTGCAACCTCCACCTCCCAGGTTCAAGCTATTCTCCTGCTTCAGCCTCCCGAGTAGCTGGGATGACAGGCATGCACCACCATGCCTGGCTAATTTTGTATTTTTAGTAGAGACGGGGTTTCTCCATGTTGGTCAGGCTGGTCTTGAACTCCTGACCTCAGAGCTCAGGTGATCCGCCCACCTTGGCCTCCCAAAGTGCTGGGATCATAGGCATGAGCCACCGCGCCCAGCCTTTTTCTAGCTTCTTAATGTGGAAGCTTAGCTCATTGATTTCAGCACTTTCTTATTTTCTAATACAAGCACTTAAACTCTAAATTGTATTCTTAGCGTCACATAAGCTGCATCTCACAAATTTTGATATGCTATACTTACCATTCAGTAAAAGATATCTAATTCTCCTAGAGTTTTTCTTTAGAAGTATATTGCTTAATTTCCAAATGTTTAAATATTTGCTGGGTATCTTTTTGTTATTGTTTTATAATTCAATTCTAATGTGGCCAGAAAATATAATCTGTATGGTTTTTATGTTACCCAAAGTTTTCTTGGTGTTACCATGGGAACGAAGATCTACTAGAATCTTTTGCTTGCTAACCAGAAACAGCTCTTCTACTCCCTTTACTCCAACTAACTTAGCCTCTTCAAGGCAGGAATGATATCATACTAGTTTCTCTATGACAGTGCTTGCCACATAACAGAAATTCTATAAATGTAAGAATTTATTTATTTATGCTGAAAATTGTACAAAAGGAGGCTTATGACTAAAACATGGACTTGCCCTCAAGTATTTCATGGTGTCAGATGAAGGCAATGTGTAAACACACGTTTCCCTACCATTTTTAAAGGAACTGTAGAAAGGCAGAAGAAGGGTGTGAAATCTAAACACGGAATCTGAAAAATATGATTGAAATGTATCTCAATTTGTAGTGATACAGTAACTATCATTTTCATTGTGCTTTACTGTTTATAATTTATAAGCCTTTTCTTAAGGAAGGGAAGGAATAATATAGAATGATCCATATGATTTTTAGGAACTCCACTATTGAGTTCATAAATTGAATTAACTTAAACAAAAGAAGGAAAGATGGGTGCAAAACCAAGAGCAAATATAAAAGAATCTATTAAGAAAATGAATGCTATCAGGAAAGGTGAAGTGGGGAAGGATGATGATAATGGTGCTGATAATAATACCTAACATTTATTGAGTAATTAAGGTTTTGTAGGCATGGTGCTAAGCAGCTTATGCTCCCAGCAACCCTACAGTGTTACGCTTACCTTATGGAGGAGGAAACTGAGACTTAGAGAGGTTAGTTGACTTGCCCAAGATTATGCAGTTAAAAAGTAAAGAAGTCAGGGTTGGAATTGTGAAAAAATTGAGGAGTGTTCCTTATTCACTGAGACTTGTCTTAGATGGGGGCCTGGGCCCTGACAGGTAAGAGATAGGTTTTACACTCATATTTTGACTGTTTTTCCAGAAGTAGAGTCAGCAAGAGATTTTTCAATGTACACAATATACTGTCAAATACCAGTATGTTTATGTGTTGGGGTGGATCGGGGAGCAGCCAGTTTTCAAAGGGCAAACTGAAAATTAAAGTTTGAGACAGAGCTAACGTGGACTGAGACGGGATGGACAAGGGACTGATGAGAAGAGCAGAACCAAATGGGGACACGACCAAGGAAGAAACCAGAAGGTGATAACAGACCACCAGTATTCTGCCCTGAGCATGTGCCAGGCACTGTGCATGGCATGTGTGGAGTCATTATATCATGTGATACTCACAACCACTCATGAGATAATTACTATTGTCCCTCTCTTAGAGATTAGCCCAAGGTCACATATATAGGATGTAGCGGCATTAGGTAAACATAGAATTCCAAGATCTTAAACACTGTTTCTCTCCAGTGGTGGTTGGATGTTATAGACCAGGACCCAAAGGTGGGACATGGGGGTGGGGGACAGTTAGGAAAGGAACCTAGTGACTGGGACTGATTCCCCTTGTTTAGCCAGGTGCCATTGCAGGCTGGCTTCTATTGATCCATCTAACCCTTTGTTGATACTGCTCCCAGGACTTCTAAAAGGCACCTGTACTTTTAAGGCAAAACATAAAGGGACTTTAAGTTATCTTTGGCACAGGATGAAAAATATGTCCATTGCTTGAGATCAATATTGTAACTGGCACAATATTAACAAATGGCAGAAAACAGATTCTTTCAGTATTTATGTCCCTTCCATAATTCCTATCAAGGAAAGCAACTTCATGTTGGAAAAGGTTCCCACAGATATTGGTGACAGATAATGGAAGCCCAAGAGAGAAGGTTCTAAATGAATGCTTGGTGCCCAGCGGCCTGGCCAGACAAGTTATATTGCAGGAGACTTGCTGTCTGCCTTGAAGCACTGAGACTTTGAGGAAAGGTGCTGGAAGCCCAGTCATGGGAAAAGGTGGAAATTTTTGACCTTTCAAATAAAGGTCAGGCAGTTTGGATGATCTTTTTCTGGTGAGCTGGATGCTGTTCCCAGGTGAGAGGCAAGGAGTCAGTGAATTGTCACAGACCTGCCATGTTTCTTTCTGCGAGACTTGCTAGACTGGTTTTCCAGGTATTGTGTGGATGAAGTGCATTTGGATTGCAGCATGCATTTGACAGATAAAGTCTCTATCTTTGAAAATGGGATACACCCATGGACAAGGGCTGATGGCAACCAAGTCAGGTAGATGAGTAACTGATTGGACTCAGAGTACTAATGAATGAGTTGATGTGGATCTACAGAAAGGATCTTGCACACCACAGTTTTCTGGCTTCTGTCTTGCCTTGTTAGGCATTTTTATTAATGTCTTGGATGAAGACATTGACGGCCCAGTGATAAAATTTGTGGGTGACACAAAGCTGGAAGGGATAGCTAATACATTGGACAGTAGAATTGCAATGCAAAAAAGATTTGACAGGCTGAAACAATGGACCAGATCTAACAAGATTATGTTTAATGGGGATAAATGTAAAGTCTTAACATTTGGTTAAAATAAACAGGCAAATAAGATGGAATAAGCAGCAGATGGGAAAGATGTGGTTTGATAGGAGCCTGTGTGAAAATAATAGAGATGTTTCAGCTGATTATAAGCCCAGAATGAATCACTAGTGCACTGTAAGCTCAGGCTATAATAGAAATGTGGAGTATACTATAAGGAAGGCAGCAATCCTTTCATAGTCTAAAATAACGGCTCATATTTACAGAGTGAGTTCTGTATGGCAAATATATTTATATGGATTCTCTCAGTTATTCTCACTTCTGGCCTTTGAGTAGGAAACTGGAGCTCAGAGAGATTAAGTTACCTGTCCAAAGTCACATTACTAGAGCCAGGATATGGACACAGGTGTTCTGACTGCACACAGATGCTCCGTCCTGGAGGGCAGAGCCATTGCCAATGAGGTGAAGAGACAAAGAGGTACATTTGGGTTCCAACAAGACTGAACTTTCTAATAATGAGAGTGCTCTGACAATGGACTGGTGTCTTACAAGGGAATGAGGCCCTGTCAAGAGATGGCCTTAAGCACAGGCAGATTGATCACGTGTCAGCAACAAACACTGGACCAGGTAGCTGTTGAGTTCTCATCCTACTAAGGGTTGTTGAGCTTCTAGACAGATCCTAACATCTGGAGTGCAGAGTCTGGGCATTTTTAGGTATAAGGGAAATTCCCAGGAGGTTTTCCATTTATTGCATTTAAACAATGAGCTTTAATAACCTGCTCTCTTCATAGAATTGTTTATTTGGTTTTTAATTTTTATTCCTTAGGGATTTTTGAGTTATGTGCTAGCCTTTACCCATATAACAAAAGCCCCTAGAAAGCTGCCTCAGACCCACTGTGGAAGGATTAAAGGAACAAAGAAGAAAAAGAAACAAACACATATAATGTTTTCTACTTCATTGTAGTATCTGTGTCCTCTCACTGTCAACAGATATCATATTTTGATACTGTCAGGATTTTATATATATGTAACAGTCTTTCACTCCATCCTCCTTATCCCAAGGCTGGCCTTTCTAAATTAGTTTTTCTATTCTGCAGTGGTCTAGTGAAAGAGAGACCTATAACATTAATAGTTGGAATTATAAGGAGAAGATAGTAGAGTAAATTGGTTAAAAGCAAGGAGCTGAGAACATATTCAATCAGGAGTTACTTTACGTGATCCATAATACATGGACTTCGGTTCATCCACTTTGATTGCTGAGAGACCTCCGTCTTCTCGCTTTCAAAATTCTAGAGTATTTTAATCTTTGTTTTGGATAATTAGGATTTGTGGACTTGTGGCCCCATATATAAGATGTTTATAAATTACAGCTTCCCACGTTAAGGGAAGAAACAATGACCCAGCAGTGAGGCTGACATTCTGTTATGCACCTAGCCAGCTAATCCATCTGAACAGCTCCTATCACTCACCCAGTGGTTGAGAAAGCCGGCACTGCCCAGTATAATGAGACAATGTCAGGCATTGTAAGTAAATATGCTTGGGCCTGCACTCAACAGTCTCATGCTGCAGTCTCATTTTCAAGGAAGCCCACACCATCTTAATCATGCCTGCCAGGGAAGAAATTCTCTTCTCTCTGTGTTTTCTTTTCCCCAAGACATATTTCCCCTGTATCATTTAAACATATTAAATCACTGTTAGTACGCAGAGTGGGCATCATGTTAGCATAAGATCTAATCAGAGCGAGTCTGCTGGTCTCCAAAGGCTTTATTCTTTTTGTCTCTTTCCTCTGTTTTCTTGTTAGACTGAAGAGCCTTTTTTGACATTCTCATTTGTTCTGCTGTGTAATAGCATGGGATCTTTCAGAGCTGTCGACATCTGCTCCACTCTAGAGAGCTGCAGAACCAAGCCAGCAGAGCAATAATAATTATGCCCAAATGGGCTGAAAAGAATGCAAGAGATGAGAAGGAAGACATGGAAAAATACACCCAGTGCGATGATGTTCTAACCTGTAAGTGGGTGTGTGTGTGAGAGTGCACGTGCTGAAGCCATACGCTTATGTGTGCATTGAGGACACAAATCATTTTCCTGAGAACAGACTAGAATTCAATCAGGCTCAGACTTTTCCAAAGTCCCCAGTCTTTGTGCATTCCCCCAGACGGCCATGCTCAATATGGGTGCAGTTTTCTGCATGTACAATGGTAGTTTGCAGAACACTGGGGAGAAGGAACTTTCTCCTCTTTCCCTTACTCTTATATCTGGTGGGGTAACAAAGGCTGCAGATGGGTCTTCCTCCCTAGATACTACTCTCTGGGGATAAATGAGGCTCCTTGGGAAGATGCTGTAAGTCTTCCTGATTGTCAAGATACTAGTTATTAAATAACTGGTATGCTGGCCTTACGCTAATATTAAAAATAACAACTGGCATCTATTGGGTGCTTAGTATTTGCCAGGAATTGTGTAGGCCCTTCACATGCACTATCATTCATCCTTAAAGAACTTTATGAATGGGCACAGTGGCTCGCCCCTGTAATCCCAACTTTGGAAGGCTGAGGTGGGAGGAGGGAACCCAGGAGTTTGAGACCAGTCTGGGCAAAATAGGGAGACCCTATCTCTACAAAAAAATTAAAAATTAGTCGGATGGGCTGGACGTGGAGGCTCACGACTGTAATCCCAGGACTTTGGGAGGCCGAGGCCAGTGGATCACCTGAGGTTAGGTGTTCAAGACCAGCCTGGCCAACATGGTGAAACCCCCGTCTCTACTAAAGATACAAAAAATTAGTTGGGCATGGTGGTGGGTACCTGTAATCCCAGCTCCTTGGGAAGCTGAGGCAGGAGAATTGCTTGAACCTAGGAGGCAGATGTTTCAGTGAGCTGAGATCACACCACTGCACTCAAGCCTGGGCTACAAGAGTGAAACTCTGGTTCAAAAAAAAAAAAAAAATTAGTCGGATGTGGTGGCGCATGCCTGTGGTCCCAGTTACTCAGGAGGCTGAGCTGGGAGGATTGATTGAGCATGGGAGGTTGAAGCTGCATTTAGCCATGTTTATGCCACTGTGCTCCAGCTGGGATGACAGGGTGATACCCTGTCTCAACAACAAAAAAAGAACTTTACAAGGTAGGAGTTACTATGATCTTCATTTGCAGATGAAAAAATTAGGACTAGGCCATATTCCCAGAGGCCCTGCTGGTGCATTAAGAGAGCCTGGTTTTTCAAGGCTGTGGTTACACACGAACAAAAGAACTGGTCATGTCATTCATCTGCGATTCTTCAGCAAAGCAGCCAGACTGCTCAGTGACATACTTAGCTAGTTCCAAGAAATAATTGTCAGTTCAACAAAGAACTAAAATTTAAAAAATAAAATAAAATCCCCAAAGCAGAGAGCCCAGTATTTTTTCATTGAGTTAACTGATTACTTTGCAGAATCCAAGAATCCTACTGAGGTCTTGAGGTCATCAGGACCCAGGGTGAGTCCTGCCCCTGCTGTGAGTCTCAGGGCCCTGCTTGTTCTTGGAAGCCAATGTATCAAGGGTGGACTCTCGGCAAAGGTGTGAGGCAGATGAGACTTATCAACAGAGAACACGTCCTTCCCTCCTGTGCCATCCACTTCCCCCAGCCTCATCCCCACTCTTGCCTCACTCCAGAACTTATTCAAAATGTGCTCTCCTGACATCCTTTACCTCTTCAGAGCTTTCTCCTCAAGGGGCCCAGATGACTAACTTACACTAAAGTGACCCGTCTTTTAAAAATTCATTTTAACCAGATAAACACCTTATTTAGGCCAAAGGAATCCTTCTCAAGTGGTGGCATTTTAAGGCTTTCTCAAGGTAACAAGATGGCTCGGGGTTGGAGAGAAAGTCTCCATGGCACTTTTATAATCATACCCCATGGAAAGAGAAAGGAGCCTTTTTCCATCAGTTTATATAGCTGGATCATGCTTGGAATGGAGTAGAAAGAGAAGGATACAGAATTTTACCTGGGGGTCAGACTGCTCCAGACTTGGGAGTCATGAGGTTTTCTGTGGGAAAGCACTTTTTCTCCCTTTCCTCCCTAAAATTTCACTGAGTGTTACTATACACATTACAATGTTAACTTTGCAAAGAGAGAAGACTTACCTGAACAATTCAAAGCTTGGGCAGAAGAAAAAGCAAGCAGGGTTGACTCTTGGGAGGGAGAATAAAACCTAGAGCTAAAGAGAAGAAAAAAAAAAGCATGTGACACAATGTCTGTCAGCAGCTGTGCTGCCAAAAGTCACCCAACAGGAAGAGCAGGCAGCCAGCGAGATGGAAACTGCCAGTGCAATAAAGCATCAGTGAGAGTCAGGGCTGACTGGGGCTGTGGATAAAACTGGAGCACACCTGGGACCAAGGAATAGCATAGTCCCTCCCAGTGTGACTCGAGCATCAGCATACAAATTGTCAGGCCCAACTTGGAGCAAAATTAGCATCAGTCACCTGATAATAGTAATGGTTACCCTACCCTTACAGATGGTAGCTCATATGACCATAAGATGTTGACCAGTGAAATGCACTCAGCCAGCCAAGACTTGGGCTGCCGCATGCCACATAATCTTTGTGGCTCTTGGTTTTTCATTCCAATAAAACTTTTTTGACCTCTGTAGAAAGCTGTAACCCATACAAAAGCTCTTATGACCATTTAGGAATTCATAAGATTTTTGGAAAATTCTACATTGTCTTCCTAAGTCCCCCATGTTCCTCAAGTGCCACCTGTGGTTGATCTTCCCAGGTGAATTGGAACAATGTACCCAGAGCACCCCTCCTCTGGCCCCACCCTGAAGGATGGAGGTCTCGGAAATCTGTAATGGGTGAGCGGACTTGTAGTCCTTACTCGGGGGTGTACAGATGTGCACAGAGAGCTGGCCTCTGAGAGCATCCCTTGCAGCTAAAGGCCACTGCCTGGCTCAAGTCCATCCACATCAGCAAATCTGCATGTTGTAGTTCTACAGAGACTGCTGCTCTTGATCTAATTAATAGTTTCTTTGTTTGCATAATTTTCCACAGGAAGGACTATTAGCACATCAAAAGGATGTTAAAAGTATCCTCCGTAATGATAGAGTAAATACAAACCTAGTTTATCACGTTGTCAGTTTTAACAAACACCACTTTGATGTGCTAACCTTTTCCCAGGAGGTGCCCCTCTTAAGTCAATAGCCAGCAACAGGCCCAGCCTGTGAACTAGTTGATGGTGAAAAACCAAAACAATCTCTGTAACGATATATATTTTTTAAATTCCAAAATATCTGAAAAATGCTGGAGGCATGTGTTTACTTTCCCTTCCTCCCTCCTCCGATTTAAAAGCTTTTGTAGAAAACCTGTGGGACTGATAGCACTTTTCTTCACACCTCAAGGGAGCAGTTTGAAAAATGTTTTCAGAACACTTACTTTCATAACACTCCAGGGAAAGAAAGAAAGGTGGGTCATTTACATAAAGTTAAGGATTTCTGTATACCCCGTTTCTGTCCTTCCTCTCAAAGAAAAGAGAGGGGGAACACCAAATCTCCTTGAAACTTTAAGAGCCCTCTGAGGTTTAACTCAAGAAAGAAAATGCCTCTGAAGGCAGACAGCAGAGAATGAGAGTATGACCAAGCGCCTCAGCTGTCCAAAACACCTCAAGGTGCAGGTTAAACCCAATAACGGTGATCCTATCATGGGACGGGATTGGCAAAGGCTCCTTCTGTATGGAAAGTATACTCAGTAAAATCACTCAGGCCTTTCAGTGGGAAGTTTGGCAGCTAAGTCCTGTGGAATGTTTTCAGTAACTAAAATTTAACTCCCTTAGCTTAAACAAATTATTTATTTAGTCACCTACATACTACATTCAGGCTCATTTTCTTAGGCAGAAGATACTGAACATAATTTTAACTTCTTTTTTATGGTTATTGATTGGCATGAGACTTGTCTTATTACCTGCAGGCTGGAGAAATAAGTTCAGAAACTAACAAAATATCACTGAGGCAACTAGAATGACATGACTACTGAAGTAAAAGGATACATAGGATCTGTTTCCATTACTCCTTCTTATGAGGAGTCTGATTATGTCTGTCATTTTCCTCCCCCAGGAAGCCCATGTGCCTCAGGAGAATCTGTCCCGAGCCCTTCTTCCCACCTAGACTGTATTCCAGGGGAGGCCTGATTTGGTCATCTCAGTGCTTTGTCAGTGGTTGGTTGAGAAATGATCATGTGAATAAAAAAAAAAAAGAACAGAAATGATCATGTGATATGTGATACTTTGGGCCAATGAGGCAAAAGGAAAGGTATTCTAGGAGCCTCTGGGGAAAATTTCCTTGTTCATCAGGGACAGCCATGGGAACAGTCTCTGAACATTGCTATCCACAGATGTGAGGCCATCTACTACAGCTGCCTGGCTGAGGATGAAGCTGTGAGTTGGGAAATGGATGAGCTAAGAGAACTACCGGGAAATGGGGCCGCAGTACGTGACTCCATCAACCTGAAAGCCTGAAATACCTCTGGACTTCAGCTTTGTGAGCCATCTATTATCTTATTTTAGAAGCCAGTTTGAATTTTCTGTTGCATACACATAAAGAAATCGTAACTCATACAAGTTGTCAACAACGAAGAACTTCTACATAGTGCTAATAATGAAAATTTTAAACACTGCCTTTATAAAAAAAGAATGTAATATTGACAAATGGGTGAAAAGATGATCAACTGTATTGTAATAGAAGTAAGAGGACTTCCTCTAAAGTGTGAGTGACTATATTATGAAACTGTTGAGCACTAAGCCTAAGAGACTGTCATCATATGGGGTAGTTTGAATAAGACCAAGAAAAATGATCTAAATTATTAGAAACAGAGATCTACCATGGTCATACTTAAACTTAGCATGTGACCTTTTGAAGAGAATAAGTAGATACGACATGGGGTACAGTTTAAAACAGTCCTCAAGATGCCCTGGTCAAGAGACCAGAGACTGTTCTAGAGGTTCTAACAATAAGAATACAGTTTCAAATGGAGCGGCATGGGCTGGAGGATGGTCAGCCTAATTTGTGTACACCAAGACCAGTTTTGTACATAAATAAAAATGGAAAGCTCCAAGGAATTGGGAAAATGTCCTTTCCCCATCTGAAATACTTCCCCAAATGCCTGCTGACTGAAATTATGTTAACTCTGGAATAAAGACACTCCTTTAACAAGAGGTAAATGACCTCAAATGCAAATTTCCACAGGAGCACTAATATGGTACTAAAAACTTGGCCATGCTAATGTGAACGTTTGTTTACTTTCTGTCTCAATATCTCCAGACTATAACCTTTGTGAGGCAGAGATATTTTTGTCCTTTTCACTGCTTTATCCCTAGTAAAGGACTAAGTGCCTAAAATGGTGCCTAGTCTTTTGTATATGCAAAATAAACATTTGTGAATGAATGAATGGCAAATATCTGAGCCTTTACCAAGAGCAAACTTTTATAGGAAGGAAGGAAAATCTCCACAGAGCACTATATGACTGAAAGAGATAAAAGGAAAAGTGAACCCTAAAGAAGTGAAAGGGGCAAGAAAATGAACAAAAGATGGGAAAGATTATATTTTTTCTTACTTCATTTAGTCTAAGACAGGCCCTGATTGAGTTCCCACACTAGATCCCGTGTCAAGGAGTTGGAAGACTCTGACATTCTAAGGATAGAGAATCACAGTATTTGAGCCATGCAGCAGAACCAGATTGCATCTTCACTCTCCATTGGCCCACCTGTCTCTTGTTCTCCAAATAGTAATTCCCTCCCCAAACTCCAGAGGTGAATTTATCATAAAGCTCAAGCTTCACTGCACCTCAAATTGATAGGAGGAACCCTAGCAGTGTATTTACTTGCCATATGTTTTGGCAAAACTTGTACAAGTGGGATTTTGTAGTCACAATAGGTGAGACTGTTGTCTCTTTGTACTCCAACTTCTCCTTATATCAGGTGGCATCCAAGGGGCTGCAGACATTCTGGGGAGGGGGGGCAGCTAAGGCAAGTAGAATTGGAGATACGTTCTTTTGGGCTGAATGCTGTTACAGGAATGGCTTTCAGGAAGATACCAACAGCCCACTGTGGAAACTCACCTGGTGTCATAACATAAAGGGGCATATCTAAAGGTTAAATCACAATATGAATACATCCGAGACCCTAGTAGAGGAAATGCAAGGTTTGAAATGGATTGGAACCAGAAGCTGGTCTGTGGAAAATTCTTTCCAATCAATTGTAGCAGAGGATTTAGTTTCTATTGACACCTAATTGAAAGGAAGTTCTCTCCTATTGGGAATGCACATGCAGATGCAGTGTACATGATTGTGTTTTTGTACTATACAATAAAACTATTTTTCATAGATTTACATATAAAGTCAATAGAAATAATTCTGATATCTAGCAGTAAACTGTAACAAAAAACAGTTGGGTGTGGTGGCTCATGCCTGTAATTCTTACACTTTGGGAGGCCGAGGCCAGGAGTTTGAGACCAGCCTGCACAACATAGTGAGACCCTATCTCTACCAAAAATTTCAAAATTAGCCTGGCACGGTGGTGTGTGCCTGTAGTCTCAGCTACTCAGGAGGCTGAGACAGGAGGATCACTTGAACCTGTGAATTTGAAGATGGAGTGAGCTATGATTTTGCCACTGCTCTCCAGCCTGGGCAACAGAATGAGACCCTGTCTCTAAAAAATATTTTTTTAAAAAAGTATCATTTCCAGCCGGGCACAGTGGTTCACGCCTCTAATCCCAGCACTTTGGGAGGCTGAGGGGGATGGATCACGAGGCCAGGAGTTTGAGACCAGCCTGACCAACATGGTGAAACCTCATCTCTACTAAAAATACAAAAGTTAGCTGAGCGTGGTGCCGTGCCTGTAATTCCAGCTACTCAGGAGGATCGCTTGAACTTGGGAGGCAGAGGTTGCAGTGAGCCGAGATTGCGCCATTGCACTCCAGCCTGGGCGACAGAGTGAGACTCCGTCTCAAAAAAAAAAATTCAAAATTAGTAAATCATTAAGAGGAAGAGATAAATTGCCAATAGAAATAATAAATAGGCTTTTATATTATTTAATGATCTAATCAATAAAAAAGAATGAGTTATACGAATATATTTGTAAAATATTTAAATTTATAATTAGACAGGAATGTTTATATTGACAAAGATAATATAAACCATAATACACCATTAGAAGGAGGACATAGATCACAAATTAGTTAATAGTGAATGCCATCAATTCATAGCATATTTAAGATTAGTCATTGAGAGACTGAAATGCCACCTCATCGCAGGAGGCGCCTGGCAGGGATGGAGCTGGTGCGGGCCTGGAAGTAGATGTCCTGGTTCTACTACCAACACCTGCTGGTCACAATGCTCTACATGCTGGAGCCCGAGGAGCGGAAGGTGCTCAATTCCACGCTGGTTTCCATTGATACGCAGGATACATCTTCATGACCCAGCACATCATGGCGATATTGCACTACTTTGAAATTGTACAATAACCAAGATTAGAGGTTCCTTGGGGAAGACCCACCCTACGAAGTTGGAATGACACCATCAGATGTGATAAGAAACTCTTCTAAATGTCAACCTAACCAACCTAAAATTCATGAGTAGAACAGGAAAATCACCGACTCATGTGTTGTGTTCTATATTTTTCATTTTAAAAGAAGCTCTTGCATAGTAGCTTTTGTCTATTTTAACATTGCAGCCATTTGTACTTTGATATCACTATTTTCTTTTCTTTTTTTTTTTTTTTTTTTTTTTTTTTTTTTTGAGATGGAGTTTCACTCTTGTTACGCAGGCTGGAGTGCAATGGTGCAATCTCGGCTCACTGCAACCTCTGCCTCCCAGGTTCAAGCAATTCTCCTGCCTCAGCCTCCCTAGTAGCTGGGATTACAGGCATGTGCCACCACGCCCAACTAATTTTGTATTTTTAGTAAAGATGGGGTTTCTCCATGTTGGTCAGGCTGGTATCAAACTCCCGAACTCAGGTGATCTGCCGGCCTCAGCCTCCCGAAGTGCTGGGATTACAGGCGTGAGCCACGGTGCCCAGGTGACATCACTATTTTCTTAACCTTTGTGACTGTTTCAATATTACCCCCATGAAAGCTTTTTTTTATGTACCTTTGAGTACATTATAATTGTCTTATATTTTAAAGTCATTAGTTGGGCTTTACTGTTCTTGCTATTGTATGACATATACATCTGCCTGGATATATTTTTACTCTTGACCAAAGTTTTATAAGAACAATATAAGATTTAGGGTAGGGG